>NC_000008.11:362285-664570 GCF_000001405.40 Homo sapiens
AGTGTACCACAGCTCCAAGCTGATCTACATTAAGAGGAAGAGAAGAGGCCCATTGCCTTCCCTGAGCATCTAAAAAGTCTCTTGTGACATAGTGAGTTTTTGCCAAACCTGATTTTCAGAGGTAACCTGACCCCTCGTAACTCACCCTTACAGAGTCACCATTTAAAGCACAAGTGCTGACGGCATCATGACCTCCAGTTCCTCCTGCATCAGAGATGGCTGTGAGGATTATCATGGGTGGGCTGGGTGCAACCATCTCATGCAATGGTAACAGTTCCTGACTCAGGTGCTGAGAGCGTGTTGTTTCTCGCCATCCATACATCATGGTAACAGTGTTCATGCTGCCACCCACCTCATCACCTCCTAAGGCAGGTGTCGTTCCTGCATTCCAAGCACATGCCTCAAACTACCCAATTTGTGCTACCTTGGACAGCTGGTACTGCCTCCTATTTAGTCATTCTCATTTATTACTCGACACTATCACTCACTGGTACCATCTTATTAGGAGAATGAGAATGAATCCAGGTTACAATTTCTGCTAAGACTTGGTGAGTTTTTTCCTGACTTTGTTAATGGACTTCCTGTCAACATTCTACCATTTGCTAAAAGAAATGTGGAAGGAAAATACAGTCATGAAAATCTCAAAGTTGTGACTTTCCACATCAATGTCAGCCTTTGCTGTGAAGTACGGTAGAAACCTAGAGTCAGAAAGAACCTTGGAAAGCATCTACACTGTGTTTCAAGTCTCTTCTTCTGTAGATGAGAGGAAAAAACTACCAGGGAGGTAAAGCTCCTCTTCTAATTTCAGGCAAAAGTAGGGCAGAGGCCAGACCTGTTGTCCAGTGTCCTGAACACTGGCAAGGAGCTATTTCTCAGGGTTGGCAGGCACGCTTAACAGCTCCTCCTGCACACCCCACAGCTTCAGTGGAATACTTTCAGGAGACATTTAACCCTTTCAGGCCATGGAATTATCACATGAACAATGCAATGAAAAGAGGAATAGAGTCTATGAGTGACACATGAAGAGCTAGTAGAATACTGAAAGTGAACTAGTGACGATGTCATATTTAAACTGAAGGTTCTCATAGAAGAATAAAAAAGAATTAAGATTAGTACAAGTAATAAAATCACCATTTCTATTCAAAGACAGAAATGTTAAAATAAGGAAGTGTGGCAGAATTTGCCAAATTCAATAGCGTCAAAAAATAAAATCTTTTTGAATCAAAGATTCTTGTGATCAACTTCAAAAATCAATTCAGAGGATTGATTGCCTCCCAAAGCACAAAATGAACATATTAAGCTGATCCTGCAGCTATAAACTGCTATACGTATAAAGATGCACTTAATCCCCGAATCCTTGGGTGACTGAGTTTAAACGTACATTAAAAGCCATGAACAATACTCCATGGGGAAGCTTAGAATTCTTCGTTGAAATTTCTCAACTCTAACTCTTCATGTCATGCCCCATATGCGGTTAGACTGACTAAATCTATAGTTATCTGTCACCATGATGCTGTTTTTAATTGAAATATTTGTGTAGTTAGGATTCACTGACCCAAATCTAGAACTGCCAGGGAGAAAGTCGCCAAGTCAAAAACGAGTGTCACCCACGGTCCAGGTCACCCACGGTCCAGGTCACACACGGTCCAGGTCACCCACGGTCCAGGTCACGCACGGTCCAGGTCACCCACGGTCCAGGTCACCCACGGTCCAGGTCACACACGGTCCAGGTCACCCACGGTCCAGGTCACGCACGGTCCAGGTCACCCACGGTCCAGGTCACGCACGGTCCAGGTAACTCAAGGTCCAGGTCAAGCACGGTCCAGGTCACGCAGGGCACTTGCACCTCCTGGCCCTGCTCCGCCATCTTACAGGAATTCAGTCCCCCAAAACACATGAAGGCAAACACCCAAGTCATGTGTATGTCTCCAGAGAAAACAGCAAGGCCGTGAAGTCACACTGTGGATTCTCCTGCCCCGTCCACGGCAGCCACTCTTGACCTGCCTCATGATCGTCTACATCAACACCAGGCCCTGACTCAGTTTCAGTTTTCCCGTTTCTGCCCCTTGAACTTGGCCTTGACCCTCGATGCTCGCTGGTCTTGGTCTCACATTTACCCTCCACTTCTTCAGCTTCTTTGCCACGTTGGAGGATAGACTACCTGGGCTAAGTCAGCTCACTTGGACAAATATAGGAGCTCAGGTGAGTCAAGTTCTTTGATGTTGCTATTTCTAATGTTGCTTCCATTTCCTTATCTGAAAAATGGGCATTAAAAAGACTTCACATTGTTTGGTGATACTTGAGTGAGAAATTGCACATAAAGATGTTGGCACCGTGCCAAGCTCTCAGCAATCATGAGCCATTTTACATTATTTTATGGGGAATTTTTCTCTGGGGAGGCCCACAGAATCAGACTTGAAGGATACTTAGCCAAAAACAAAACCTAAATCGTATCCCTGAAGATACGGCTACTTCCACAATGGGCACAGGCACATGACTCTCACTGCAATGCAGGGCAGGCTCTTCCAAGGAGGCCTCTGAACTCTGGGTTCCGATCTCTCTCCCACAGCACTGCCCTCTTTCATCCCTGTGCTCAGAATCTAAAAACGCTGTACACAAGTGGAAAAAGCCAGGGCATACCTGGGCCTGAGTTGCCAATAAAAGCTTGGAAAGCAGTTCCTGAGCTCTCCCTTAGAGAGGCAAGATTCATAGGGGAATAATTCCCTCAAACATAATAGAGATTTGCATATGTCAATAGGTGAGCAGTGGCATTACAAGTGACTATCACATCAAGGAGAACGAGGGTGTCCTCCTCTGCAGACCACAGCAATTCAGCACTGCGCACGATGCTGAATAGGGTCATAAATGCTTTTGCCAGTGTGTCTGTTTCCTAACCCTGGACTCTGACGCCTAAAGAACAGATCCAGGCTTTCACCATATTTGCTTCCCTTGTGTCTAGGATGGTGCCTGGTACATAGGAGGTCCTAATGCCCAGTTGCTGCACAGTTGGTTGGGAAGCATGAGACCTCAGTGCAAGGGCAGCACAGGCTCTGCCTCTGGTTACACATCTCCTGGGCGTGTGTTGACTGCTGAGTTGACCTTCTCATGTTCCCAACCCCAAGGTTCCTTATACGTGAATGCTTAGATTGCATGTCTCCAACAACAAGTTTGCAAAATATTTAAGACTATTCCTTTTGCTTTAAAACTGTCACCGCGTTAATAAATACAGCATCTGAAAATGTTCTCGCTGGAAAATGTGACCTTCTGGAAAGCATTCAAAGCATTTTCAGTGTTTTGTGCTTGGATTTCTAAGGGGACCACAGATGGGTTAGATGTTCTTAAAATATCATTACATGTGATTTTGCATCTTGAGTGGAAGATCCTTAGATTACAATAACCCACTGTGACCATTTTAAGCATGTAAATGTAGCACAAAGTTGTCTGCATTTCTACTTAAAGTTTTCCTGAAAATGTGTAACAGATTTGACTATTCAGAACCAAATACAACAACTTAATATATGCTTATAATTGGAAGTGTGGAAATGAGGTCTGTAAAGCGGTGCGACTATTATGTGAAATTAATGGCATAAACATATTTACTATTTGCATTTAGCACAAGAAATGTTATTGATACAGCTGCAGACATTTTTAGGACTTCATAGGAAACCAAAAATTCTAACCTTATTAATGACAATAATACATAAATCTTTCTTTTTCATGAAAAATTATTTGTTCAGAAAAAGGAGTCCTTTGGATCTCACTTTTCTTTTTTTTTACAATTGAAGTATGTGCAGTTGATTGCATGTACATAAACCTTTTAAATATTAACTGATACAAATGGACTTACATGACCAGAAATCTGTTGAAAAACTCTCCTGTTTACAGACTGTGTTAACACATTTCTCATCTCACTGTTCTTTCATGTCTACATTTCTCCAGGTAAATATAACTATCACCATAATTTCTTGGTTTCTCTTTAGTTCATCAGTAATTATGAGTAATGTATTGAAGTGTTAAAGATATGTTCATGCATTCTGAATCCTGTGCTCTCTGATCCACATAGTAGTGAATTATGCTATCAACAATTACATAGAATATACTCTTTTTTTTTTTTTTTTTTTGAGATGGAGTCACGCTTGGTTACCCAGGCTGGAGTGCAATGGCGCATTCTGGGCTCACTGCAACCTCCACCTCCCGGGTTCAACTGATTTTCCTGCCTCAGCCTCTGAGTAGCTGGGATTATAGGCATCTGCCATCATCCCTGGCTAATTTTTTTTTAATACTTTAAGTTTTAGGGTACATGTGCACAACATGCAGGTTAGTTACATATGTATACACATGTTGTATACATATGTATACAACCATGTTGGTGTGATGCACCCATTAACTCATTTAACATTAGGTATATCTCCTAATGCTATCCCTCCCCCCTCCCCCCACCCCACAACCGGCCCTGGTGTGTGATGTTCCCCTTCCTGTGTCCATGTGTTCTCATTGTTCAATTCCCACCTATGAGTGAGAACATGTGGTGGTTGGTTTTTTGTCCTTGTGATAGTTTGCTGAGAATGATGGTTTCCAGCTTCATCCATGTCCCTACAAAGGACATGAACTCATCATTGTTTATGGCTGCATAGTATTCCACGGTGTATATGTGCCACATTTTCTTAATCCCGTCTATCATTGTTGGACATTTGGGTTGCTTCCAAGTCTTTGCTATTGTGAATAGTGCTGCAATAAACATATGTGTGCATGTGTCTTTATAGCAGCATGATTTATATTCCTTTGGGTATATACCCAGTAATGAGATGGCTGGGTCAAATGGTAATTCTAGTTCTAGATCTTTTAGGAATTGCCACACTGTCTTCCACAACGGTGGAACTAGTTTACAGTCCCACCAACAGTGTAAAAGTGTTCCTGTTTCTCTACATCCTCTCCAGCACCTGTTGTTTCCGAACTTTTTAATGATCGCCATTCTGAGTGGTGTGAGATAGTATCTCATTGTGGTTTTGATTTGCATTTCTCTGATGGCCAGTGATGATGAGCATTTTTTCATGTGTCTTTTGGCTGCATAAATGTCTTCTTTTGAGAAGTATCTGTTCATGTCCTTCACCCACTTTTTGATGGGGTTGTTTGTTTTTTTCTTGTAAATTTGTTGGAGTTCATTGTAGATTCTTGATATTAGACCTTTGTCAGATGAGTAGATACCAAAAATTTTCTCCCATTTTGTAGGTTGCCTGTTCACTCTGATGGTAGTTTCTTTTGCTGTGCAGAAGCTCTTTAGTTTAATTAGATCCCATTTGTCAATTTTGGCTTTTGTTGCCATTGCTTTTGGTGTTTTAGACATGAAGTCCTTGCCCATGACTATGTCCTGAATGGTATTGCCTAGGTTTTCTTCTAGGGTTTTTATGATTTTAGGTCTAACATGTAAGTCTTTAATCCATCTTGAATTAATTTTTGTATAAGGTGTAAGGAAGGGATCCAGTTTCAGCTTTCTCCATATGGCTAGCCAGTTTTCCCAGCACCATTTATTAAATAGGGAATTGTTTCCCCATTTCTTGTTTTTGTCAGGTTTGTCAAAGATCAGGTGGTCGTAGATATGCGGCATTATTTCTGAGGGCTCTGTTCTGTTCCATTGGTCTCTATCTCTGTTTTGGTTCCAGTACTGTGCTGTTTTGGTTACTGTAGCCTTGTAGTATAGTTTGAAGTCAGGTAGCATGATGCCTCCAGCTTTGTTCTTTTGGCTTAGGATTGACTTGGCAATGCAGGCTCTTTTTTGGTTCCATATGAACTTTAAAGTAGTTTTTTCCAATTCTGTGAAGAAAGTCATTGGTAGCTTGATGGAGATGGCATTGAATCTATAAATTACCTTGGGCAGTATGGCCATTTTCACGATATTGATTCTTCCTATCCATGAGCACGGAATGTTCTTCCATTTGTTTGTATCCTCTTTTATTTCCTTGAGCAGTGGTTTGTAGTTCTCCTTGAAGAGATCCTTCACATCCTTTGTAAGTTGGATTCCTGGGTATTTTATTCTCTTTGAAGCAATTGTGAATGGGAGTTCACTTATGATTTGGCTCTGTGTTTGTCTGTTATTGGTGTATAAAAATGCTTGTGGTTTTTGCACATTGATTTTGTATCCTGAGACTTTGCTGAAGTTGCCTATCAGCTTAAGGAGATTTTGGGCTGAGACTGTGGGGTTTTCTAGATATACAATCATGTCATCTGCAAACAGGGCAATTTGACTTCCTCTCTTCCTAATTGAATACCCTTTATTTCTTTCTCCTGCCTCATTGCCCTGGCCAGAACTTCCAACACTATGTTGAATAGGATTGGTGAGAGAGGGCATCCCTGTCTTGTGCCAGTTTTCAAAGGGAATGCTTCCAGTTTTTGCCTATTCAGTATGATATTGGCTGTGGGTTTGTCATAGATAGATCTTATTATTTTGAGATACGTCCCATCAATACCTAATTTATTGAGAGTTTTTAGCATGAAGTGTTGTTGAATTTTGTCAAAGGCCTTTTCTGCATCTCTTGAGATAATCATATGGTTTTTGTCGTTGGTTCTGTTTATATGCTGGATTACATTTATTGATTTGCGTATGTTGAACCAGCCTTGCATCCCAGGGATGAAGCCCACTTGATCATGGTGGATAAGCTTTTTGATGTGCTCCTGGATTTAGTTTGCCAGTATTTTATTGAGGATTTTTGCATCGATGTTCATCAGGGATATTGGTCTAAAATTCTCTTTTTTTGTTGTGTCTCTGCCAGGCTTTGGTATCAGGATGATGCTGGCCTCATAAAATGAGTTAGGGAGGATTCCCTCTTTTTCTATTGATTGGAATAGTTTCAGAAGGAATGGTACCAGCTCCTCCTTGTACCTCTGGTAGAATTCGGCTGTGAATCCATCTGGTCCTGGACTTTTTTTGGTTGGTAAGCTATTGATTATTGCCTCAATTTCAGAGCCTGTTATTGGTCTATTCAGAGATTCAACTTCTTCCTGGTTTAGTCTTGGGAGGGTTTATGTGTCAAGGAATTTATCCATTTCTTCTAGATTTTCTAGTTTATTTGTGTAGAGGTGTTTATAGTATTCTCTGATGGTAGTTTGTATTTCTGTGGGATCGGTGGTGATATCCCCTTTATCGTTTTTTATTGCGTCTATTTGATTCTTCTCTCTTTTCTTCTTTATTAGTCTTGCTAGCATTCTATCAATTTTGTTGATCTTTTCAAAAAACCAGCTCCTGGATTCATTGATTTTTTGAAGGGTTTTTTGTGTCTCTATTTCCTTCAGTTCTGCTCTGATTTTAGTTATTTCTTGCCTTCTGCTAGCTTTTGAATGTGTTTTCTCTTGCTTCTCTAGTTCTTTTAATTGTGATATTAGGGTGTCAATTTTAGATCTTTCCTGCTTTCTCTTGTGGGCATTTAGTGCTATAAATTTCCCTCTATGCACTGCTTTGAATGTGTCCCAGAGATTCTGGTATGTTTTGTCTTTGTTCTCTTGGTTTCAAAGAACATCTTTATTTATGCCTTCATTTCGTTATGTACCCAGTAGTCATTCAGGAGTAGGTTGTTCAGTTTCCATGTAGTTCAGCAGTTTTGAGTGAGTTTCTTAATCCTGGGTTCTAGTTTGATTGCACTGTGGCCTGAGAGACAGTTTACTATAATTTCTGTTCTTTTACATTTGCTGAGAAATGCTTTACTTCCAACTATGGGGTCAATTTTGGAATAGGTGTGGTGTGGTGCTGAAAAGAATGTATATTCTGTTGATTTGGGGTGGAGAGTTCTGTAGATGTCTATTAGGTCCACTTGGTGCAGAGCTGAGTTCAATTCCTGGATATCCTCATTAACTTTCTATCTCGTTGATCTGTCTAATGTTGACAGTGGGGTGTTAAAGTCTCCCATTATTAATGTGTGGGAGTCTAAGTCTTTTTGTAGGTCTCTAACGACTTGCTTTATGAATCTGGGTGCTCCTGTATTGGCTGCATATATATTTAGGATAGTTAGCTCTTCTTGTTGAATTGATCCCTTAACCATTATGTAATGGCCTTGTTTGTCTCTTTTGATCTTTTTTGGTTGAAAGTCTGTTTTATCAGAGACTACGATTGCAACACCTGCCTTTTTTTTGTTTTCCATTTGCTTGATAGATCTTCCTCCATCCCTTTATTTTGAGCCTATGTGTGTCTCTGCACATGAGATGGGTTTTCTGAATACAGCACACTGATAGGTCTTGACTCTTTATCCAATTTGCCAGTCTGTGTCTTTTAAATTGGAGCATTTAGCCCATTTACATTTAAGGTTAATATCGTTATGTGTGAATTTGATCCTGTCATTATGATGTTAGCTGGTTATTTTGCTCATTAGTTGATGCAGTTTCTTCCTAGCCTTGATGGTCTTTACAATTTGGCATGGTTTTGCAGTGGCTGGTACCGGTTGTTCCTTTCCATGTTTAGTGCTTCCTTCAGGAGCTCTTTCAGGGCAGGCCTGGTGGTGACAAAATCTCTCAACATTTGCTTGTCTGTAAAGTATTTTATTTCTCGTTCACTTATGAAGCTTAGTTTGGCTGGATATGAAATTCTGGGTTGAAAATTCTTTTCTTTAAGAATGTTGAATATTGGCGCCACCCTCTTCTGGCTTGTAGAGTTGCTGCCAAGAGATCAGCTGTTAGTCTGATGGGCTTCCCTTTGTGGGTAACCCGACCTTTCTCTCTGGCTGCCCTTAACATTTTTTCCTTCATTTGAACTTTGGTGAATCTGACAATTATGTGTCTTGGAGTTGCTCTTCTCAAGGAATATCTTTGTGGCGTTCTCTGTATTTCCTGAATTTGAATGTTGGCCTGCCTTGCTAGATTGGGGAAGTTCTCCTGGATAATAACCTGCAGAGTGTTTTCCAGCTTGATTCCATTCTCCTTGTCACTTTCAGGTACACCAATCAGATGTAGATTTGGTCTTTTCACATAGTCCCATATTTCTTGGAGGCTTTGTTCATTTCTTTTTATTCTTTTCTCTAAACTTCTCTTCTCGCTTCATTTCATTCATTTGATCTTCCATCACTGATACCCTTCCTTCCAGTTGATTGAATCGGCTACTGAGGCTTGTGCGTTCATCACGTAGTTCTCGTGCCTTGGTTTTCAGCTCCATCAGGTCCTTTAAGGACTTCTCTGCATTGATTATTCTAGTTAGCCATTCATCTAATCTTTTTTCAAGGTTCTGAACTTCTTTGCCATGGGTTCCAACTTCCTCCTTTAGCTCGGAGTAGTTGGATCGTCTGAAGCCTTCTCTCAACTTGTCAAAGTCATTCTCTGTCCAGCTTTGTTCCGTTGCTGGTGAGGAGCTACGTTCCTTTGGAGGAGGAGAGGCGCTCTGATTTTTAGAGTTTCTGGTTTTTCTGCTCTGTTTTTTCCCCTTCTTTGTGGTTTTATCTACCTTTGGTCTTTGATGATGGTGACGTACAGATGGGGTTTTGGTGTGGATGTCCTTTCTGTTTGTTAGTTTTCTTTCTAACAGTCAGGACCCTCAGCTGCAGGTCTGTTGGAGTTTGCTGGAGGTCCACTCCAGACCCTGTTTGCCTGGGTATCAGCAGCAGAGGCTGCAGAACAGCGGATATTGGTGAACAGCAAATGTTGCTGCCTGATCATTCCTCCGGAAGTTTTTTCTCAGTTTCAGAGGAGTACCTGTCCGTGTGATGTGTCAGTCTACCCCTACTGGGGGGTGCCTCCCAGTTAGGCTACTCGGGGGTCAGGCAACCCACTTGAGGAGGCAGTCTGTCCGTTCTTAGATCTCCAGCTGCATGCTGGGAGAACCACTACTCTCTTCAAAGCTGTCAGACAGGGACATTTAAGTCTGCAGAGGTTTCTGATGCCTTTTGTTTGGCTGTGCCCTGCCCGCAGAGGTGGAGTCTACAGAGGCAGGCAGGCCTCCTTGAGCTGCGGTGGGCTCCACCCAGTTTGAGCTTCCCGGCCGCTTTGTTTACCTACTCAAGTCTCAGCAATGGCGGGCACCCCTCCCCAAGCCTCGCTGCCGCCTTACAGTTTGATCTCAAACTGCTGTGCTAGCGGTGAGTAAGGCTCTGTGGGCGTAGGAGCCTCTGAGCCAGGCACGGGGTATAATCTCTTGGTGTGCCATTTGCTAAGACCATTGGAAAAGCGCAGTATTATGGTGGGAGTGACCCAATTTTCCAGGTGCCATCTGTCACCCCTTTCCTTGGCTAGGAAAGGGAATTCCCTGACCCCTTGTGCTTCCTGGGTGAGGCGATGCCTCATCCTGCTTCGGAGCACGCTCGGTGCGCTGCACCCACTGTCCCGCACCCACTGTCCAACACTCCCCAGTGAGATCAACCCGGTACCTCAGTTGGAAATGCAGAAATCACCCATCTTCTTCTTCGCTCACGCTGGGAGCTGTAGACTGGAGCTGTTCCTCTTCGGCCATCTTGGCTCCACCCCCTCCAGATCTCACTTTTAAGAATGTATGAAATGGCTAAAAGAAACCTTTAGCCTCTGTCTTGTATTTGGAGAAAACTAGCTCATTCTTCTAAAAAATATTTGAAATATTTTATATAAGGATTGATTTAATCAAATCAAATTTCCAGTGTACCTTGTTGCTGTCTAGGGTCCAGACCAAGATGAAAATGGGACTTGGCATCGTTGATACCTTAATATCAAACCATTTTTTCTATCTGCTTTCATTTTTTATGACATTTCCTGCTATCTCCTTTCTGAGATATGCCTCCTTGCAATTTTTGTAGGCCTTTGTCCAGCTTGGTCTTTCAGCTGGCATCCCCACAACCACTTATCAACATGGAATGCCCAACACTCGGCATAAGACCTGAGGAATAACCAAACTGGTTCTGATCCAGGGTCCTTCCAGACACGCACTCCGCCTCCCAGACCGGATTCTGCACGGCCTTGGCTGTTCTCCTTGAAGTCAACCCAAAGTCTAGGGACCACTCCTTGGGGATGTTCTGAAAGAGACAGAGTTAAGTGGAACGGCAGCACGGCCCTTCACACAGAGGCTCTGGGAGCCCCTCACAGCCAAGCTGAACACTGGTTTATCCATCTCTATCTCCACACCCTTCCCATGGCCCACAGTTGGGGTTTGTGTCACAGGGTTGAGAGAGTTGCTGCAATTGAACCCTGAGTGGGGACCAAATTATTTCCACTTCTCAGGAAGCTTGGAGCCACCTCACGTCCATGTTTTCTGCCACACACTCAGGGGAGCTTCAACTGAGCAAGGTTCGGCATTTATCCCTGAGGGAAAACATTCCCATTTCTTTCCAGAGAAGCACCTGTTTATCCCTACCTCATCTTTCTCATCTTTAAGTCAGATTCTTGCACTTGCTTTTAAATCTGATACAAATTATAAACAGCCATGCCTTTTATTTCTATATATGCATATGCCGTGGAAAATCTAGATTGCTCAAGCCGCCTTCTGCCAACAGAAATAACGTTGCCTTTCAGCAGTGGTTTGCTTTTCTGAAACTTTCGGTCATCCCACCCTTTAGAAGGAACAACTTTAGAGAATAAGACTGGCCCATATGCAACTCCCAGAATTTTCTCAGGAATGTTTTAAAAATCTGTTGTTGTTCTGGATACTGAGAGAGCTGGTAGTCCCCCTTTATCTGACAAGGATAGATTCCAAGATCCCCAGCAGATGTCTGAAACCACAGATGATACCGAGCCCAACTGCCATAAACCAGAACATGATTCTGTTCCTGTCCTCCCCTCCACCCCCAAAATTTAATGGCCTTTCCATCTGAACCAAGCACTTACTGTGCACCGTGGCTGGAACTTTTGCACTCTGAGGTGTGACAGCAAAACTTGGATGCATTTCTTTTTCCTTCCTCACAAGCTCATGCATAGAAGATTCATTCTTACCATAGACATTAGGAACCTCAGTGCAGGATTTTCTCCTTAGTAAGTCAAGAACTTTCACCTGCTCACTTAAAGGAGTCACTTTTCAGCTTCTCTTTCATATTTCTGAATTACAGCATCACCACTCTGTCACTCTGGGGCCATTATTAAGTAAAATGAGGGTTCCTTGAAAACAAGGCATGATATCATCAAGATATCATGACGATCTGATGACCAAGACAGCCAGTAAGTGTCTAGCAGGTAGTATAGACAGGGTGGATCTGCTGGCCAGGCAGGTAGTATAGACAGGGCGGATCTGCCGGACAGGCAGATAGCGTAGACAGGGTGGATCTGCTGGACAGGCAGGTAGTGTAGACAGGGTGGACCTGCTGGACAGGCAGGTAGTGTAGACAGGGTGGACCTGCTGGACAGGCAGGTAGTGTAGACAGGGTGGATCTGCTGGACAGGCAGGTAGGGTAGACAGGGCGGATCTGTTGGGCAGGCAGGTAGTGTAGACAGGGCGGACCTGCTGGGCAGGCAGGTAGTATAGACAGGGAGGATCTGCTGGACAGGCAGGTAGTGTAAACAGGGCAGATCTGCTGGACAGGCAGGTAGTGTAGACAGGGCGGATCTGTTGGACAGGCAGGTAGTGTAGACAGGGTGGATCTGCTGGGCAGGCAGGTAGTGTAGACAGGGCGGATCTACTGGGCAGGCAGGTAGTATAGACAGGGTGGATCTGCTCGACAGGCAGGTAATAGTATAGACAGGGTGGATCTGCTGGACAGGCAGGCAGTGTAGATAGGGTGGACCTGCTGGACAAGCAGGTAGTGTAGACAGGGCGGATCTGCTGGGCAGGCAGGTAGTATAGACAGTGTGGATCTGCTGGCCAGGCAGGTAGTGTAGATAGCGTGGATCTACTGGCCAGGCAAGTAGTGTAGACAGGGCGGATCTGCTGGGCAGGCAGGTAGTGTAGACAGGGAGGATCTGCTGGCCAGGAAGGTAGCGTAGATAGGGTGGATCTACTGGCCAGGCAGGTAGTGTAGACAGGGCGGATCTGCTGGACAGGCAGGTAGTATAGACAGGATGGATCTGCTGGAGAGGCAGGTAGTGTAGACAGAGCGGATCTGCTGGCCAGGCAGGTAGTGTAGACAGGGCGGATCTGCCAGACAGGCAGGTAGTGTAGACAGGGTGGATCTGCTGGACAGGCAGGTAATATAGACAGGGTGGATCTATGGACAGGCAGGTAGTGTAGACAGGGTGGATCTGCTGGACAGGCAGGTAGTTAGACAGGGTGGATCTGCTGGGCAGGCAGGTAGTGTAGACAGGGCGGATCTGCTGGACAGGCAGGTAGCATAGACAGGGTGGATCTGCTGGACAGGCAGGCAGTGTAGACAGGGCGGATCTACTGGAAAAGCAGGTAGTGTAGACAGGGTGGATCTGCTGGCCAGGGAGGTAGTATAGACAGGGTAGATCTGCTGGCCAGGCAGGTAGTGTAGACAGGGCGGATCTGCCAGACAGGCAGGTAGTGTAGACAGGGTGGATCTGCTGGCCAGGGAGGTAGTATGGACAGGGTAGATCTGCTGGCCAGGCAGGTCGTGTAGACAGGGCGCATCTGCCAGACAGGCAGGTAGTGTAGACAGGGCGGATCTGCTGGCCAGGCAGGTAGTGTAGACAGGGTGGATCTACTGGAAAAGCAGGTAGTATAGACAGGGTGGACCTGCTGGACAGAGGGAGGTGTCACACCCCAGGTGGGGCTGAGTGGGACGGTATGAGACTTCATCACGCTACTCAGAATGAAACACGATTTAAAACGTGTGAATTGTTTATTTCTGGAATTTTTCATTTAATGTTTTTGGACCATGACTGACTGAGAGTAACTGAAACCTCAGAAGGCAAAACAGTGGATAAGAGTGACTTGCCGACCTGAACAGTTTGCTCTTAGAAACTTTGTGTGGTTGGTTGCCTGATCTGTGACTTCCTTTAATTCACTTCTCTGAGTTCCTTAAAGGTAGGAATTATGTTTTATTCCTCTCACAGCCATATTTCCTTAAAAACTAGTTGGTGAACCGTGGAAAATCTAGATTGCTCAGGCCGCCTTCTGCCAACAGAAATAACGTTGCCTTTCAGCGGTGGTTTGCTTTTCTGAAATTTTTGGTCATCCCACCCTTTAGAAGGAACAACTTTAGGGAATAAGACTGGCCGGTATGCAACTCCCAGAATTTTCTCAGGAATGTTTCAAAAATCTATTGTTATTCTGGATGCTGGTGAACAGATGCACGAACGGCTCAGGCTCTGCCACTGGCCTTCTCCATGACTGTGTTTGTAGGGACAAAGCATGGTAGCAAACAACCTCAAAAAACCTCTGTGGCTTGAAAACACAAAGTTTAATTACTTGCCCATGCTTCTCTTCCACTGCACGCTGGGAGTAGCTCCTGTATCCTCAGGCCCAGGTGAAATAATTTTCCCATCCTGAGCACTGCCAGGCTCATGGCAGAGGGGAGGGTGCAGGAATGTTGTGCGGCTTTTAAAGTTTCTGCCAGTAAGGGGCTGAGTCACTTCCATTCCATTCCATCAGCTGGGCCTGACCACAGGACAAGTAGCAGAACCTTTCCATCCAGCAGAAACAGAGAGTGTCTGGAAGAAGAATACAAACTGTCCCCAACTCCCAGAGTTAATTCTGTGAATTCATCAACAGGATGATACACTTGCCTCACTGGCTTTTTGTTCCAATAGACAGAATCATAGAGTCTTGTTGTGCTGAGAGCCTTGTAGGTCACGCAGTCCAGGGATGCACAATTAGAAGACAATGACGAGGTGCAAAGCTGAGAGCAGAGGCGAACGGAGTCCGGAGGGCGGGGGCTGCGGGCTGAGCACACACCCCACCGGGGAGCAGCCATCTCCGCTGCAGCCAACGTTGCCCTAGAGAGATGAATGCAGGCCCAATGTTGGCAGCTATTCCAATGTGAAAGAAAGTAAAAATCCAGACTTTTATGTAACAATATTCTAATATTTACAACATTAATCAGCTGGGGGAAAAAGTGTCCACAGAACTTTTGCAGCCTGTGAGCCACCCATTTCTACCCAAATTCAGCCCAAACCTCTAACTGCACAAGCTCACACAAATAGAGAAAGCCAGGAAAAGTATCCAGAACTCCACATGCACTTCACTACTAACGGGCCTCCAGCCCTGGTAAGCATGGGAACCACACATGTAAACACTGAGGTGCCCTGCCACGCCAGTGAAGTGCATGCTGCTCGTGTGTGACCCATTTTTAACCCCTAAAGGCATAAAACACGAATACTGTGAATTCAGTTAATAAGTTGAATTTACACCAGTCCTTCCTGATACAGCTGAACCAGGTCTTTCCCATTATTCACTCCTCAGTATATCACCCCTTCTGTTGAACAGAATTAAGTAAATATTTAAAATTTCTTACCCAGGGGTCAGCAGATTATGATCCAGAGGCCAAGCCAGCCCGTCTGCTTTTGTGTATAAAGTTCTCATGGAACAGAGCTGTGAGCCTGCCGTGTGTGGTCTACGGCTGCCCCTGGACACAACTGCAGAGCTGATTCCCGCACAGACCTCGGGGCCCGCAGAGGGAGGCGCCTTCCCTCCATCATCCCCACTGAGCACCAGCCTCCGCAGCCACTAAAACCTGCGGAACTCACTCCATGCCCCTTGTTGGCTTTCTTCACATAAAGTGGATAAAACTGGGTGTTTACAGCCTAAAGCAGCCCATGCCAAGGCACTCTTCAGGGACTGAGCCTTAGTCACAGTCCTTGTGACTACAGCACGTCCATAGATGAGAGCTGGCCGAGGGATCCGTGTGCCTCCAGCTTCTCGGAGCTGGAAAGAATCCATACTGGAAAAGTGTTCCTTCAGTGCTCCTCCTTCTGGGAAAAAAAGACGGGGAGCTACATCAACCTTAAGGGTTAATGTTGCTTGAATGTAAGCATAATAAATATTCAGCATGTCTCCTAAGACCTGGAGTATCATCAGAGACCAAGCTTGGAAAACCACAAAGAATGACGCCCAGTTTCTAAGAGTCATTCCGTGCTTTACAATCAGCCCACAACCACCGAGTCCCAGGAAGCCCAGCCGAGACCGCGGCAGGTCCTGACGCAGCATCAGCCTGAGTCTGAGCCCAGAGGAAGCTTCTGCTGCCACAATTGCTGCGTGTGCTCATGGCTTGGGTGCAGGCCCAACCACAGCGGACCAAGGGCAGGCTGAGATTTGGCCTGGACTGGAGGGCTGTCTCAAGGAGGGTGACTTGAAAGAGAATAGAAAGGAAAAGGGAAGAATGCAAGTATCCAGGTGGTTCCCAGAGCCAGGAAGGAACCACGTACCACAGACAGAATTTCGCAGGTGCGACGGCCGTCCTCCAGCCACACCCGCCTCCGAGCTGTGCTGCCCGCTTCCTCCAGGGCCTCAAGGGTCCAGGATGCTGCTTCCTTAAAACGAGTGATTTTCCTCCAGAAATCCAGTTCTCTCTCTCCAGGGTTCCAGTCATTCCTGGTGTTCAATTCCTTCAGGCTTGGGGAGGAAATTCCTTCAACGGCATCGCTTCTCGGACATGCAGTAAGTCAAACGGACATTTGGCTTGGCACACATTGAGCACTTAATAAAATCTACCGGACAAGGAGGAACGCCTGGCTGACTCCAGATCGCAGTCACAGGGGCTGGTAAACAAAGCTCTGGAGGGTCAGCATCTGCAGCTGGAAAACAGGGACTCAGGCGTGGTGAGGCTCCATCCGCCCCTCAGCTTCACTGACAGTCTGACTCCCCCAGCCATCCTTGTCCCCGAGCCTTGCACACAGAGCATCCCTTGGAAGATCCAACCAGCTTCACTGACTTCCTTCCCTGTCCCAGCCCTACAGACACATAACTGAGAAGGGGACATGAAGACTGAGCTTCCAGCACCTGGGCACAGGAAGCGTGGATGCCGGCAGGAGAGGAAACTGCGGTGTCACTGCCCGCCGGCCGTGGGGGCTGCACCCAGCGCGGCTCACAGGGGTGTTCTTGGTATCGCTGGCCTCCACATTTCGTTCTCTCCATGCCAAGTGCACGCAGTGGGACCCATGAAGCTGCACACTTTCACTGCCATCATGTAAGCCGCTCCGACCAGAAGCATTTTTAATTTTTAGAACTATTTTCTAATCTTTTCATAAATTTGAGAGAAAGAAACATTTCAAGGAATTCTTGCTATTAGATAATGGCTAGCATTTATGCAGCACTGAGCCTCACAAAACACTCCATTCACATTGTCTCACTTCACCATCCTAACGGCTCTGAAACAGCCATCGGCAGACTTCACTGCGTCCAAGACAGCATCTGTTAAAAAACGCAGCAGTATGTTATGTGTCACTGAGAAAGAAAATAACACTGCCGTTTAAGCCACAATACATGGTGACTTGGACTTGATGAAAAGCAGCATTTCCCACACTTTTCAAAGGAGGAGAGGGAGGTGGCAAGGTCATCCAGAGAGCAGTGGCAGAGCTGGGTTTTCACTTGAGCCTGCAGAGTCTAAAGGATGCATAGTGCGCTCTGCAGCTGGTCCCCGACTGCACACGGCAGGTGGATGCAGCAGCTTCCCACTCATGCTCCTGGGATGCCGGACACAACCAGGAACCTGGGGCTAGAAACTGAGTTCCCAGTGTGGGGAGAGGAAAGCCTCCCCTCCTTACCTCCGGGATCTCCCCTCCCAGCCCATCTCCCCACGTGTCCTGCCAAAGCAACGCCCTTCCTTCCAGCGTTTCTGGAAGCTGATAGCAGCTACATACCTAGAGGAGGAACAGGAAAAGACTGGGAATCGTCTCACTGTCCGAGACAGTGGAATCCATGTTTACAGTCTCCCAGATGGGATAAAGTGGAAGATGGTCTTCCCAGTTCTCTGAAAGCCAGACTTCCTGGCTGGCTGGGCAGTCCCCGGGCTGTGCTGTCCCTGGACTCCACGTATGGGGAGCATGATCCGCACTGTAGCTCGGAACAGCAGAAAGGAGAACCCCAGCAGGAACACGCGTTGCAGGAACCCCACCGCCGAGGCTGGTCGCCGACTCTCGTGTGGGCACCCGTGCAGCTGTCCTTGTTTCCTGGAGAAAGCGTGGCACTGCGGCAGGTGTCCTGGTTGCTAGAAAGCCTCTCCCAGGCTGGTCCTCTGGCATCTGCCATGTGACTTCCTCCAGCTGATGGAACGTAAACAGAAACCAGCACATCAGCTCCAAGTGGAAGCTTCTGAGCCTGCAAGAGACCTGTGTGTCCACATCATCTGATCCCCCCACCTGGGTCCTGGGGGACACCACAGAGCAGAGCCCCCAGGTCAAATTTTATGTACATGTGACAAGAGCAAAAAATAATGTTTTCTTTCAAATCACTGAGATTTTCAAGCTGCTTGTCCCCATGGCATAACCTGTCCTGACTGGACTCACACTCTGCTCTCCTGTGCCAAGCGTCAATATGGATTTTTGATGAAATTTTCTACATTGGCAGGGCAAGCCCCTGCGTGTTTCCTCAAGTGGAGGCAGTGACAGCAAAAGCAAACATTTTGGATCACACACAAATGTTTACAAATAAGATATGTTTAATGAGCATGATGCTTCATGCAATAATAGCAGTGGCAAAAATGGCCAACAGCTACATTATTATTACATTCCCAGTGCTGTTCCCAGTGCTATTCCCAGTGTTTCTCTGTCACTGTATTTGCTGGTTTGCTGAGAGCACTATGAGATTCAGTGTTCCCCAGTGACTTCTCACGTCGCCTAATTAATTCAGCAAAGCACTTATTGGCGACTTCATATGGCCTAATTGTGGCAATAACTTAGTGTGATTAAACTTAATCAAACACCATGTCAGTAAATGACATGATGTCACTCCACCGATGACATTCATGAAGGAAATATTAGGGCCCAAATATTCCTATAGGTGACTTTCCAGGACGCTGCTGCTGGTGTGTTCACAAGGCTGCATGATCAGGAAATTAACCGCACCACATGCTCCACAATTTGGAGCAAATCATCCACCTGGGACCTCACCAGACTCTCCCCGTCAGCAGCGGCTTCTGCCTGGAGGCTGCAGATGGGAGCACAGAGGGCAGTCAGTCATTCCATTGCCACGTCCTAAAATCCAGTCCTGACTTCTTAATCCCAAGCCCCGTTCTCAGATTCAAGGCCCCGTCTTCTCTGGCGTTGCCATTGCCATATTCTAGAATGTTATTTACACTAACAACTTAGGGCCGAAGACGCGGATGATAATAGGACCCAAGGAAAAATCAATGCCGAGCAGGGGTGCGGGGTGCAAGGAAGGCCCATGAGGAGCCTGGGCTGAGTGGGTTTTCCGATAGGAGCACACACTTCAATTCTGAGGTTTCTGTTAGCAAAAAAATCATTAAGTAAGAGAACACTGAGAGCTATACTTTCACAGCTAAAAAAAAGTTCATTTCTTTAGAGAGAGCTTCCCCACAGCCCTAACTGCTGCAGACCGCACTCCCCACCACTTCCACCTCTGTAAATCCTGCACACTCAGGTGGACCCTGTCTCCGAACCTTCCCCGTGGAGAAGGACGTGTCCTCCTCACTCCAGTGAGAGACCACCACGCCCGTGGCCAGGCACTGGGGCTGGCATGAGGCTGCCCTGAACACCGGGAACAGCGTCTTGACCAGTTCAAATTAGGTCACGATTTTGCACTTCCCAAAGCAGGCCTTCGCTCTGTTTCTCCAGTCCCAAGGGCTTCCTGAAACGTGGGGGCCCTTCTGTCACCCAGGCTCCCACTTCCCTGAAACTCCTCCAGATGTGACTCTCGCCTGGAAAAAGGACATCTTCTCCTGTTACCTTTTAGCTTGTTACAACCGGAGAAACTCACTCAAAAGGCTCTGGACTTGTACCTGCCCCCTGAGAGGCCAGCGGGGAAGGCTTGTCCCTTGGCCCTGAACCTCTGCAGGGCCTCATCTCCTCCGCAGCCCTTCCGCTGCTCTGATAAGAGAACCACCACTTAGACCCGGCACTCCAGCTCCCAGGAGACTGAAACACATGAATTCCCAATGTCGGCTTCTGAGGCCTCAGCATTTCTTCCTCAATGAGCACCGTATGCACATGGAGAGCCGTCTTCACCTCAAATTTCAGATTTGCCCGTTTTACTTCCTGCTCACTCTGCCCCAGCTCTGCTCTCCTGCCTCAGTTTCCCAGAGAATGTGGAATCCCCCGAGAACACAGTCACCTCCCCAGCCTCTGGACACCATCACAGTCCCTTCTTCCTGACTCCCCACAGGGCCGCCTCTTCTGCCACTACTTTCTCAGCACGAAGCGGGAGAAGGAGGAGGCAGGCAGCTTCAGACAGTGAGAAAGAGAGACAGACGCGAGCCGCAAGCACCTCTCGATGCCCAAGAGGGGAAGCTGTTCTTTCCTCTTTTAAGTGGGAGCCGCTCACCACTATCTCTCCTGCAGGTCTTCTGGGGGGCCCTGGCCGTGCTCCCTGAGGAAACTGCAGTGAGGAGGGAGAGAGACCCAGAGAGGTAGAGACAGAGAAAGAGACAGAGAGAGAGGGAGGCAGAGACAGGGACGGAGAGAGAGACACAGACAGGCAGGGACAGAGAGAGGGAGAGACAGGGACAAAGAAAGACAGAGATGAGGACATAGAGACAGAGACAGGGACAGAGGGAGACACAGAGACAGGGACAGAGACAAGAACAGAGAGGGAGGGGGAGGCAGAGACAGGGACAGAGAGAGACCAAAAGAGAGGCAGAGAGAGATAGAGGGACAGCGAGCTTTGAGCTCACACCACCCACTGGTGCATATGAAAGGTCAGAGGGACACGGCGAGCCCGAGGGGCGGCTGCGTTTACCAACTAGAAGACAAATCTACTAGTGAATATGGAGGAAAGCATGAATGTTCAGGCTTGCACATACATTATGACTCAGAAATTCCCATTCCTAGATACTTACCCTAGAAAATCTCTTGCGAATGTTCACTGAGAGACAAGTGCAAACGTGTCCCTATCAGCACTGGTTGAACTAAACAAGCAACATGGTGGAATCTTAGAAAGGTAGAAAGAAGAACAAAGCAAGCCCCAGAGAACACAATAATAACATTGTAATAGATCTCAGAAATGCTAAAATATGTATTGTACAGATATGGAAACTATTTTTTAAATGAAGGAACACTTTTTTTAATGCTGGAGAGTGGCCACATCTCCCAGGGAAGCAGGAACGCAGGGCCGGGAAGGAGCCGCAGCAGCTTCAGAGTCCGGGGGGGTTTCCATAGATTAAGAGGAACGGGCTCTCCACAGGGCTTTATTTCATCAGTAAATTTCAAAGCTTCCATATACTATTAGATATGTTCCATATTTACCACATTTTCTTAATAAAAAGTAAAGATTATTTTCCTATCTTAATATCACCAATACCTTAAATTGAGGTAACATTCTCCTGAGCCCAGTGCGCTGTCCAGTCACTGAGTGATGATAGGAAGCAGTTTTCCCCAGCAGCTACGGAGGCCCCAGTGAGGGCAGGCAGGAGGGCATGTCCAGGGTCCCTGACAACCAAGTCGGTGCTCTTCTGATCAGAAGCCTGTGGGATCTTTGCGGTCTTCCAGCAGCTGCTACTGCACAGAAGTTATCCAAGGGCCACCCCAGGACTCACCAGCCTCCTTTGGGAGGTGTAGATCTCCAGAAAATTTAGACTTGGAGTCTGATCTTCATCAGCAACCAGACCACCGATGCTGGGACCCACATGGGACTGGGACTTTACACCCAGAGAGTCACCAAGTTCCAAGGACATCACCTGGTTTACTTTGCAAAATTGAACTTGGATCCATCCAAAGGTGGTTTATAGAGCACAGATCCCCTGGATTCATCCAGTTGGCCATGGTCTCTTGAACCCCAATATCTCAGTGGCTGAGCAAAGCAAGGCCGTATCTGTTGCCCACATGGCACACTGATGACTACAGTCACCACACGTCTTCTCGTGCCAGGGCCTGGGCTCCAGGAGCAGTTCCCATCCGGAAGGTGCCATTCTTGCATAGAGCGAGCAAGAGTCAGTCACAAAACGGATTTTAACTGGTTTGCTGAGCTTTGGCACATATGTGTCTGTGCACGTCATATGGTGAGAGCAAGTCCGTGGCCAGCTGACCATCACAGGGGCAGAACGTGATGGTCCCCGCAAGGGACACGTTGGGGAGGTGGGCCCTTCCCCGATGGAAACCAAGTAGTTGGATTTAATAACACAACTATCGCATCCTCACACCCCAACTCTCTTCTCTTAGTGTTTGGACTAACTTTAAATTTTTCAAAAAATTTTTAATTAAAAAAAATTTCTTTGAGATAGGGTCTCACTATGTTGTCCAGGCTGGTTTGGAACTCTTGAGTTGACACAGTCCTCCCACCTCCACTGGGACTATGGGTGCATGCCACCGTGCCCAGCTGATTTAACTTTGATCATGCATGAGACCCACTGGTGCTGGGAACCTTCCATAGAATGGACACCTGTAGGATTCCATGGAATACAAACCTGGCAGCAGGGTTCTAACCACCTGGACTCAAATCCAGCACCAGCACTTGCCAGTTGAGACTGATCTTTCACAACTAAGACCAACTGTACTCAGGAACTTGGCGAAAGAGGCAGTTGTGATTGTACTAAGGGACCAGTGGGTTTCCTTACACGTGAACGTTCAGCTTTTCCACTTCCAGCTTTTCCTGTCTTTGTCTGCCGAGCTCCTGGGGCTCTTGCTGGCACTGTCCTCCCTTTAGACTGTACTGTCTTCATTTGTTGCTCCCAAGATGTTCAGACACGCAGCTGGCTTCCCTCTGAAAGATCTTATTAAATAAACACCTTTCTCCCCTACAGTGCAGCCCTGGGAGGTTTTGTCAGGACGTTGAGCTAATTGGCAGGTTGTGTTTCCGTGGGGGGAGATGCAACATTTAAGAGGATTACACGAGGTTTGTTTAAGTCTCTTGTATATACGGCTCAAATAAGCCGTTGTATTTGCTTTAGACTTCACAAGAGGCTTCTCGCGTGTTTAAGCAGATGATAGTCCAATAGGTAGCTTCAGCTGCCAGCTGCTTCCTGCATTTAAATCCCAGCCTCACGGAGTTTATTTACAGAGGACGTTTTCTAAGCCAATGAAGCACATCCCTGAATGTACAAGAGAAAAGTGATGCTTGCTCTTCGTCTGCAGCTATGTGCAGCCAATGTCCTCTCCATGAGCTGTGCCACAGGACAAGTTTCCCGGCAAACACCACGCCCCGCGATATGGCAGGATTCATGCCGACTAATGGAAAACACACCAGATGCTGGAAAGAGATAAAGGAGAGCGTTACTGCAATACTGTGTAGAAGAAAGGCCATAGATGAGAAAACACAAAGCCAGTGTTGTCCCCTCGAAGACACTGGAGCCCGGGACACAGAGCTCGAAAAGCCTCCTTGGGGTCACGCTGGAAGATCCTCAACTCCGGGACATGGCGTCGAGAAGAGAAAAGAGGTGAGAGAAATTTCCTTGGAGACCAGCGCAGCAACGAGGGCACAAGGGAATGGTCCCACACAGATACATGACACCTGCACATCGACGACACACATGTGACACGTGCACAACACATGCATGTGTATTACATATATGACACACATATGTGACATGCACACATAACACCTGGATACCTGTGGCACATGCATTATGTGACACACACAGGTATGGGACACACATAAAATGTAGCATACATTACACTATGATACATGACAAATATAAACAAAGTTTCTGAAATAAACGTTTGATCTTTCCACACAGAGTGGACGCAGTCCCAACAAGGCTGCATAGAGTCTGGCTCTCTCCCTGGCTGCTAAGCGGCGCTGGGGCCATCAGTGAGGCGGCCGGTCCAGGTCCAGGCCTGTCCTTAATGAAAGATGAGGCGGAGCAGCCCCGGGATGCCCCCAGCACCGAGATGCCGGGTGTGACCCATAGGACTGCGTGTAGGGCAGAGTGAAGCTGCTCAGAAGCAGATTCTGCCTGGTTGGGAAGCAGCCTGAGCTGCCCCCAGGGGCAGGGGACCGCTCTCTGGCCCCCAGGCTGCCTCCATGGTCCTCAAAGAGGACTTTCTCCCACCGCGTCCATGCCGCAGCCCTCACTTCAGACCTGCCCTTGAACCTCTGCCCAGGGTCCAGGTGCCTCAGACCCTTCGTTCTTGGGCACAAGTGCAGGCCTTACTCCTTTTCCTGCACCCAGGCTTGGTCCCCGCCCAGCCTCTGGCCTGAGGACACTATACACACAGAGCGCAGTCTATGTGGAGGCCAGAAAGTGGAGGTCAAACACATATGTCTACTAATTATTTGAATTTATTTCTTATTCTTCCTATTTATTTATTTAGAGAGGGGATCTCACTCTGTCGCCCAGGCCGGAGTGCGTTCATTGGTGATCATGGCTCACTGCACCCTTGACCTCCCAGGCTCAAGCAATTCTCCCACCTCAGCCTCCTAAGTAACTGGGACCACAAGCATGCACCACCACACCTGGCTATTTTTTTAAATTTTGTAGAGATAGGGTCTCGTCGCATTGCCAAGGGTGGTCTCTAACCTCTGGGCTCAAGCAGTCCTCCCACCTAGACCTCCCAAAGTTCTGGGATTGCAGGAGTGAGCGACTGCACCTGACCACAGTTTTCTTTGTTAGCAGTCAAAAAAGACGAAGAAAGAACGTGTTCAGCTGTAATTCCTAGGAAAAAATATGTTCGGGCCGGGCACAGTGGCTCACGCCTGCAATCCCAGCACTTTGGGAGGCTGAGGCGGGCGGACCACCAGGTCAGGAGATCAAGACCATCCTGGCTAACACGGTGAGATCCCGTCTTTACTAAAAATACAAAAAAAAATTAGCCAGGCGTGGTGGCGGGCGCCTGTAGTCCCGGCTACTCGGGAGGCTGAGGCAGGGGAATCGCTTGAACCCGGGAGCCGGAGGTTGCAGTGAGCCAAGATTGCGCCACTGCACTCCAGCCTGGGCGACAGAGCGAGACTCCGTCTCAAAAACAAAAAAAAAAGAAAAGAAAAAATATGTTTGGTTTCATTATGATACTTCTTGAACAAAGATGATCTGAAAAAAAAGAAAACGAAAAGTCACCCGAAGTAAATTAAAAGAACAAAACAACAACTCAGGAGGCTGGGAGGAAAAGCCGTGTTTGGAAAACACAGGAAACCGTGAGGCTTTTCTGCTGCGTCTGCCCCACCCTACACAAGCTCTGGTGTGGGACACGTCCACGCAGAGGCCCTTCTACGCAGCGGAGTTAGGAGACCTCGGAAGACCCAGATATACAGAGCATGCCTGAACATAAACGCAGATGCTTGCATTTGAAGCAGAACACTGAAAATGAAACATAGCAGAAAAGCAAACGTGTCAACGTCCTTTGAGAAAGAGTAAGCACAGGGGTGTGGAGGAGAGCCGGGCCAGCCTCGGACTCAGCCTCCCTGGAGCCCGAGACGTCCACTTCTGTGGGGTCCCGAGGGAAGCGGATGTGGTCCTCTCCTAGCCAGCCACATTTGCCTTTAAGTAAAAAGGCAACTGACAATCTTTCTCAAGTCATCAAAAACTCAAGGAAGATCCATCCAAACAATAACGACAAAAATCAACCAAAGAAATACGCCAAGAAAAAGGGTGGCAAAGTTAAAATTTACTTCAACAGGCTGGGCGCAGTGGCTCCCACCTGTAATCCCAGCACTTTGGGAGGCCAAGACAGGCGGATCCCCTGAGGGCGGGAGTTTGAGACCAGCCTGACCAACATGGAGAAACCCCGTCTCTACTAAAAATACAAAATTAGCCGGGCATGGTGGCCCATGCCTGTAGTCCCAGCTACTCGGGAGGCTGAAGCAGGAGAATCGCTTGAACCCGAGAGGCAGAGGTTGCGGTGAGCCGAGATCAAGCCATTGCACTCCAGCCTGGGCAACGAGCGAAACTCCGTCTCAAAAAAAAAAAAATTTCACTTCAACAGAGAAACTAAGACTCAACCAATGTGAGCATTATAAATAAAGAGAATGTAAACGTTATGAAGTTGAAACAGTAAGTTGGAGTTTTCTGAAGAGAAAGCTTTTTCAGGGCCCATACCTCTCCTGCCTTTATAGATTTTCTTTTCCTCGAGCTACCAAAAGATGCCTTTGTCCTTGAGGTCTGGTTACAAGTCAAGGTATTTTACGATATCGATCTTTATCACTTTTTTTCTTGGAACAGAAGATAAACAGGTACAAATGTTTCATTTTTTTAAAGACGCTTTGTGTTCTCAGCTCTTTCATTTTTTTTTATTTCTTCAGTCTTCTTTAAGAGCACCAACTGCACCCATGCTATCTTCCGTCATCTCTACAGCTACCATCTTCTCTGAGGTCACTGCAGTCGCATTGCTGTTTTTCGTGTCATCCTGTGTGACTTCCTCAGATCTGTTCCACGCGTCAAGGACTGTTTCCCGTCAATTTATTCTACTTGTTTGAGCTTCTCTGTCAGCTAACATGTTTACATCTGGAAGGTTTTCCTCTTGCATTTATTTCCTGAGCCATCATAGCTCATTCTTCCCTCACTCCGCAAACTGCCCCTGGGCCCTTACACCCTTCAGTTCTTTTCCCTAGAAGGGCTTAACTGGACTCTTACTTTGGAGCGATTTTGTTGTTTCTTTGGATTTCTTCCTTCTTTGCCCTTTTCAGTTTTGATTTTTGTTTGTTTGTTTGTTTTTTGAGATGGAGTCTCAGTCTGTCACCAGGCTGGAGCATAGTGGCACAATCTCGGCTCACTGCAACCTCCGCCTTCCGGGTTCAGGTGATTCTCCCACCTCTGCCTCTTGAGTAGCTGGGGCTACAGGTGTGTGCCACCACGTCCGGCTAATTATTTGTATTTTTAGTAGAGATGGGGTTTCACCATGTTAGCCAGGATGGTCTCGATCTCCTGACCTTGTGATCCACCTGCCTCAGCCTCCCAGAGTGCTGGGATTACAGGTGTGAGCCACTGCGCCCAGGCTTGAAACATTTTAAAGACAAAAAAAATGTACAAATAATTTTATAAAACAGTCATATTCCCACAACCAGAATTAACAAAATATTTTGCCACGTTGGTTTCTAGTCCTTTGGAAAGGACTCTGGCGAGGTAGAAGGATCCTTAAAACAACACAGTTGAAGCCTCTCCCACCCGGGGCGGCCAGTTTGAGGTATTTGGTTTGTATTTTTATATGACTGTTTTTTAAGTTTCACATACCTGTATATTTGCATTTATCCGTGACATAAACCTGTCTTTTGAGCATGTTACTGATGTGACGGGCACTGACCTGCATTGACGACTCTGCTCCTTCCTGTTCTCACAGTGCTGGTTAACCCAAAATCCATCTGGTCTGTTTCATTCTACTAGTTTTTGGCTGTTCACACCTAGGCTTCTATTTATCTAAAGTATCCTTTTGAGGGTGGAATGAGGCAGGAACCCTCTTCCCCAGATGAGAGCCCAGTCCCTGGGCTGTGTGCTGAGTGCCTTGTTCCCAAACTTAGGAAGCTGTCTCCATCGGGTCACAGACTCCCACGAGACTCTGTCTCTGAGCTCTGCCCTTTTCTGCCGATCTATTAACGCCACACTGTTTTCATTACCATACCTTTGTATATATTTGCTTTCTCTTCCAATTTGGCTTTTTTTTCCAAAAAAATGTTTTAACTGTTTTTTCTCCTCAAACCTTTTAAACGTTATGTTATTTTTAAAAATGTTAAAAAAACAAAAGTAGATGGGAAAGGAGAGTGAGTTCCTATGTGTCTGTCCTCAGCATCAAAACATCACCAAATCAGGCCCAATTTCATTGCCTCTGCTCCCCCACCAGCCTCTCCTCCTCCCCCAGACTCTTTTAAAACCAATTACAGGCACTACACCATGTCATCTGTGAGCATTTCTGAAGGTATTTATTCACATATATTCTTCCATATGTGCTCTGGAATCAGTTTGTTAAAGTCCCCATATATTTTGACGAATCTTGATGGAATGTTCACTGAATGCTAAGATGTTGGAGAATTTACTGTTATCCAAATACTCCTGTCCAAAACACTGGTGCTTCTCCTCCTCAAATTCTTCCTTCGGGCCTTTCAATAACATGTTTGTAGTTCTCTCCAGGAAGGTCTTGCACATATTTTTGGATTTTGCTCAACCCTGACTGTCATAGATTTTACTGTGGCCATGAATGGCCCACGTTTAGGGTTCTATTCCCCATCTGGTGACTGCCAGAGTAAATAAATGCTAAGAACTCCCAGTACGGCTCTTGTTCTCTGCAATCTTGCCGAACTCTTGTATTGATGTCTGTAATTTATTCAAAGATTCTCTTGAATTCTATATGTATAGAATCATAGCATCTGCAAGAAAGTCAATCTTTTGCTTTACTTTTTTATTCTTATAGTTATTCGGGTTTTTTGTTTGTTTGTTTGTTTGTAATTTTGAATTGTATTGCAATGGCTTGGGATTTCAATGTGTTGCTGAATAAGAGCAGTGATAATTGGCAGCATTGTCGTGTTCTTGATAGTTATGGGCAGTGTATGCTTTCCATCTGCCTAACGTCTTTTTCCTGCCTGAGTGTTTGATTTTTCCTGGTGTCTCTGCGTAGCCGTGTGCGGTTCCTGGCTGGTGTCGTTCCTCTGTTTCCTGGTGTCTCTGCGTAGCCCTGTGCTGTTCCTGGCTGGTGTCGTTCCTCTGGGGAAGGAGGCAGATCTGCTGAACCAGCTACATCCCTAGGCCCGGCAGGAGGCAGGGCGAGGGAGTGAGCTGTGGAAAGAACACATCGACCTGGGCTTGCTCCCCTGAACACCTTCAACACTCTTACCCTCCTCTATCACTTCATTCTCCTCTTCTCAGCTTTCCTGGGTCACCAATGGGTGGAGGCGGCCTCTCGCTCCTGTCCACCTCATCACAGACCGAAACCCTGATCACGAACAACGGAAACTGTTGATGGACTCAGGCGCATTCTCGCCTCCCGCATCTCCATTCCTCCTTCCCAGTGGCCCTCAGCTGCGGTGCCCATCTGCACCCAACACTGGGGCAGAACCTGGCTTTGGGGCAAGAAGTACTCCACAGAGTAGGTCAATGGGGTGGGACATTCAGGCAGAGTGACACACGGGTTTGCCCCAAACTTCACCTCTGGTAGGGGGTCTCCTGGGAATCCCACTAAGGTTGGGCCTGGCAGGGATCGGGCAGCAGGACTCTGCCCTGGCTGGGCCTGTTTCTGTCCACCTGCTCTTTCCCTTCCCTGCCTGGCTCATTGCCGAGTCTGTGGACATGAGATGCGCCAGGGACAGAGAGCTTGGGCGTGGGGGGGCCTGTGACCCTGGGGTCTTAGGGAGCCTGCTTGGGTCACACCGTATCTCCTCTCTGCCCTGCGCCTGGCACTGAGCTGCCTTTCAAGGCTGAAAATGTGGGCTCTGTTTTCCATCTGTCTGCATCATTTATGTTGAGATGCTCCCAGTCGTCTGATTTTCCGTGTTATCACCTCAGGACATTTAAACAATTAACGGTTTAGCAGCAGGAAGATAACTGCCACATACACAGTCAGTGTCCTGGTTAGAAAACAAGCAATCAGAGAAAATATGTTTTGAAAAGAATTAGTGGGCGGGCTGAGCTTCCTATCTTTCACCTGGTAGATTAATGATTGTATGTCAACACAGCGACAGGCTAACATTTTCAAATAGAAAGACATGTGATTAAATCTCTCTTTTGATGTGTTCTGCAAATTGCTTCTCTAAGCTCTGCTTCCAAAGGGCGGCTCTCCAATTAGAGTCAGATTATTATTACGGGTTAGTGATCACTCCTGCTCCCGTAGCTGACTCATTCTTTAACATGCTAATTAGCAAATACATCCAGTGCCTTGCATCATATTTGACCTTCAGCGTTCTTTTCTAACTGGAATCATTTCATGCCATTCCGATGAAATGGAGACATTGTTCTGAGGTTTCTGACCCCTCCCTCCTAAGGGCCCCGTGATCTGCCACGAAGCCTGGGAAGATCAGCCACGCACACACCCCTCTCCGGATCATTCTTTTCCAGAGGTCAATGACTTAATAAGTTCACTTTCGTTCAGCAAGTTTACCGTTGCTCCTCTTAAAGTGATAGCTTGTGTATTCATGACAATTTGGTATTGTTACTGAAGTGGACCTCACACTGGGGTCAAGAATTCCTAAATTGCTACCTAATGGTCACTGTGAAGAGAGGATGCTGTACCGACCACGTCTGCATCCCACGGGGTCTGGAGAGGACCAGAGGCCTGGGCCCCACCAGGTCACAGAGTTGGTCATGAATTCCCCTTCTCCTTTCTCTCCTTACTTCACGGAGGTATATTCTTTCTAAAAAGATTAAACAGCATCATATAAAATGGATATACCTGCTTCTCACTCTTTCAGCTGCCAGAGGCTCCAAGGCCCTTGGTCCTGGCTAGGCCCCTCCATGGTCACAGCAGTGATGGCCTCGTCCTTCCCACACGAGGACCCCAAGGGTAACCCTGCGTAACTCCCACCCAAGGGCCCTGCCGGGAGCCTGAGTCCACCTGCAGCTGGGTGTCCTTTCCCCCATGCCCAACACACTCAGTCTCTGGGGATCAGGGTTTGTGCATCTCTGGGTGGCTGCTCCACCAGCCCCAGCAGGGCGCCGTGGGCGCATGGGTCCTGTGCCAGCATCTGCCTGGCTGTCACCATGGGCATCTGCCTGAAGGCAGCAGTTCCCCGCCTTCCCGCCTGCTGTGAATCTCGTTTCTGCTCCGTGGTTTCTGCCTGGCTCCCACGGAAAAGATCGTCGCATTCTCTGCTTCTCTCCACTGTCTGCCCTGCTCCTGTAACCACGGCCATTTCTGTCAAGTGCCTCTCAACCTCAGAGTTCATGCAACACTTGAGGTGAACAAAAAGCCCAGGCCTCTCCATCTGGAGCAGGTTTGCAGATTCTCATAGCCCCCATAATTGTCGCTCTGGAGCGGGTTTGCAGACTCTCATAGCCCCCATACTTGTCGCTCTCAGCAGCTATCTCAGAACCTGTTATTTATTAGCCAAGTGATGTGATTGTTCTCTCTTCTCATTAGATCATGACCTCTATGGGGACACGAACCTGTTTATTCCCACACTGAGGCTTCAACCCAGGGCCTACGCTTAGGAAATACTTGACATTTGTTGAGTTTGTGAGCAGACGAACACAACCCCCATTAAATGAAGCTGAGTGAAGTGGAGGCTTAGAGGAGATGGTGACAGCAGGAGATGCAGCCGTGGGAGCAGATTCTCCCTGTCAGTGACGTCACCAGTGCAGCAGCTGACCAGCGGCTGACTGTGGGTGGGAGTCAATCGGGCAGCTTCTGTCTGTCCCTCTGCAGAGATGGCTCACGGTGCAGATGTGCAGCGAGCAGGTCTGGCTCTCCTGCAGGCCAATCCTCACCCACCTGTGCCTCAGTTTCCTCTTTTGTAAAACAGGGACAAGGCAGTCCTCCTCTCGTAGCAATGTGGGGGTGGCTGAGGGAGCTGTGAGCATTTGTCCCTGGACCTAGGACAGGGTCTGGTGCGCCCTTTGAGACTGGGCCACCCTTTGAGCTCCTGCACTCCAGTGACTCCAGCAGCATCAACTGTGCTCCACTCACACGAAGATGCTCTCGACTGTAGACACACCACTGCGTTCATGGAACCAAGAGAGGAAAAACACTTCCAATTAAACTATGACAAGCCATGTAACTAAGATACATTCTGATTCCTGAAATGTGAGGCTGTGAACACCATGTGTGCCCCAGCATCTCTAAGACACCAGTGTCCCAAGGGAAGACACTGAGGACCATGGGGGGGCAGTGTCCAGCGGGGCATGATGGCTGAGCGGGCTGCTGGGGGCCAGCTGCCAAGCCAGGTGGGCTAGAGCCCGGGTCCCATACCATCTCCCCACCCAGGAGCTGGCGGAATGCGTCTTCACGTTGTTTTTGCTGTGGCTCCTGACTCTGCCAGCATGAAACACATTTATCTCAAAATTTCTCACGAACACATACTTGATATTATTGTTCTCAGAATATTTACTGGGAAAGGGCATAAGGACAAAAAGGCACTTTGTTTAGTAACATTTTACTGAATTTGTATTTAATTCATCACAAAAGCATCTGAGCACCTTGGTGGACCCAAAACCACACCTGGAGACATGTCAGTCTCAGACCACAGTTGCTAGAAGGGCCCTTATGACAACTCAGCATGTTCCCAGGGGTCCCAAGACCACAGCCTGGGACTCTGCACTCCAAAATGAGGTTTACAGCCCTTAGTCAGGTATGCAAGTTCTTAGCTTCTCGAGCAGCCTCCAAGATGGGAGCTCATTTAGAGCGGCCCCATACCCCCTTGAGCACCCCAACTCTGAGCCTCCCCAGCAGCCAGGTGTTGTCCTGCTGTGCAAAAACCCCTGATTGTTTTTAAGCTGGTGTCGACATGCTTCCCTGTCATTGACCCTCATTGTGCCTGTAAATCTGTGCTACACAATTCAGTTGTATGTTGTGGGATTCACTAAGAACCCTGCTGCAAGGTGGGTTGTTGCCCCCGAGGCACCTTCTTCAGAAGCCTGGATTTCTATCTATTAGTTCGTCTTCAAGGGTGGAATGGCTGCATGCATTTCCCACCCGTGCACCCTGCCCACGGTAGATCAGAAGGAAGATTAGTAGGAAGGAGTGTGCAGCAAAAGAAATGTTTTTTCCTAATCTCTAAGCAGACTATACAGACTGTCCCAGCCTTATCTCAGAGCCAGTAATGAATTAATCAAAACGCACAGAGCTGCTTCTGCAGGCGAGATGAGCACTGCTAAGAAGCTGCTGATAACATCCTTCAGGTGATCCTCTTTTTTTAAAAAAACATATATTTTGTCTCTATTGGATTATTTTGCTTCTCTCAGGGACATTGCAGCGGTTTATGCCCAGATCAGCATGAGCATGCCCAGATGCTCCAGGGTCCAGCACAATGACCACACCCAGCCCCTCTGTTACCTGCGGTGAGCACTGGTGAAGGGGAATGAGGAAGGCCCTGCTGCAGGGTGGGCAGTGTGGAGGGAGGGACTCGAAGGGGCCATGGGTCTGCTTTCTCGGGGAGGGACCATGGGTGCAGGCGACAGACACACCTGAGCACTTGCGGAATCATCTTCCTGACTTCTCGGCTCCGGGCTCCAGGGTCCAGTCCAGCTCCCATCCACACGGAAGGAAAAGGATGAACAAACTGAAAATCAACAACTCTTCTTCATCCGTCAGAGAACTGAGTCACCAGGCAAAGCACGGCCCCCAAATCTGGAGACACAGACAAGCGGGTTCCAAGAACCTCAGCTGACAGGAGCAGAACCTCTGCGGGGCCAATGCCACGGACTTGAGCTGCCCCTCATGAATTTCTGGAGATGCCACCTGGACAAGTGAGAGAAAAACTCCAGGGGAACCCAGTCATGGGGGACCTGCGCTTGGTGAATTTTACCTCCGAGAGCTCGACCAGGTTCCCACATTAGAGAGGAAAAATCAGCCGGGCGCGGTGGCTCACGCCTGTAATCCCAGCACTTTGAGAGGCCGAGGTGGGCCAGTTGCCTGAGCTCAGGAGTTCGAGTCCACCCTGGGCAACATGGTGAAACCTCGTCTCTACTAAAATACAAAAAATTAGCCAGGCGTGGTGGTGCGCGCCTATAGTCCCAGCTACTCAGGAGGCTGAGGCAGGAGAATCGCTTGAACCCAAAGGCAGAGGTTTCAGTGAGCCAAGATCGCGCCACTGCACTCCAGCCTGGGTGACAGAGGGAGATCCTGTCTCAAAAAAAAAAAAAAAAAAAAAAGGGAGAGAGGAAATATCCCCTCTTACTTACAGCCTACCTGGAGGTTGGCAGACATCCGAGTATGTCACACTTTCCTCCTCCTGTGCTGTATTCATTCCACAAATTTTTATGGCATATTGACCACACCCAGACCCTCTGTTACATCCTCTGTGGGAGGTCAAATACATGAAAATGACTTGGTGCTGTCTTCAGAGGCTGCAGTTCAGCCCAGCCACGTGAGGCCACCATCAAGACCGCCTTTCACCCAGAGCCCCTCAGGACTAGTATGGAGATTTGGGGAGTCTGAGTCTGCCCAGATTCTCTGATTTGAATAGAGCAATAACACTTTATTTGCTTTACATGTTAACTGAAAGCCCAGTCAGTCACTGGAACAAAGAGTTTGAGCGTTTCAAAGTCAGGTAGGAATGCACTGATCTGTAGCAAGGTTCCAAGCCTGTCTACCCAGGATCAGCTGGAAAGATGTTTGATAATGGAGGGTGCAGGTTTTACCACCATTAAAATGAACGACACCTGGTGGAGGTACATTCCAGGGCTTTAGCAAGCTCCGCAGGTGAGCCTGGGTGCACAGCCTGGCAGACTTGGGAGCCGTGTGTCTAGACCCAGGGTGAAGGCGGTGCTGTGCATTAGGGCAACAAGCTGCTTGTTTATGCCCAGAGCTCACCCCAGAAAATCTGTGTAGGCATGACGGGGCTTGAGCATCCATATTTGACATAAACAGTACAATACTGCAGGTGACTCTAGTGCAAGCAGCTGGGGACCACAGGTGGAGAAGCATGGTGCAGAAGACCCTGAAATACAGGAACACAGCGCCAGCACATGTGCCGTGCTGGAGTTCTGCAAATGATGGCTTCAGCTCCACAGATGGTGGTTTCCCTTATAACAATTTGAGGCTTAAAAATAGGGCTTCACTTAAAAAGAACAGTGGATATTTCTGCGTGGTGGAATGATGAGTGGTTTGTAAATGTGTCTTCCTTATGTTTGTCTGAACCTTCTGGGTTTTTTTCTATCTTTATCCATTTATTGATGCAATAAATCTTAAGCATATAGTATATGCCACCTACTACATTGTTTCAGCAAAATGATAATAATTAATAATGTAATAATATACTAATTAATATAGGAGTACAACTAAGAAATCTGCTTTCTAAGCAATAATTTTAGAGAGGCATTTTTATCCTCCATAGTTTGGTTCTTGGCCTCCTCATTCATAGAAATCACATTATATACACTTCCGAGGAGCTTGTCAAAGCCTATTTAATCAATACCAAGCTGACATATTTTATTTGCTCCCTTCAAGTTGACCCATCTATTTTATAAATGTGCGGGGTGAGGCTTCCTCTTCTTCAGGTTCCTTTCCTGTATCTTTTTATTTTCTGCAACCTCTTATATTGTTCATAACCACATTTCTCTTATGAGTCATCTTCCCTGCTTTGAATCTCTAGTTAATACAGGAAAAGCTTCACACAAAGTACTGACAATGGTAGCAAATCAGTATCTTAATGTTCTATAGCTATATTAAACAAGCAAGGAGACTGTCAAACTTTAGTAAGTAAAAGAGCAACAGAATCTGCACATCTCCATTTACCAACCTTCTTCGTGCGTTCTTTCAGATACACCGTGTAATGAATAGACTCTTCTGGCCTAGAACAATAACATCCACAGATAAGACTGCTTATAGGAGAAATGTGTTCTGTAATTTGTCCATTCATTCATTTATTCACCAAGTATTTGTTTAGTGTCTGCTATGTGCCTGGACCTTGGACGCAACGGTAGACAAAAGAGACAAAAATTTCTGCCCTGGTGAAGCTTATGTCCTGCGGGTAGAGACAGAGAGAATAAATAGGTAGAAGACACAGTATGTTAAAAGGTGGAGAAATAAGCCCGTGTGAGGGGTCCCTGAGTGTGCGGAGTGGCAGCTCTAACTGAAATAGTAAGGGTAGAGCTAATAAGAAGTGGCTTTTGAGCAAAGCCTTGACAAGGTGAGGAACCACTCACACTGTAAAAGACACCTGCAGGTCAAGGTGTCCTCAGGTTGAGAAGTGCCTCATCTCATGCCAACTTTTCAGCTTAAAAGATACAGTTTTTGTATGATACTGCACAGATACTGTCTTACTGGGCAATTTTCCTTCCATCTCAGGATAATAAAAGGTAAAACCAGAGGGCACTTCACACATCACAGCAAGAATCACAGTAAATATGTGTTTCCTTCTTATAAGTGCTCTTTTAAAGTTTGATAGCTCAACAAGTATTGTAGACTGTACAGTTGTCCTTCAGTGGAAGGAGAAACATCTACACAAAGTATGTCATTTATTTTCTTCTCAGGCTCTTTCTTTAAAATACCTGCCGTTTGCCATGGACCTCTAAGACTGTCTGGCTCATAATGTTAGCAAAATCTTTTCTATTAGTGTAATTTGCTCCCGGTAGGGCAAAAAAATCTCGAAATAATAATATTCTTACGTTTCTTTCCTCTACTTCCTTCTGCATGACTTTGCACTCACTAGTTGACTACAGCATCCACATTGCCTTGAAAAGAAGTAGGATTTTTTTTTTAGCTGAAATGAAAAGTGGAAGAAAGAGTAAATTTTCCTTTTTTTTCTTCCCAAACAGGAACAGTTCAACATGAGGAAGCAGAATCAATGCACAGAAATTAAGCTAATGTCTTCAGTCTTTGCAACACCACTTGAGCAGCTTGACCAAGTCACTCATGCCTAGTGGCCCCGTTAGTTGCTCTTCTCCCATCAGTGAGCCCTGGAATTTCCATCAGTAGCTGCCTATGCATTACTCATGGATCAGAGAGCAGAAAGACACCAGACCTTGCCAAGTCCCACCTAGGTAGCTACACAGGGAGCCCTGTATTGACCATGGCCCAGAACATGTGCAAGCGCCTTCCCATATGAGAGGGAGGGGCATTGGATTAAGAACCTGGTGACTCAGAAGGAAATATCCCCACCAGTGCTTTGGTGGGACTAGAAAATGGAGCCCACTCCTGACACCAGGAAGTGCTCATCTGGAGTTTAATTGAAGACAAAAACCCCAATGTTGGTGCCCAAATGTCTCTGCCTTTTGAAATTATCATGTAAATTCACTGATAATTGTCTTAGATTCATGTGGAGACATTAGTATTAACTGTTATTCATCCCTTTAAGGTCATCTTTAGAAGACCCTACATTGTGTTCTAATTGCTCAGCAGGGCTCCCTCCTAGAAGTTTAGACAACAAACTTATGCACATGTGGACTGCACCATCAGTGCCCTGGTTATGTTGGAGTAAAAGTATAGAGAATTTTTAGGAAAACAGGCAGAAGTGTAGGTATTTTTGCTATTCTTTGCTTCACCTATCCACGGAGGTGGATAAAGACACCTGGGAAGGGGAAAATGTGGGCTAGCAAATAGAGAAGAGGCTGCTACTAGGCTGGGAAGTGCCTCCCTCATTTACGACTAGCCAGAGACACTGAACTTGGCTGTCCAGGCAAGCTTGGGTTCTGGGATATACCGAAATAAACCTTGGCCTTTATACAGACTTATTCCTCAAGCCAAGTTGTTTCACCAACTTGGTTCTGAAGATCCAGACCCCAGTTGGCATGAATCCATCCCCCTTAGACCCCAGCTGGCATGAATCCATCCCCCTTTCCATCTTGCCATCTTCAGCCCTCCCGGTGGAGCGGAGGTTCTCACCTAAATAGAGAAGCTAAATTTCTACCTTCTGATTTTACCTTTTCCATGTGTGCATCAGGCACTTTCTCCAAAAGATAAGAATCATTTGTGTTGACATCTTCACTTATTCAGTTCCACCTTCTCTTCTAACTTAGTAAGAATTTCTGCTAGTTAAATTGGCTTTAATTTCTTTTGCTCCCAGAAGTTATTGGAAGAATGCCCATTAACCATTTCATCATATTATTTCTATAACCCAAATTAATTTTCCAGAACATGCAGCATATCACCGTAATGAGTTGCTATGACCAGTTGCATTAGAAAATATTGCCTTTCTATTTTTTCTGTATTTTTAAATTCAATCAAACAGGAATAAACTTCTGCTGACGAAACTGCTTGGAAAAACCCATGCTGTTTAACATGCACTTTCACTACCTTCAGTTTACTGGCTTCTTTGCTGAAACCCTGGGACCAACCATCTGTGGCCGGTTGTCATCATTTGTACAACCAGTGGCCCTAACTGGAAACTTGGAAAATTCCCACTCCTGGACAATCTGGCACATGGAAACATTCTTCTCAAGATGTGCTAGAATTAAGACTCATTAACGAACAAAAAGCACCAACAGCTCTCATAGTTTACAATAGGCACAGGCCCAGTGGGGTGCTGGAGGTGGCTGGAATCGGCTTGGGGGAGTGGACCAAGTGCACCCCTTCCCGCCTCCTCATTCATTGTTGTCTCATGGGCAGTGTGAAATTAGCCATGGTTGGAGTCTATACATAACAGAAATTCGCAAGTGCTACAAGTAAGGGCTTCCTCGCACTCCTGCCCCTCTTCAGAAGAGCTGGGTTTTCAGCTCACCCGGACATAATGCACTTGGCTACCTGGGCCATGGCCAGGGTATGAATGTTTGGTTCCCCCGCAAGATTCCTGTGCTGAAATCCTAATCCCCGTGTGATGGTGTTAGGAGGCAGGGTCTTTGGGAGGTGATGAGGTCACGGAGGGGAGCTCTTGTAAATGGGATTAGTGTCCTTAGAAGGAGACCCCAGAGAGCTGCCTCTCCCCTCCAGTCACGGTGGGCAGGAGATCAGGGTGAGTGAAGTCAGAGGCTGTCTGAGGGCCAGCCCTGCCAGTGCTGAGAGGTCCTGCTGCCTGGACACCCAGCCACCAGTGGCCTCATATTTGGTGGACATAGGGAGAAGGCTGTAGGAATTCCAGGCTCAAATGACAACAGAGACAGACACCACCTGTTGTACGAACAAATTGCAGCCAGGAGTTTGGTCCGGGTCTGAGTTCTGCCATCCCTGCTTGGGCTGTGTGTGTCTCATTGCTTGGATCTCGTGTAAGGCAACAGAGAAAAAAAAGGCCATGTCACCATGGAAATAATCATTAACACAATGAGCAAACACTGATACCACATCTGACTGACTTTGCGGCCTTGGCCCACTCCCGGCGTTTCAGCAAAAGTCGTGCCCTTTGGATTGCACATTTCCAGCTAGATGTGCAGCCCGTCTGTTGCACCTCTCTTTCCATTCCTTCTCCACAGTTAGAGGTGGACACTCAAGGCTCCAAAAAGTATAAGACTTCCATCTCAGCCTTCAGAGGGCTTTCAGTCTCCATGGGGAACTGAGTTTTTTATGTTTGTTTGTTTTGTTTTAAGTAGAGAGCAGGGCTGGGCTAAGATTTAAATAACTGAAACGAGTCATAAGGTGCTGAGTTTCCTGGAAGACAATCTAGGCAATACCGTCGTGGACACTGGAAAGGGCAAATATTTCATGACGAACACACCAAAAGCAATAGCAACAAAAGCAAAAATTGACAAACGGGACCTGATTAAACTTAAGAGCTTCTGCACAGCAAAAGAAACTATCAGCAGAGAAAACAGATCATCTATGGAATGGGATAAAATATTTGCAAACTATGTATCTGACAAAGGTCTAATATCCAGCATCCATAGGGAACTAAATTTACAAGAAAAAAACCAAACAGCCCCATTAAAAAGTGAACAAAGGACACGAACATATGCTTTTCAAAAGAAGACATACATGTGGCTAACAAGCACATTTTAAAAAGTTCAATATCAATGATCATTAGAGAAATGCAAATTGAAACCATCATGAGATACCATCTCACACCAGTCGGAATAGCTATTACTAAAAAGTCAAATAATAACAGATGCTGGCAAGGTTGCAGAGAAAAGGGAACACTTATATGCTGATGATAGGAGTGTAAATTAGTTCAACCACTGTGGAAAGCCGTATCGTGATTCCTCAGAGAGCTAAAAGAATTACCATTCCACTCAGCAATCCCGTTACCGGGTACATACACAGAGGAATAGAAATTGTTCTACAGTAAAGATGCATGCACGTGTTTGTTCATTGCAATCCGCAGCTCACTGCACCCTCCGCCTCATGGGCTCAAGCAACACTCCCACCTCAGCCTCCTGAGTAGCCGGGACTATAAGCCTACACTACTCTGTTCATAATAGCAAAGACAAGGAATCAATCTATTGCCCAAAAATGATAGACTGGATAAAAAAAAATAAGTGGTACGTATACACCATGGAATACTATGCAGCCATAAAAAAGAATGAGATCCTGTTTTCTGCAGGAACATAGATGGGACTGGAGGCCATTATCCTCATATCCTAAATTATGAGAACACATGGACACACAGAGGGGAACAACACATACTTGGGCCTACTTGAGGCTGGAGGGTGGGAGGAGGGAGAGGATCAGAAAGACTATCTCTTGGGTACTAGGCTAATACCTGGGTGATGAAATAATCTGTACAACAAACCCCCCAGACATGAGTTTACCTACATAGCAAACCTGTACATGTAGGGTGATGAAATAATCTGTACAACAAACCCCCCAGACATGAGTTTACCTGTATAGCAAACCTGTACATGTAGGGTGATGAAATAATCTGTACAACAAACCCCCCAGACATGAGTTTACCTGTATAGCAAACCTGTACATGTAGGGTGATGAAATAATCTGTACAACAAACCCCCCAGACATGAGTTTACCTGTATAGCAAACCTGTACATGTAGGGTGATGAAATAATCTGTACAACAAACCCCCCAGACATGAGTTTACCTGTATAGCAAACCTGTACATGTAGGGTGATGAAATAATCTGTACAACAAACCCCCAGACATGAGTTTACCTGTATAGCAAACCTGTACATGTAGGGTGATGAAATAATCTGTACAACAAACCCCCAGACATGAGTTTACCTGTATAGCAAACCTGTACATGTAGGGTGATGAAATAATCTGTACAACAAACCCCCAGACATGAGTTTACCTGTATAGCAAACCTGTACATGTAGGGTGATGAAATAATCTGTACAACAAACCCCCAGACATGAGTTTACCTGTATAGCAAACCTGTACATGTACCCCTGAGCCTAAAATAATAGATTATTTTAAAAAGATACTGGGTTTATGAAGTCCCCAGGAGGTCAGGAGGAAGAGAGAACGCTTGAGACAAGCATGGTCAGTGAGGAGCTTGCAGGGATGGCAGAGGGGCAGGGAGCAGCAGAGTTTGAGTAGAGGAACCAGAAGCCCAGCCCTGGACCCATCTCTGCCTTCCTGTGTGTGCGCCTAACTCAGCTTTCAGGTGAGAGCTGGGGCTCAGGAGGTTATGTACTCACTTGAAGTTGCACGTCTAGGAATCTAGATGATGGTCCCATGTCTGCTGTGCCCCCGCCCTACGCTATTGCTAGGACAGCCAACCTCTACTCAGGGGCTGCAGCCGGTCAGCTGGCATCTACCAGGCTCAGCTGAGAGGGGTTCAGAGCCTAGAGGAGCTGTGGCATGCCAGGTCTAGGCTGCCTGTTGGCTGCTGTCAGGATGAATGCTGTTGTACATAGATTCTTTTTGGCAACCAGAGACTTTCAGACGTCAATGGCCATGCAGTCTCCATGTTGCCCTTCCCATCCTGACACCACACACTCCTTATGCTGCAGCCACCATGGATGCCTGAGTGAACAGCCCTCAAATTCTATTCTAACTCCTTATTTAAAAGATAAGGAGACCCAAGACTGAGAAATTTGACATAAATAAGCAAACCGGCTTGCCTGAGCTGAGTACTGCGTTTGGTCTCACGATAGCTGCCTGCTGGCGTCTGATTTTCACAGCTAGTACAACCTTCCAGCACCTTCCAGGATTGGTTTCTGAAAGAGGGGATTGTTTTTGCTCCCAGTCCCCCTAAACATTCTGTAGGTAATTACAGCACTCATGGCCCCATTTTCTCACTGTGTGTTTGCCACCTTGGGTCTGTTCAGATGGCAAGCTCCTGAAAACCAGGCACCTCCTCCTTGTACCCATGGCACCGTCGTGGTGCCTGGCTGCTGTCAGCACAGAGCATTAGCTCTGAGACACCTCCTCCTTGTACCCATGACACTGTCGTGGTGCCTGGCTGCTGCATTAGCTCTGAGACACTGCTGTGTTTCCCTCCTAGTTCTGCATCAGGTGGTACTGTTTTGTTTTGGTGGCTTGGTTCATTTTTTCTTATTGCAGTATTATCACTGCATAGAAAGCAGAAGTGGTCTTCCCATATTGTGTAAAATCCCCATTAAACATACACCACATGCTTCAGAGCGGCAGGAACAGGAAGAAGGATGGGATTCCCCGTGCCCGAAGGTATACCAAGTCTACATTGTCCTGAGAGTTAGGGACTACATACACTTGTCCGTGCAGCATTTGGGAAGGTCAGAGGAGACGACTGTGTGGTGTGCATTGGAGAAGCGTGGGACCCCTGTGCTCACCACCACCCTAAGCCCCTGTGAGGCAGGGGGCACCTGGTGCACTGTGACCAGCACTCTCCCAGCTTCCTGCCAGGAGGAGCCAGCTCCTTAGGTTCTGTAGGGTTTGACTTAAAGAAAATTTTAAAACATGATTTTTCAACAAGTTGATTGCCAAAAAATCTCTGTGGTTAGGGAGGCACCTCCCTACTGGTCACTAATTCCCCCTGCCGAGCCTTCTGCCCGGGCAACTGCTCCACAATCTCCAGCTGCACCATGTGTTTTGAAAAGCATTTCTCCCCGCCCCTCTGGGGTTTTTCTCCTCCTCCAGTGGTGAAATTCCCGAGGGCACTGAGTGGGTTACTCTTCACAAGCACAGAGCTAAGCCCAGTCCTGGTAGAAAGGACACACAAAGAAGACCCAAGACCATGAATATGCTCTTGACATTACTCTGTGGGCTCTGCTGTTACTCTGTGGGTTCTGACGTTACTCTGTGGGCTCTGCTGTTACTCTGTGGGTTCTGACGTTACTTTGTGGGCTCTGCTGTTACTCTTTGGGCTCTGCTATCACACTATGGGTTCTGATGTTACTCTGTGGGTGCCTGCTATTATTCTGTGGGTCCTGCTGTTACTCTGTGGGCTCTGATGTTACACTGTGGGTTCTGCTGTTACTCTGTGGATCTCTCTGTGGTTACTCTCTGAATTCCTGCTCTTACTCTGTGGACTTCTTTTGTTGCTTTGTGAGTTTCTGCAGTTTGTTTACCTCTTTACCATCCATCCAGGAATTCTTTCACTAGGAATTGTGAGGATGCTAGCCAATTGGGCTAAATTTAATATTACTATGTCCCCCATTGTGGTGGTGGGGTCTTGGCTTGGCAATTTCTACTAGTATTCCATATGCAGTTAACCTTGACACATCAGTGAAAGAAAAATAAAATTTCAGGCCTCCAAACTTACTATGCCAAAGGGAAAAGTTAATATTGGCAAAACACACACACACACACACACACACACACACACACACACACGCAGTCTTCTTTTTGTTCCCAAAAGCTTACTTTATCTTATGTGAAATGTAGATCTACTGAGTATGAGACAGATGCATAACCCTCCCCCATACCTTTCTTTTCACATGTGAAATGTAGATTTGCTGTACTCTAATCAGAGCCTCACAAAAATGTGACCACTTGCCTCATAGCCTACTCTCCCCTCTTTCCCCTCCTACCGGCGCTTTTCCCTTAAATATTTGGAAAAAAGTACAGGCCAAAAATCCTACTGTAACCTGTGTTTCTTTTTCCCCAGACACGTCCACGATTTTGGCAGAATAAACCTCTAAATCAGTTGTGATCTGCCTCAGACACTTTTTGCTTTACACAACAATCCAATCATAGCGATTTATTTGGAAATATACCTTCACAAGTTAAATCAGACCACAGCGCTACTGGGCATTATTTATAATGGCAAACTATTGCAAACAATTTAAAACCTATCATAGACATCATAGAAACTATTCTAATAAATTGATACATTTATATAATAGAATAATCCGCAACCTTGAAGGGAATGAAGGAAGGAATAAAGAGAGAGGGAAAGGAAGAAAAGAACGGAGAGAGGGAAGGAGGGACAGACAGGTGTTTAAATTGGGGATGTGCAAGCAATATTGCCTACTTCATTGCCTTCACATTATTTAAAAGCATGTGGTCAAGAAACACTATTATAATAAGCACTTCAGAAATAACTTCTAAAATTACTTTTCCAAAATATGAATCCATACTATACACTTCCTGTAATGTGCACCACATGTAGATGCACACATTTTAACAAGGAAAAGACTAATACTCATATTTGCTTGCTACACACCAGACACTGTTTTAAATGTTTTGCACACGCTAACTCATTTGTTCTTATGGAAATCCTGTAGCGTGCACCGCCACCTCCATGTTTCTAGGCGGAAACTGAGGCACGGGGGCTGCGGCTCCTGGACCCACCTGGCCTTCTCGGCCTGCCTCTCTCCCTCCAGCCGCCCCACATTCTTTTTTCCTAATTGGAAAAAACTATTCACGCTGCTCCTCCAGGGCATTTCAACCTTCTAGAAAGATTCGACAAGATTCGAAACTGTTTATAAAGAGAACGTGCTTGTGCCCGAATGCTGAGTGTGAGCGCGCAGTGATGCCCTAGAGTGCAGTCATCCCGGGCTTGGCGCCCAGCGGGTGGAAATACGGCCGCAGGGTGGAAATGCGGCGGCGGGGCTGCCCAGGCTCCTGTGGGACCCGCGCGGCGCGGGCACGCACATTCTCAGGGACGCGCGTCCTCAGGCCACGAGAACACCTGAAGGCCCCGGCCAGCGTCCTCCCGTGAAGACCCGGACCGGCGTCGTCACCCGCCGCGCAGGCCTAAATCTCAGGTCTTCACCGTCATCTCCCAGCGATCGCAGGGATCTCAGGCACTGACCGCGCCCGTCCCTGCGCACCCGAGCCCCACCCCACGCCCCCACGCCCCCACGCCTCCACGCCCGGCACTCTGGACGCGCGCGGACGGAGGGGCAGTGCCTACTACGCAGGCGCACGCTGCGGGCGACAGGACCAGGCAGCAACATTGCCACGCGGATCCGCGCCGGCCAATCAGCATGGCCAGGGGCGGGGCTTCCCTGAGGCGCGCCGGGAGGCGGCGGCCCACTTCCGGCAATAACCGCCTGGTCGCCGTCAGGTGCGGGCCCAGGTGGCCGGCGCGCCCGTTGGGCACTGGGGGACGCGGGCGCGTCAGGTGAAGACTGGGGGCCGCAGGCGCGCTAGGTAGGTGCGGGGTGCAGCGGGCGCGTCAGGTGAAGACTTGGCGCCGCAGGCGCGTTAGGTGAAGATTGGGGCTCGCGGGCGCGTCAGGTGGGGACGACGGGCCACGGGCGAGTCAGGTGAAGACCGGGGGCGGCGGGCGCGTCAGGGGAAGACATGGGGTCGCGAGCGCGTCAGGTGGGGACGGGGCCTGTGGGAGGGTCAGGTGGGGACCGGGGGCCTCGGGCGCGTCAGGTGGGGACGGGGTTGTCGCGGGCGCGTCAGGTGGGGACGGGATTGCCGCGTGCGCGTCTGCTGAAGTCTGGGTCCGCGGGCGCGTCAGGTAGGGACGATGGGCCGCGGGCGCGTCAGGTGGGGTCTGGGGGCGGCCGGCGGGTGTGGAGGGTTCATTCAGGGAGCTGCGGGCGAGTCGGGTGGGCACGGGGGCCGCCCACAGGTGCACCGCGCGTCCTCAGCCGCTTCCCCTGCCCACCTTCTGCGACCCCTTCCCGCCCCCACCCTCCTGGGCCGTCTTGCAGGCCCGAGCTTGTGTCCGCCTCGCTGGGCAAGGTGTTTCGGGGACGACTCCTGCCGGCGTTTGCCCTCCGGGCTCGGTCCTTGCCTCTTCGCCGGTGGGCACCTGCTAGGTGTGACCCCTCATTCCTCCAGGCCACTCTGCCCCGTCTGCTGCTTACCTTTTTTTCCCTACTCCTGGTCTGTGGCTCTGGCTCTGTCTCTGTCTCCTCCCTTAATTTCTTTCCATGCTTATTTTTCTTGCAGCAGACACTAATTTTGCATCCTTCCCCTCACAGTAAGCTCAATTTGACCTTTTTCTCAATTAGATTCCACCTCTGTCCTTGGGCCTATTCAAACTCATTTTGAAGACTAAAGAATCTAGAGAACCATTTCTTCCCTTATGAAGCTGTCTCTTGCTGCCTCCAAATCCTTACCATCCGGCCCTAATCAGAAAAGACGTTTACTCTTTCATATTCTGTTTTCTCCTCGTCTTTACGTGTTTACCTTTCCCATGAGGAATCTGTGATTATCTGTAAGTCCTTAGAGTACAACTTATTTCTGACTCTCAGCCCTCAGTTTGCCATTTTTTAAAATGTCCTTTCTGGATCAAATTTGTCCACACTTATAAGCAAAACAAATAGGGAAACACATGTGGTCTTTTAAGATGGATTGGAGTTTTCTTTCCTGTGTTGTATTCCTTGTTTTAGTGCCTTTGTATTTAGGTTCATCATTACTTGAAATCATATTAGTGATCTGTAATAGACGGTAAAAAAAAAAAAAGTTAAAAAGCTTATAATTTAATGGCATCTGTTTTAATAGGGTTTTCAGGAACTGCTATTATAAACATAGTGGTTAGGAGCATGGATCCTGGAGTGAGACTCCATCATTTTGAATCCCAGCTCCACTGAACTCTTTGCCTCAGTGTCTTCATCTTTAAAATACATAATGAAACTTGTAAAACAAGAATAATGTTTTCTACCTTGGAGGACAGTGTGAGGATTAAATGAGACAACATATGTAGATTGTTTAGAGTAATGCGTAGCCTATGGTAAGCTCTAATAAATGTTTGCCATTATTATTGTTAAGAAAAAATATGCTTGTTGAAGGAAAGACATTTTTTTTTGTTCTGAGTCTCTCATGCCAAGAGTTTCCACCAGCAAATGAACTTCATGAAGTCCTTTTCTACTGAAGTATCCCACCCACGTGTCCTACCACATGAAATAGAAATTAAGGGAAGATTTTAAATAGTTAATCATTGTAGGCTGTCTGAAATAAGTTGGCATAAAATGTGCTTAAAATTTGCAAATTATACAAGCTACACCCTTTGAGTGCTTGCTCTTAAAAGTTTAATAATTTTCAGGAGTAATTTCTAGTTTTTTTGTGTTTGTAAATTCCCAAAATAAAGGTAATTTTAATTAAAATAAGCGTATAAAGCTCTAGCAATTCACATTTTTTAGCTGAACAAATACATTCCCATTGAAAGCCGTGGGTCATCATCATTCTATAAAACTTTAGTAGCATTGTTTTCTGATTTGCAAACTCAGAAGCCTCAGTTTGGGAGTATTTTTGAAAACTTGAGATCCAGACCCCAGACGTTTTAAATTGCAACTTGTCTTTTTTTGTTGGTGGTGTTGTTTTTAATCTGCATCCAGAGTTTGTGCTTTAGTTCATGAGCTGTATAGATTATGCTTTAAGAAAAACTTCATTGTGATCCATAGAGCATACCATAACAAATCTGTGAAGCACACACATCTTCAGAGAAACAAATCTTTTCCTCTGTGTTGAAAATAAGCCTTTGGGCATGGACTATTTTTTTATTTCCATGGCTGCATTTCACTCCTTTCAACCCTTAAAAAATCAAACTTATCAGCTGAGAAATTCAGACCAAACTATTCATTTTTCACTGAGTTGCCAAAATGAATTATCTGTAGAGTTTAGGTAGTTGTAAAAGAATTGGTTATATTAATGGAAACAGTAGGCAGGCTCTTTATGTAAATGTTATAAAGATTGTGAAACTAGAAGATAAGTGTATTAAATGATGAGTGGGCATAGTGTCTAAATAGGTAAGTACAATATTTGTGTGTCATCAAGTTTTAAAATATTTTTTCAGCTGAGGATACCGGGATGTACATAGGACAGTCATCCAGATAAGGTTCTGTTGGCAAGATATTTGTTGCCTAGTTGTTTTTTTCTGTCTCCATGTTTTTCATTTGATCTATCCTACAAGCCCTAGAAAATTATTATTCTCAAAACAACACTGCTCACGCTGATCTGTTGCTGAAAAACGTTTAATTACTGACAGAATAAAGTCTAAACACCTTTGATATTCTTCTATGACCTGGCTTCTAGTCGCTTATGTACCAGTCCTCTGATAAACTTTCTCCATTTTATCCCATCTTTTCTGCTTATTTTTCTCAAACTGTGGCACACATTTTGCCCTTTATACTTATTCACCCACCATTCCCATGATTGATATTTTTTGCCTTGCCTCTCCATTCATTTAAGATCTAACCATGCTTCAGGGCGAAGATCGAGTCCTAGTTTCTAGTCAGAGCTTTCCCAGCTGATTTGCTTTCTGCTCAAATTAACTTTATTCTCTCTTTACCACAAGTTACAAGATTGTGGACATATCTGTATGTATGTATACATGCACACTCACATATCTACATGTAAACACACTTTATTATATTACACTTGTATGGAATTTGTGTGTGTTTTGCTATTGTTCTTTTTTAGTTCCTTAGCTAAATTGCACACTTTTGAGGGCAGGAACATCTAGCATAATAACATGTAGTTGGTGCTCAAATGTTTGTCGTTGAAGTAATCCTGTATTTGGTCTGTTAGCAATATTTTTCAGGATTATCCACTTGATTTTTTTTTTTAATATAGATTTCTGAATCCACAGTTTCAAGTTGATATTGAGAGATAATTTGATAATTATCAGAGATGTTCCTAGCAGCCATTTTCTGTTGAATGTGTTTTATGAGACTCAAGGTGCCACTTCAGTCATCTGCTACTTCATGGTCTTTGCTGCCTTTGGTGGGAATGTTCTTGAAAATCATAAAATCAGCTGTATGCTATTAGAGACAGTTTTAGATAACTTTAGGTCGACTGAACATGGGCATTGAGTTTTGCATTTTAGGATGTTCAGTAGTTGTGAAGCAGTTCTGTGAGACAAAGTTTATCAAAATTGTGCTGAAATTTAAGGAATAAAGTATTTTCTAAAGCAAGAATTTAAATTAATCATTATGTGACTGAAAAAGACATGTTCTGACTATAAGTCAGTTTAGCAAGGTTTGAGATTTTCTTCGTGTAAAGAATAATTACTTCATCATTTCCTACACCAGTCAAGAATTAAGCATTTGTGGTTGATCCAGGAATATTGTTGAAGTCTATGTAATTTCCTTCCTTTTTTTTCTGTATCTTCTAGGATTGTATAAGTGCCCATTTAATAGCTTGTTTTTTGTTAATTATACTAAATATAGTTGGGAGGTGGTGTTTGGAGATGTTCATCTCTCATTTATTCTCCATGATGTAAATATTCTACATTTTTCTCTACGATATAAATATTCTATATTATAAAATACTCAAGTCTGTTCGGGACGTGAAATTAAAGTAATACATTACAGAAACCACTTTTGCTTGAGTAATTCAGCTACCTTTCTGTAGCTAAATTCAACGTATATTTTCAACTCTTGCCATGCTTGGCATTTTTATAACATTTTCGTCTCTGTCGACCATTTCTTTCCTGAAATACATTTTTCTCCTGACTTCCTACTTCTCCCTCTACCTTTTTGGCTCTTCCTTTTCAGTTTTTCTTCTTGGCTTATATCTGCCGATCCCTTAAATGGTGATGTTTCTTAGGGTTTTTTTCTTGGCTCTCTTGATTTCCCTCTCGACATATTCTGTGATATTATTTGTGTGGTTTTGATTAGTGTCTGAATGCTCATGATTTTCCTCTTTCTCTCTAGTCTAACTCTCTTCTGAACCATGGATGTATATATTTATTCATTCAGTAAATAAATACTTATAGAGCTCCTGTTGTTTTCCTGGCATTGTTCAAGGTAATGGAATACGGACCTGAACAAGACATTGCATTTTCTTGGAGGAAAACAGATGATAAACACGCTAATCATTTCAGACAGCCCTTACAACTATGAAGGCACTAGATAATGGCTTAGACTGGTAGGGAGGGGGTTGAGGCAGCAGAAGGGCGCTGTTTGGACGGGGAGTCAGGGAGCCTTTCTGGGATGTGACATTTTGAATCAGCAGTGTGAGCATCTGAGGTGGTTTTTAGCCTCATGCACAGTCTCACTGTGTATGAGAATCACCTGTGGACCTTTAAAAACTACTTAAACTTAGCCTTCACCCCCAAATATTCATATTTAACTGAACTAAGATGGGACTAAGCACTTGAATGTTTAAAAAGCTTCCTGTGATGTTAATGCACAGCAGTAGTTGAAAACCACTGATCAAGAGGAGCAGAAATCAAGTCAGTGGGAAGAACTAGCATTTGAAGTCTCACTCTTATCAAATTGTGAGCGTCATGAAGTTAATCACGAAGTTGCATCATTTTTTAAGTCATAATTTTTATACCTGGAGTCTGGTATTTCAAACTGAACAGGCATGTCCTAAGCTGAAATTAATATCCCTTATCTCTCCTTTCCTAATAAAACCCTGCTGTTCCTTCTGTATGTCTTATCCCAGATCCAGGGGCTACAAAACAAAATCTAGATAACTTCCTTGATTTCCTCCTCACGTTTCCAGACAGTCTTCAAGTACTGTTTGACTCTGTTTCCTAAATATTTCTGCAGTCTCTGCTCTTCTGTTTATTTTGCCACTGTATACTCTCACCTTTTAAAGGTCAACATTCAGAAGCCTCCAGTCCCAACTACTTTCCTCCAGGTGACCCTCACCCCATACCTTCTCCCACTGTGATACTGAGTTCTTTGTAAACCACAAATCTGATTGAATCACTTACCTGCTTACTTCCCTTTTTTGGCCCCTCATTGCCCTCAGAATAGCATCCAACTCCTCTAACTTGATCCAGCCTTAAATGACTTCTCCATCCTTAATTCTGGCCCACTCTCTCTCATCTATTCTAAGCTTCAACCAAACTGAACTACTTAGAGTTGCTGAACATGAATACATTTCATTTTCGGTTGCTTCTAACTTCTGGCAAAGAGAGAATACTTGTTTGGAATAATATTCCCTATTCCACACTCCCTGACCCCTGCTTGTTTTTCAGGTATGAGCTAGAATGTCACCTCTGGTAAACCTTTCATGGGATACGCAGTATTAGGCCAGTAAAACCACGTTTACTTACCCCATTTGATCACTTTAGTACACAGTACTGTGTTATTGTCACTGTCACCAATGTCGAGCCAACGTTTAATTAATGAGCAGACATTTAAATGTTAAGAACTTTAATCTTTAAAATTAATAAATGTTCTAAGTGAAAAGAAACTTTTATGAATTATATATACTTTTTAACATAATTTAACTTTTTCATAGGAGAACTATGCCATTTTTGGGTCAGGACTGGAGATCTCCTGGATGGAGTTGGATTAAGACAGAAGATGGCTGGAAGAGATGTGAATCTTGTAGTCAGAAACTTGAAAGAGAGAATAACCGTTGTAACATCAGTCACAGCATGTAAGTTACAGCTGAGCAGAACCATGCCATTTGCCAGTTTAGCATGTATGGCCTTACCTATTTTTCAAGTCCCTGCAAAGCTCCATAACTTTTGAGACTTGCCCACCCAGAAGGCTGGTGTGAAGAGACAAGTTGTTTAGCTAAAAAATGAGGCTAGTAGATTGCCTAATATTCATACACAGATGCTTTCGTCTTTTTTTTTTTAATTTAAAACATTTAATCCTCACAATAATTGGGAGAGAGGTATTATTTTTAATCCCACATTATAGCTGAGGAACCTGAGGAAATTGAAATGCACAGTTTTGGTGGCATATATCAGAAATGTAGTAATAGTGGCTTACACAAGACAAATCAGTTTTTCTCCCTTGAAAGCCTGAGTTGGCATGATGACTTTGCTCGTAACATTGTCAAGGGGCCAAGCACAGTCTGTCTTGTCGCTCTGCCATCCCAAGAGTGCAGCCTTACCTGCATGGTCCAAAACGGTGTATTACCTGCTACATTTGCGCTCAGGCCGAAGGGTAGGTGGGGTTGGTGAGACACGACCTGTGTTTCAGTGGCACAGCCCAAAAGTTACATGCATCACGTTGCCCACACCTTGTTGGCTAGAGCACTAGCGCAAGGGATGCTGGGGGTTGTGGCCCAGCCATGTGTCCAGATAAAAACCAGAGACTGCATGAGCACAGTACCAGGGTAGGTGGCTATTGTATGATGACTACAGTGTCTACCACAGTGGTGTTTGAGAATTTGGAGGGCTAGGAAGGTCTTGAGATAGCCTCCTCTAGAATGTCATGGGTCTAGTCATTTATTGTATATTATTTTACATTTGTGTAATTATCAACTGTGTGCTTGATGGGCCATATGTTTTTCTGACAGAAGTTCAGTAACTTTAGGCCAGAGACTGGTTTTTGCAGTATTTGAAGCAGAAATTAATTTTCCATTTTAGTTACAGTGAGGATAACACATAATATTTTTAAACTTATATTGTAGCAGTTCTCTGCCACGCTAAGATGTATTTAATGTTGATAGCTGTAAAACTTATTTAAAGCTTGTAATTATGCTGTTGGTATTGCATAATGTTATACAGTTATGAATTTTCTAGGTCATTTTTACTATCTTATAATTTTTATGGCAGTTTTTTTAAAATTTAAAGATGGTTGACTATATCTAGAAATGTCAGGTGTCTCACATTTACTCCCAGTAGCCACTATTAAATGTGGATTTTAGGATGGGGAGATATATTACAGAATGTCAATTTAAAAAAAGCTGTAATGCTTGAAGTGCAGTGTTACTGCTGCATCTGCGGTGAGGAATTTGTGGGAATTTGTTTTTTTCCCTCATGTATTCTTTTTCCCATCATCTCAAACACATTTTAAATGTCTGAGAATTGTTTTTTTTTCCGCTGCACACATAAAATTAGAGAATACAGTCGAGATATGTTTTCTTTGCATAACTGGCTACCCCTCTGTCTCCCTTTCCCCTTCGCCCAAACTTACCTACAGATCCGCCCCTTTGAACCAATGGCTGCTAACACAAGCATCCCTGCGCAAAAAGGTTTTATGACAGCAACGCTGGGTACCCTCTGTAGGGCACAGTGAGCGAGAACTAGTCAGCACCACCTTTTACCCCACCTAGTTGCTTTGCAGTACTGGGATCCCCCGCCCTGCTTCCTACTCTGCCATTTCGTTCATCTTCCTCTGACTTTTGTCCGTTCCTACCAAAATGGAAATCCAAACCTGTGGGTAGAGGCTGTTGGTGACCTGAAACTGCAGCAGATGTTTAATGTATCCTTTCTCTGGAAGGAAAAACCATTTAACTTTGAACCTAAAATTGATTTTAAAAAGATAAGACCATATGTAATCACCATTTAAAATCACTATATAAATGGCCTTCTCTTTCCCCCACATGTCTTTGAGAAACATAGTACTCCTAATTCTTTGATTTAAGGTGGGCTTTCAAAACTTAGAAAAAGAACTATAGTAAAAATAATTTAGGTAATCAAGATTCTACGTAACTTTGTTAATTTTCTTTTTTGTGAACGTGCGTGAAAATAGGCCTTTAGTATCCTTCTGCTTACTTTTCAACTCATTTTAGTATTCAAAGTTTAGAGAACATAGGGAAGAAATTAAGCAATTCAACATGGTTGATCTGGGGGCAGCCAGCCAGTTCATACTCTGAAAGCTGCTCTTTCAAGCAACATTCATGATATTACTGAGGTTTAAACATAGTTTGATAGACAGAGGATTCATCTTAACCCTGACCTAAGTAAGCCTTTTATTAGGCTGTTGATTCAGAATAGAGGGTAGGTCGGCTGGGGTCCAGATTGAAGAGAGGACAGCCAGTTAAGGGTTTCAGTAGACAGGTGAGAAATGTTGAGTGCTGCCTATGGTGATGTCTGCACAGCTGGACAGAGGGTCAGGATCAGTAAAAGAGTGAGTCACATATTGATTGGACTAGCCAAAAGGGTGGCCCTGAGAAGGACTCTGAGGGTTCAGCTGGGGAAATGGTGTAAGTAAATAATCTGGCTGGGTCTTCTCTCCAGCGTAGTGTTTCTGCCACTCAGTTTTATGTTTGATGACAGAAATTGTATGATTCCTATAAAGGAAAGATACTGAAGAAGAGTGTCTAAATACTATATATCTTTAAGAATTTCTAACCTTTTCCATCAGATTTCAGTGTTATTATGGGCACTGTAATTGCCTATAGTTATTTCAGTATAACTATAGGCGCTGTTGAGGATATATAAGAAGTTGTTCCTTGTCTTTTATGAAGTTGACATTTGACAAGGGAGTGTGTAGTCAAACATAACGCATTCAGCTCAGTCTTGGCAGAGACTCCCATTGCTTGCTCCTCCTTGTTCACCCACTCATTTATTTGCTTTTTTCACTTGCTCACTCATTTATTCTTCCACTCATTCTGTAAACTGATGTTTCTTGGTCATCTGCTATGTGCCGGTAGGGCCCCCATGCGGCCCACAGCCCCACTGTGTTTGCTTGGTTGGCCTGCTCTACTCCTCTTTGTGTTATCAATATTTCAAACTCCTTCACTCTACTCTGATGTTCGGCTCCCTACATACTCCTTCCCCATCTTTTCAAAACAACCGGATCTCTTGTGTCACCAGGAAATCCAGAGCCATCAGACTTTTTCTCAGAACCTTAGGTTGATTTAAAATTTTCATCTTCATTGACTTTATCCTGAATCTTTATTTTTTGTCCAGAACACCTGAGATATTCCGAACAGAGGCTTATTTTTGTTAATTATCTCACAGGGAACAGTTAAGTGTGTTGCCCTTTGCCTGTTGATTACCCCCAGGGGTAGAGTCATAGGGATTTTTGTTACATGAGTGGTAGTGGCTTTTCTTTGCTCTTGATGGGAAGGACACAGCTTTCCCCACCCCTCCAGAAAGGGTTTCCTTGGAAATGGAATGGGCCGGAGTCCTACCTCTACTCCTTTGTTGGGTAGATAAAATCTACCCAGGAGCCAGACTTAGAGATGTCTCTGGTCTTATTATTACACATACTGTTACACCTGTTTAGTCCACAATATATTAAGGATTTACTATGTGCTGTGGTGTCAGGATACAGCAATAAATGAAACATGAAAACCCATTTCTGATGGAGCTTGCATTCTGGTGAAACAGATAGGCAGTGGACAAGATGAGTTCCGCAGTGTAGTAAGTGTGATAGTATGTGGGAGATAAGAAATGCTAAGGATGGGTGGTGGTAGAGGAAGATCTATAGAGAGTGGCCTCTAAGAAGCAATCTGTGGAAGGAAACCTTAGGCAATGAGAGCAGGATGAATGGATATCTGAGGGCAGGGCCTCCCCGGCAGGGAAAGAAAAGTGCAAAGGCCTCAAGGCAGGAGTACATCATCTGGCATATTCAGGGACAGCAGGGTTCCAGCATGGGTAAGGGGAGCCCGGAAGCGGGGCCAGTAGGAGACAAGATCCCAGCCTGACTGGGTCCCAGCTGTGAAGTACCTGTTGTCATAGTAAGGACTTGGGCTTTTCTGAGTGATGTGGGGAGTCAGGGGTTTGAGTAGAAGAGTGATTTGTTCAGGCCTATGCTTTAACAGGATTATTCTGGCTACCGTGTTAAAAACAGACTTCCAAGACGCAGGACAGAAGCAAGTGGACCAGTTCTTAAGAGGGTTGGGTTAACCCCCATGGGAAATGATCATGGCTTAGAGAGAAAGGAGGCGGTGGATGAGGAAGGGCTCAAATCCTGGATGTATTCTGCAGGTGGAACTGACACATGGAATGTGTATGGTGCAGTAAGAGGGTCGAGGGGTGAGACTAAGACTTTGGCCTGAGCAGCTAGAAGGTAGAGTTGCATTAACTGATATAACATCTAAATCCGCCTTGTCTTGCACAGGGTCCTTGGGTCTGTGCCTAGGAACAGAAGCACAGTGTCACAGGTCATGCGCCTCTTTCCCTTTCCAGTGAGGTGGTGTCACCATGTTCTCCTAATGCATTGCATGTTCATCCTTTTCCTCCACTTGTATTTCCTGGAAGTTGTTCCATGTCAGTGTGCATTGAGTTCCTCATTCATTATAAGGATGGCATTTCATTGTTTAGGTATACCATAACTTATTTGTCCAGGCTTCCACTGACATCATTTTGGCTATTTCCCACTTTTCATTATTTCTAGTGGTATAGCATGGGTCATCTGTGAATATCTCTTTGCATACTTGTGTGAATATTTATGAAATCTAAGGTCCTAATAGAATCGTATATTTAAAATTCTAGTATTGCCACATTACCTTCTGTAATTTTGTACCAGTTTATACTCTGCATAGTAGTGTACACAGATTCCCATTAATTCACACTTCACCCAAGTTGTGTGTGTGTCAGTGCAGGTTACACACTGCACAAGGGGAGGGTTTCATCATGAGGGAATAATGGCTGAAATGCATCTGTGTGCCTTGTGTAGGCTGCATGTGTGTCTTCATGTAAAGGTGCTGTCTGCTCCCATGCCATCTGCGTTTTGGGGACAGTGCACAAGGTGTTTACAGCAGCCTTGTCTTTGTAATTACTTTAACTAGTTTGGTGGGCAAAAAACATTAGACATTTTATTTCTTTTCCTTTCCCTTTCCTTTCCTTTCTTTTGTTCGTTTGTTTGTTCTTTTTTTTTTTTTTTTTTTTTTTTGAGATGGAGTCTTGCTCTGTCACCCAGGCTGGAGTGCAGTGGCATGATCTCGGCTCACTGCAACCTGTGCCTCCTGGGTTCAAGCAATTCTCCTGCCTCAGCCTCCTGAGTAGCTGGGACTACAGGCGCCCACCACCACACCTGGCTAATTTTTGTATTTTTAGTAGAAACAGGGTTTCACCATATTGACCAGAATGGTCTTGATCTCTTGACCTCAGGTGATGCACCCGCCTCAGCCTCCCAAAGTGCTGGGATTACATGCGTGAGCCACCGTTCCCGGCTTGTTTCTTTATTAAGTAAGAGAGCTCTTTCAAAAGAAATTATATTTCCCCTGTTTACACTTCTAAAAAACTAAGAAGATAAGAATAGTTAATTTACAAAACACTAGGATGCACAGTGCAACAACAGGAGAAATCAAAGTTTTTTTAACCAAGGTAGTTCAATTGGGAAGGGAAAGATTTTTTCAACTGGATAAACGTGCAAGGAAAAGTGAACCTCTACTACTCACTCTTACTGTGGACATAGCATTAATGTTAGATGGATTTTAGAATGAACTGTAAAAGGCTAAAACTGTAAAGTTTTAAGAAGAAAACAGTATTTTCACAATGTAAAGTAGGCAGATTGCTTACCACACAAAAACCACAAGCTGTGAAAGAAAAAAAAGATGAACTTCATATTAAAAACTTATACCTAAAGTCATCATTAGAAAGTCAGAGCAACGGCTGGGCGTGGTGGCGCAGGCCTGTAATCCCAACACTTTGGGAGGCCAAGGCGGGCGGATCACCTGAGGTCAGGAGTTCAAGACCAGCCCGGCCAACATGGTGAAACCCCGTCTCTACTAAAAATACAAAAAAAAAAAAAATTAGCCGAGCGTGGTGACAGGTGCCTGTAATCCCAGCTACTCAGGAAGCTGAGTCATGAGAATCACTTGAACCTGGGAGGTGAAGGTTGTGGTGAGCAGAGATCCTGTCATTGCACTCCAGCCTGGGCAACAAGAGCAAAACTCCATCTCAAAAAGAAAAAAGAACAAGGTTTACTATAAAATGTAAAATCACCACAATCAAGAGAGTGGTATGTGGTACTGGCGAAAAGATAGATACACAGGTCAGTGGAACACAACAGAGGACCCCAGATAAGTCCATACAGATATGGTCGGTTTGTTTTTGACAGTGGTGTAAAGGCACCTCTTAATATATTCCATGGAGAAAGTGTAATCTTGTCAGCAAATGGGCTAGAAAACTAGATGTGTATATGCAAAAATAAATAAAAACCTGTACAGCTCACATTTTATACAAAAATGAACTCAAAATGGATCATATACCTAAATGTAGAATGTAAAACTGTAGAACTTATGGAAGAAACCCAAAGGAAAGTCTGCATGATCTTGGGCAGAGTTTTTAGATACGATACCAAAAGCACATCTTTCCATAAAAGAAAAAAAATCTATAATTTGCATTTTATCAAAATTTTAAAATTCTACTCTCAGAGAACACATTTGTAAGTCACATATCTGACAAAGGGTTAGTATCCAGAATAATAAAGAACACTTAAAACTCAACAATAAGAAAACAACCCAGTAAAAAATTGGGCAATAGTTTCGGTGAACCTGTACTTCACCAAACAACTTGCATGGATTGCAGAGAAGCCCATGCAAATAAGCAGAGAAAAATAAGCATGTGATGCCCAACTTAATTTATTGTTAGGGAAACAAATGCAAGCAATCCGGAAGGTAAACACTGCAGCTAGCCTGAGGCCACGGTACCATTTGGGGCAAGCAGCTGACCAGCTAGAGATATAACAGTATGTTCTGGGGAATGAGACTGCCACAGTGGGCCTAGGTGATTTGGAAGGCTGTGCACCTTCCTCATAAGGTACCAGCAGAGGCCTACGTCAGTAGCTAAGATGAAAGAACAATCACGAAGCATCCCAGTGCTGGCAAGGACAGTGCCAAGTGCTGGCAGGAATATGCTCTCCAACCCTGCTACTGGGAATGCAGAATGGCACAGCCACTCTGGAAAACAGTGTGGCAGCTTCTTACTGTGTTACACTGCCTTAGGAGCTGGCAGTCTCACTCCTAGGTGTTTACCCAAGGTAAGTGAACATTCATGCTCACACAAAACCTGCATGTGACTGTTAATAGAGTTTTATTCAGTAATTGCCAACACTCAAAATCAGATATCCTTCAACTGGTGAATGAATAAACAAATTGTGGTAACATCTCTACAGGAGAATACCACTCAAAAGTCAAAAGGAACAAACTATTAATTCGCACAACATGGATGAATCTTAAATTCGTTTTGCTTAGTGAAAGAAACCAAACCTAAAAGGCGTCCATACTGTATGATTCTATCTAAAGGATGCGCTAGAAAAAGCACAACCATAAGGAAGACGAACAAATCAGTGGTTGCCAGGGGTTAAGAGTTGGGGAAAAGGAGTTGATGACAAAGAGAGTCAGAGGCAGTTTGGGGAGTGATGGGACTGTGTTAGATTTGACTGTGCACCTGTCAAAACCCATGGAACTGTGCACCACAGAATTTCACTAAAATCAACATAGATGTTTGTGTATGTGTTATTGGGGGGAGTGCCCAAATGATACAAACTGTGACAGATGAATCAAATGGTATTACAAACTTATCCCATAATCCAGGGGTCCCCAACCCCTAGGCCATGGATCGGTACCAGTCCGTAGCCTGTTAGGACCTGGGCCACAGAGCAGGAGGTGAGCAGAGGGCAGGCAGGCATTACTGCCTGAGCTCTGCCTCCTGTCAGGTCAGCAGCAGCATTAGATTCTCATAGGAGCGTGAACCCTGTTGTGAACTGTGTATGTGAATGATCTAGGTTGCTCACTCCTTTTGAGACTAACTAACTAATGCCTGATGATCTGAGGTGGCACAGTTTCATCCTGAAACCATCCCCCCTCCTCGCCCCAGTCTGTGGAAAAAGTGTCTTCTAAGAAATTGGTCCTTGGTGCCAAAACGGTTAGGGAATGCTGCCATAACCGTTGTGAAATGGATGTGGAATTAGCTGACTTATCAGTAACTTTGGAAAACAGTGTTTTGACAGGATGCTGTAAGGCTAAAGACAAAACCTGTGGTTAGTGCACTTGTTTCTCATAGGGGCATGGGTTAGCAATCTCAAAACTGTACATATTCTAGGAAGAAGTTACAAATAAGAAAGGATGGTGCTAGAGTTATCCTGTGGTTCTGGATCAGGGTTGGAGGTGTCAGCATGAACTAGGGCTGTTGGTTTTTTCAGAGAGAGAGAAATGTGGGTCTATGCATGTGTGAGTTAGTATAACACATCTGTTTTCTAAGTCTGTTGACAGAGGGCCTTAGAGCAGTGACACCTGCATCAGTGACTAGAGCCAGCCTGAGATGGTGGATCCTAAGGGCTCCTCAGGGAAGGGGTTGGTTCCAGGGCTGGGATAGAGCAAATGAAAGGTGAGTGATGGGAGCCTGTCAGATATCAGAAGGGTAGATGTCCGTCAAAAAGTGCTGCATTGGCCAAAGCTGGAGCAGTTTGAGCCACAGGATAGACAACAGTAGTAATGGATTATAACCTAAAAAAGAAAAGAAATAGCCATCCATTTAGGCTGATATGAATACATAAATGAATGTATAAGTGAGGGATAAGGAACAGTTCTTCCTTGTAGAATTCCAGTTAATAAATATAGAAGGAATAAGGGAAATAGAAAATCACCATGATAATTGTTATAAGCACAGTCCCTTGACAGATGCAGCAAGGTGAAATCTAACAGGTAAAAGAATTAGGAGAAATAGAATATCTGCCAAGTCTCCCCCCAAATAGCTATTCATTACAAAGGGAACAGTACTTTACAGTGGAGAAACCTGGCAGACACTGCCCCAACCAAGAACTCAAAGGTGGCATCATATTGGCAGCAGGTACCTGTGGTGTGGTGCTGTGTGAATGGCACATCATCTGTGGTGGTTTTCCCTAAGCTGAATCAGGAGAAAACAGCAGACAAACCTAATTTGACGGACATTCTACAAAATAATTGACCGGTACTCTTCAAGGTGATGAGAGGAGACTACAAACTCTTCTGGCATGGGGGGCCATGGTAGTGTGTCAGCTAAGTACAGTGTGGATCCTGGACTGGGCCCAGCAGCAGACGGGCTCTGGTGGGTGGCCTGGCAAAACAACAAAGCCTGTGGTTGAGCTGGGAGTACCATGCCAGAGTTCCTCTTCTGGTGTTGATCCTTGTTCTATGGCTGCATGAAGGTGGGTGGAAACTTGGGGACACTGTGTGTTCTGCCTCTGAAACTCTTGTGCAAGTCTAAAATCACCTTTAAAAGTCTTTTTAAGTCATCATTAAGAAAATTAATAGGCAAGCCAGAGGCATCACGTAGTCTGACTGTGCTGTCAGTCGTGTCTGGGGCCTGCGTCAGCACAGGGCTCGCAATGGTGGCTTACCTCTTAGTTCCCAAGGAGAGGCAGAGTGGAGAGCCTCCCTGGTGATTGACTTAATAGCTATATGGAGCTTTCTATGGTGTCTTTATTGGGTATGTGTTACGGGAGGTACACAGGTCAGGACTCCCTGAACTGTACTTAAAAGTCTATTCTGCTGTATATGAATTATGCCTCAGGAGAGAGAAGAGAACTTATGCTCCATTTGGAATTTATCTTGGAGCATGACGTGAGGAACAAATCTGTTTGTGTCTTTGTGCAGTAGCTGTCCAGTTACTGCAGCAGCACTACTAACTGAAAAGCCCCTTCCCTGCTGTGTTGAGATACCTCTTTTTCCCATACTAAATTTCCATGGGCAATTGGGACTACAGGGTTTTCTCTCTGTCTTCCTGGACTTCCCTCATCACACTGATGTAAATAGAGAGGCTTAATACTGTGTTTTCATGTCAGCTGGGGCTAGAGTCTTCACCATTGTGGTTCTTACTCAGAGTTGTCTGGTTATTTGTGCTTACTGGTTCTTCTTCTCCTTTTATTTTAGATACAGGGGGTCCATGTACAGATTTGTTACATGAAAATATTGCATGAGGCTGGGGTTTGGAGTACAGATCCTGTCACCTCGTTAGCATAGTACCCAATAGGTAGTTTTTTTTAACCCACCCCCACTCCCTCTACCTTCTAGTAGTCCCCAGTGTCTGTTGTTCCCATGTTTGTGTCCATGTGTGCTCAGTGTTTAGCTCCCATTTATAAGTGAGAACATGTGGTATTTGGTTTTCTGTTCCTGCATTAATTTGCTTAGAATTAAGTCAAGCTCCATCCATGTTGCTGCAAAGGGTGTGATTTTATTCCTTTTTTATGGCTGTGTAGTATTTCATGATGTATAGGTACCACATTTTCTTTATCCAGTCTACCATTGATGGGCACCTGGGTTGATTCTGTGTCTTTACTATTGTTAATAGTGCAGCGATGAACATAGGAGTGCCTGTGTCTTTTTGGTAGAATGATTTATTTTCTTTTGGATATATACCCAGTAATGGGGTTGCTGGATAGAATGGTAGTTCTATTTTAAGTTCTTTGAGAAATCTCTAGACCACTTCCCACAATGGCTGGACTGATTTACATTCCCGTCAACAGTGTATAAGCATTCTGTTTTCTCCTCAGCCTTGCCAGCATCTGTTGTCTTTGACTTTTTAGTAATGGCCATTCTGACTAGTGTCAGATGGTATCTCATTGTGGTTTTGATGCATTTCTCTAATGCTATGTGGTACTGAGCCGTTTTCATGTTTGTTGGCCACTTGTATATCTTGTTTGAGAAGTGCCTGTTCATGTCCTTTGCCCATTTTTTTTTTTTTTTTTTGAGACAGAGTCTCACTCTGACACCCAGGCTGGAGTGCAGTGGCGCAATTTCCGCTCACTCCTTTGCCCATTTTTTAATGGGGTTGTTTGTTTTTTTGCATAAGTTCCCTGTAGATTCTGGATATTAGGCCTTTGTCAGACGCATAGTTTGCAAATAGTTTCTCTCATTCCGTAGGTTGTCTATATTCTCTGTCAATAGTTTCTCTTGCTGTGCAGAAGCTCTTTCATTTAATTAAATTCTACTTGCCAATTTTTGTTTTTGTTGCATTTGTTTTTGGGAACTTAGCCAAAAATTCTTTGCCAAGGCCAACGTCAAGAAGAGTATTTCCTAGGTTATCTTCCAGGATCTTACAGTTTGAGGTCTTACTTTGAAATCTTTAATATATTTTGAGTTAATTTTTGTATATGCTGAAAGGTAGGGGTCTGGCTTCAGTCTTCTGTATGTGGCTAGCCAGTTATTCCAACACCATATATTGAATAGGATGGTCTTTTTCCACTGCTGTTTTTGCTGGCCTTGTCAAAGATTGAATGGTTGTAGGTGTGTGGCTTTATTTCTGAGTTTTCTGTTCTGTTCATTGGTCTGTGAGTCTGTTTTTGTACCAGTACAGAAGCTGTTTTGGTTACTGGGGCTTTATAGTATAGTTTGAAGTTGAGTAGTGTGATGCCTCTGGCTTTGTTCTTTTTGCTTAGGAGTGCTTTGGCTATTTGGGCTCTTTTTTCATTCCATATGAATTTTAGGATAGTTTCTTGTTGTTCTTAAATGCATTTTATAATTAACTTGTTTAGCTCTAAGAAAAAAACTTGATTTTGTATTGGAATAGCATTAAATTTAATATTTTTTAAAAATGTTTCATCTACTAACTTACTGCAAAGAGTTTTATAAAGTTGCCTGTAATGATTTTTTAATGTTTTTCTTCATTTTTATAAAGGAAACATCCTTGTGACCACACCCGGGTCAAGGAATAGAACTTTATCAATCATCCCAGAAGCGCCCCCCGCCCCCCACATGTCCCATTTCTATTATAACCTACTTCATCTCCCCAAAAATAACCACTTCCCAAACTCTTATGGTAACCATTTCCCTAATCTTTATAGTTTTATCACCAAGTGTATATTCCTAGACACTATAGTTTAGTGTTGTTTTATTCTTAAAATTTGATATGTTTTTAAAGTCTCTTTTAATCTACACATTTTTCTCTCTATCCCTTTCTTTTCCTTATCTTTTACAATGTTTAAATTTTCTTCTGTTAGCACTTGTAACTTTCTTATTTTTTTTTTTCTAATCAGATACCTAGTGGTTTGTTTTGGTTGATTATTTTATCTTGAGAGCCAGCTTTTGGATTTACTTCTTAGTTCTATTCTTTTTCTACTTAATAATATCTGCTTTTATTTGTAATAATTCCCCTCTTTCTTTTGGTTCACTTATTCTTTTTCTGGCTTTTTCAGTTATATGTTTAAATAATTTATTTTTATTATTTAAATTTGTATTGATATAGGTATTTAATGCTATAAAGTTGCCTGTGACAGTTACTTTTTTTCTGAGTCCTATAAATTCTCTATATATTTTCCCAGCCTTTTATAGCTGTATATCTTATATGCAGTATGGTGTTTGATTTTGCTTTGTGAGCCAATCCAAGACTGTTTTCCATTTAATAGGTGAGCCAAGTCCATTTTTTACATCACAGATAACAGGGAACCACCTTGTTCTATTTTATTTGCTTTTATCCTTTTGGTATTTAGGAGGGCTTTCTTCCTCCTTTTTTTTTTTTTTTTCCACTTTTATCCTAATGCCTTTATAGCAAACACTTAGTTTCTTTGGTTGGCTCCCCACAGTACCTGATACTGCAGTTAGCTGATGGACACCCCAGTCCCAGTTGGCCCCTGCACATCTTCTGCCCGCCTCTACCAGAACACTGGTGGTTGTTCTTTGTCTGCATTGTGCACGCTGTTAACCATGGCATGCTGCACTTTTATCACTGTCATGTGCCAGCAGCTCCACAGATAAATAAAGACCACCCTGCAGCTCACCTTTGCATCTGCCTCTAGTCATTTTGGTTTCCGGAGCTTATTCTTTAGTGGGTCATCCCTCAGCTCCTGGTCACTGTACTTCCTGTGTTTGTGTATACTCATAAAAAATATGTGTGACTTTTACCCTTGATAGTCACTATTTAGATGTTAAATCTGTGGCTTATATTTTTTCCCTTGAATATCTTAAATATGTTACTGAACCTATTCTATTCTGGACCTGTAATCCCTACTACAAAGCCACTCACGAGTCCAGTTTTCATCATTTCTGATTTTACAGACATGCATTCTTAAGGGGGAGGAATTTATAGAACTGAAAGCCATGTTAATATCCTAGTCATGAGGTGGCTGAGATTTAGTCTGTCCAGGTAAGATGGTGCAGGTAGGGAGTGTGGTGGTCCAAGTGGCACACGCAGGAAGTCACAGAATGTGGGAGGCATTGTTTTGTGTACCCTGTGCACAGAGTGTCTGATGCCCTTTGATAGGTTTGCGGCCTCATCTGGTGGACTTTCTGGCACAGCCCTTCCTCGAGGTTGCTGCATCTGAAGCTCTTTAAGACGGCGTTTCCCTTCTGCCAGATTGCACTCTGTGCACAGTGCAGTTGCTTCTCCCTGCGGAGTGAGATGGGCCCACATTGGCTGTGGCTCCACCTGGCCTTGGTGCTCTTGTCGCCCTCTGCTCTGCTGCTCCCTTCATGTAAGAAGGGTGTGTTAAGAGTCCGTAAGTGTGTCGTGTTAGATATTTAGGAAGGAAATGTTAATGCTAAAAATAGGTTTCACATCTTTTTTTTAACTTATATAAAATTGACTGGACTTTCTCTTCTGAATTTTCTTTTTATAATTAGAGACTAATAATACACTGATACGAAGTAGCTTTATATCAGGAAAATGGATAAACGTAAACATTTGCCTACCAGGAGAAAATAATACGACCTGATTGGAAAATGTACAGATAAAAAGCTAAGTTTAGTAGGTAGCCATTGATGAACACAGTGTGACTTAAGACAACAACTGGGGATTGTTAGAGCAGAGATTGTAGCTCCCTTCCGGGGAGGAGCTGACCAAAATGTCCTCCAGCTCCTGCTTGACAGAAGAGGTGCAGCCAAATTGATCGAAAGGAAATGTCAGAGGAGGCCAGGGTGGGAATTATCAGCAACTGTGTTTGAGGATTTGTTCCACTTTGTTTTGGTGTTGGTGAAATTATCACAGTCTGCATGTTATATGACCTTGGCACTTAGAGTCATGGCAACTTGTTGCATTTATGCGAGATTTTTTCTCCCTAAAGTCTCTTCTGTTTGGTAGCATATATGTACCTTTCATAATCAATATCAAACTGAAGTAACTTGAAAAGATAGATACTTTTATTCATTTTCTGGGATTCCATAACCACAAACTCAGTGGCTTAAAACCACAGAAATGTATGTCCTCACAATTCTGGAGGCCAGAAATCCAAAATCAAGGGCTTGGCAGGGTTGCTTCCTACTGGCCACTCAGGGAAGTTGAGTTTATGAGTATGTATTATTTTTTATTATGTGTAGTATAGTACTTTAATAATTATTAAAACAAATCATTCACAAATATTGGTCATTTTTCTTACTGGTAACAAAAGTTTTGTGACATATTTTACAGCAATATAGTTAAGAACTGATGCCCTTGATTAGCAATTTTAAAAACCGGAGGCTTACCGTAGCCTGTCTTATTTTCCTAGACTTGTGTGGAAATGATTTGAAGATGATGGCCCATAACAGCACATTTCTGTAAAGCCTGTGCTTAAAACCCTAGAGTGGTCTGGGAGATGAAGATTAAGTCCTTGTTATCCATCTCTTAAGGGAAATACCATCAGAGGAAAATGCAAATCTTATTATAGGTCATCACTAAAATGAGGATTGTAATTTATAGAAATTGGGGTTTAATTATGAGAAATAGTTCCGTTCTTGGCTCTTGTTTACTTCTACTTGGAGTTGTTTTGTTGATTCTTCTCTATTCTCTTCTCTTCCTTTTCTTGAATGGAAAGGAACTTGGAAAAGTGATTCCCTGTCCTTGGGATTGTCAGAGGAAACTTGGAATGTCATTGCCTTTTGGGCACATTTGCTAGCAAGGGGGTGACGTATGCTGTGGTGCAGCCTGGGTGTGGAGAGTTAAGGGCTGTTAGCTCCATCATTCAGACATGTTTTAAGTTTATGGAAACTCTGTGTTTCATACAAGTGTGTTTGTGCCCTGTATTTTCCGCTTGTGTTGTATAACGTTCTATTCTTTGTTTTTAACACTTCCCGCCCCCACCCCATCCCTCGGACATGCACCTCAGACAGCATGAACAAGACAAGCTGCTACTTCCTCTCCTCTCTTGCACACTGTCTCTTTATCTTTAATTAAAACAAAATACACATAACATAAAATTGCCATCCTAACCATTTTTAAATGTACAGTTCAGTGGTGTTAAGTACATTCACACTATTGTGCAACCATTACCACCATCCATCTCTAGAACTTTTACATCTTCCCAAACTGAAACTCTGTCCCCATTAAACGCTAACTTTTCATTCTCCAGCACCCCCAGACCTGGTAACTGGCTTTCTATTTTCTGTTTGTATGATTTGACTTTTCTGAGTACCTCATATAAGTCAAATCAGACAGTATGTGTCCTTTTGTGACTGTCTTATCTCAGCGTAACGTCCTCAAGTTTCAGCCCTGTTGTAGCATGTGTCAGCATTTCCTTTTTCAGACTGAATAATATTCCATATTGTGTATAGTGTACACCACATTTTGCTTATCTATTCATCCACTGATGGACATGTGGGTTGCTTCCATGTTTATCTGTTGCAAGTAATACTGCTATGAACGTGGGCATACAAGTATCTCTTTCATTCTCTGCTTTCAGTTCTTTTGAATATATACCCAGAAGTGGAATTGTTGGATCATATGGTAATTCTATGTTTAATTTTTTGAAGAACCTCCATACTGTTTCCTATAGTAGCTATACCATCCTCCATTCCCACCAACATTGCACGAGGGATCCAGTTTCCCCACATGCATGTCAACACTTGTTAGTTTCTTTTTTTTTAATTTGCCAGTAGCCTCATAATGAGCGTGAGGTAGTATCTCATCGTAGTGTTAATTTGCATTTACCTAACAATTGGTGATATGGAGCATCTTTTCATGGGCTTCTTGGCTGCTGTGTCTCTTCTTTGGAGAAGTGTCTGTTGAAGTTGTTTGACATTTTTTAATCAAGTTGTTGGGCAGGTTCCCTTGTTTTTAAGTCAGAGTAGGTGATGTTTGTCTTGCTGGTGAAACAAAGGTTATAAAAAGAGAACATGTTTGCTGTGACGTGTAGTTGATTGCTATGAAATGTAGTTGATACATGCAGAATGGAAAGATTTATAAATTAAATACTCCTTTATTAACATTTTAATGTGTCGAATTTAAATTTCAGAAGCATTCATCTTTCTTCTCTACTTGTACATTTTTGTTTACCTGACAGTGTAAAACCCACAACCAAAAAGTAATGGCTTTTTCCCCGTTTAAAATACTTTGTAAAAATAGTAGCCTAGTTGTCATTTGTGAGCCCAGGCTTGGTCCTCAAGTCTGACATAGACTCCCCAAGGCCCTAATGCTGAAGTTCTCTGAGCCCTACCACTGCCCAGGCAGGCCCAGGAAGTGTCCCAGCAGTGCCCAAGAAGGTCACCTCCACCTGTGGAATCCACAGTGTGGGTAGCCCCCAGGGAGCCACAGCCATCTAGGCCCAGATTCACAGGAGGATGCGGTTACTGCAAGCATCTGAACCTGGCCCCACCACCTATGGGCAGAGTTGGTTCCAGCTCAGTGTGTCCATGGGATATCTTTAGGTTCACCTTGCTTTTCTGTCCCATGCTCACATGTTGGAGCTAAGCTGCATGGAGTGTCCTTCTCCCTGTACGTATGAGATTAGTCAGCAGTCCTGTCTCCTTCCATATTCTGTCTTTATTTCTGCGACAGTATTTCTGGAGAACATTGTATTTGTGCTTTTCCTTTGATATGTTTGTAATTTTCGTTAGAAAAACCGTTATAGATTCTAAAGCTTCTACATTCAGTATTTCAATCAATGATAACAAACTGGTGTAAGACTAAATACAAAATACAAACATCAACACATTTCCATAAATTGCTGTTATAATGTCTGCCACAAAAAGTTCAGTTGTTTGTATGTTTTTCAAATGTGCTTTGCTTGTCTTGATGATTTACAACTGTTGGCACCGCTGTTTAAGTCTGTTCTGACAGTGAGAAAGTGACTCATTTGGCAAAGTCAGCTTTTTTTTTTTAATAAAAGTGAATACTGGTGAGTGGAAAGGGGCTTGTGTACAATTTTCTTGTCAAAGAACGATGACCGGCAAATAAGCAATTTTAGTTCCTTGGATTTGAGCACCACTCTCACATGCCTCCACCAACCAGCTTGTCTCCACAGAGCTTCCTTCCTCACTTTACACTGAAAATCTGTTATCAGTGTGTGGAAAATAAAAATTTTACACAGCGTTAGTTTTGAGGATGTGGATTACTATTTACAGGTGTTTTTTTAAAAAGTAAAAGGTGTTCCCATTGTTTAGTTATTGCCTTATGATTTGATTTTCTTGTTTCACGAAGAAGAAAAGCTTTTAATTAAATGTATTTAAATAGTAAAAATATACATGTCACTTCACCTGGTTCCAGTTAAATGTGTTAACAGTGTATTTGGTTGGTGCTTAATAAAAACATGTTCAGTGCAGTAATAATTAACTTCAGGTAAACCCTTATATAGGGAGTAAACAGAAATGTTGAGTGGTTACTCAGCATGGGGAAGGTATACAGCAAGTCATTGGTCAGTATTGGGTATCATCATATTCTTACCATCTTTTTTCTGGAGTTTTAATAGTTGTTTTTTAAAAAAATCTCTGTTTTAATAAGGCATTTTGATGTTTGAAACTACCTTGGATAAGTATATCAAGACCCTTCAGAGATTCTAAAACATGTTCAGCACTTTCTGGTACAATATTCTCAAAGAACCAGGATACATCTTATTTCTCAAAATGAAACAAAAATGTATTAGACATTACCCTTGTGATTTCAAGCCCACAGTCTGTCACTTTGAAGTATTTATATCCTTTTACAAAAGAAAAGCCAAATGAAGATCTCCCTGAAAAAATATTTTAATAGAATGTGTCTTTATTTCAGTATCTTAAATAGTGAAGATGGAGAAATATTCAATAATGAAGAGCATGAATATGCATCGAAAAAAAGGAAAAAGGACCATTTTAGAAATGACACAAATACTCAAAGTAAGATCATTCTCATTAATTTTATTTTACTTGTTGATTACGTTGAAATACTAAATTACTCTGACAATGCTATCTTATGAAATAAAAGGTGATACAAATATGTAAATAACAGCCCAGTATCCAGCATTGCCTACAGATTTAGTGATCAAACTTTTTGCAGCTCAACCGTTTCAGTGGGTAAGATGTGCAAAAACAAAATAAGAGATAGCCAAACCCACAAAACAGCCCATGAATCTGAATGCTTGAATTATGGTCATGAATTCAGCTCAGTCTTGAGCAGTGAGGCCAAACTGAGAGGTGTCCTGACTTGAGTTTTGAAGTCACTGAAGATTCAGAGCAGGAGACAGACATTCAGAGCTGGAGTTTAGGATGTTAGATGGCAGCAGGGGAAGGCTGGAGGTGGGACCTATCTATGTGAGGGCATAGAGCTCTATCATGCAGCATATCTGTGAGTTACCAAGACACATGTTAATGTATAGTAGGCTCCCTTACCTCAGGGGATAGACCTCCAGTGGATGCCTGAAACTGTGGATACTACCAAACCTTATGGATACTATGGTTTTTTTTATGTATATACACACTTATAATAAAGTTTAATTTATAAATTAGGTGCAGTAAGAGATTAACGAGAATAATAAAATGAAACAGTTATAGCAAGATGGCCACCATCACTGCTCTTGCACTTTGGGGCCATTATGAAGTACAGTAAGGGTTCTTTAAATACAAGCACTGTGATATCTCAACAGGTGATCCGATAACCAAGACGGCTACTGAGTGACCAAGGGGCGGGTAGTGTAGGACTCGCTTGACAAAGGGAGGATTTGCATCCCAGGCAGGACAGAGCAGGACGGTGTGAGATTTCATGACACCACCCAGAATGGCACACAATTTAAAACTTATGAATGGTTTATTTCTGGAATTTTCCACTTAATGTTTTCAAACCAAACCTGACTGTGGGTAATTGAAACTGTAGAAGGTGAAACTGTGAATACGGGGGGACTACTTTATGAAGAAGATAGGGTCACATGGAGAATACAGTTAGTGTGATTCTTGAAACTTTTAAGATTTATCTGAAAAATTTGTTTCTATGGAGTACCATACACAGCAACAGAAGAATAGAACTTTTTATTAGGGTACATAGGAATGTAGTAATGTAATTGCATTTTATAATCATTTATGTCTTCATATGGCTTCAGTCATTAATAATACTAATTTTCTTCTAAGTTACTAGGACTTGGTACTGTCTGAAATCATTGTTCATATCTTAAACTGATTTAAGAAACAAAGCAATTCTGTTTGCATTCACCCACGTAAAAGCATTTCTTGTCAATATAGTAAGTCAGATAATTTTGTTAACATGTCCAATTATTTAAATTCCTTTAAAATCTTCATTTTGAAATGATTTGCCAGATTTTAAAAACAAAGGTAATTTTTATTCTAGGTTTTTATCGTGAAAAATGGATCTATGTCCATAAAGAAAGCACAAAGGAAGTAAGTATTCTATTATAAATATGAGAGTATCTTGTATTGTTTCTGTTGAATATGGAGTCACATTAAATAAATGTATTAATAAAGTTGCATAAAACACATTTCTTTTGCAATATCAGATCTATGGTTCACATTCTGACAGATAATAGCATATGAGGAGCTTTTGAGGCAGTGATTTTCCATTGTGTGTGCTTGCATGTGCATGTGGTATGTGGCTGTGTATTTGTGCACACATTTGTGTGTGTTGTGTGTATGGTGTATGTGTGTGGTATATATGGTGTGTATGTATGATTGTGCATGTATTTGTGCAGATACTGGTGTGTGGGATGTATGGTGTGTGGTGGCATGTGGTATATGTGTGCAGTGTGTGGTTCCTGCCTACCTGTACATATCTGAGTCTACAGCAGGGTTATTTAAACCAAGCATGGACTCCTGCAGTCATACGCATTTTCTCTGTGTTAGCATGAACCCCTGATGCTGATGGGAATGTGTCCTCCCTGTGGCGTGTTTTGGAGGGCAGGGCATCTGTGAGCCCTCTCATTCCACATAAAGAGTGGCTAACATGAAATTAGTAATTGGGTTGGGTTTGTGCAGAGCTGTGTGAACTCTTTCCCTGCCTTTCTTTTGCCAAGTTGGGCTAAAGCTTTTTCATGAGCCATAAAACAAACGAGAGAGCTTCAAGCTGTTTCCTGTTTCTTTACTAGGATCCGGGAAGTTGAGTTCCTTTTATAGGCCTAGAAACTCTGCATTTGCTTTATTTTGCAACAATTGGGGAAAATAATTTAGGGAATTACTGTCTATCGTATGTTATTTCAGGGTAAGTTAAATATTCCAGAAATGTTTGTAGATGCTCTGAAACTAGTCCAGCTTCCAAGAAACTGAAGGATTAGATTCTGAGAAAGAAAACTTAATCTGTTTGGTTATGGTTAGTGGGTATAGAATGAATCAGATCCTTAATATACACTCGAATACACCATTAGACGATTATTTGACAGAATCTAACCTAGTTTGTGAAAAACAAAATTTAGTGCTCGTGAAAGACCATTAAATATTTCATCTGCTCTGTTGCCATACTGATTACAGAACAGAGGATCCCATCCAAGCTAGCATATGCAGGAAAGGAGGATCTTCTTGTGAGGCTGTGGGGATGCTCCCTGGAATGCTAGGAACCAGGACCTAACAAGGCTGAGAGGGACCAGAACTAGGACTGGGTGCTGGTGTCCCTGCACCACGTCATGTCTCCATACCCTCACCTGGTACAGAGCAAGTGCCTGCTGCTTGTCCATGCTGGCTGGTGTCTCACCGCTTCCGAGGTTACATGCTGTGGTTCTAGGTCCGCACATGCTCTTTGTGGTCTGCTCTGTGAATCAGATTTAATTTCCTGTTGTAAGATGGGTGGTGACCTTGGAAAGTGCCTGCTGCACCATCGTGTGGAATATCAGCTGTGATGGATTTCAGATTATAATCTATATCAAAATGAGTGTTTCCTTTCCCCAGAGTTCCCAGGAAAATGTTTTCCACATAGCAGGCAGTCAGTCAACATATTTGGATGTTTTAAATGAGTATATTTTGTTGAGTTGTGCACCCGTCAGGGCGATTGGGGTTGGCGCACAGAAGCACATGAGCCTCTGAGTGTATCGGCTGTCAGAGACAAAGGTGCTATGACTCCAGCTGCTTTCTCTAGGACATCTCAAGTCACCTGTTTGGAATTTGAGACCAATCATCTCATGTTTTCTATTATTTTTTTCTAGCTTATCTCTACAACTTTGACATGAAAATCTGTAGATTTTAAATATTTCAAATATGGAGGATGAAGATGGAGTTTAAAATGACTTCTGAAACCTAGTGTGCTAATCTATACAAACCAATATAGGATAAGGGTATATCATGGAAGAAAAACATCTAAGAGAATAGCAGCAGTGTTTACAGTACTGAAAATAAATTGTTTCATTTTCTTCCTTCAGTTCTTGGACCTGTGGGTCTAAACACCAGTTTTTTTTGGTGTTTTGGGTTCTTGGCATCCGTGCTCCCAGCCTGAAAGCTGCCCGTGGTCACATCCAGCACTTGCCTTCAGCCCTCTCCATCCCAATGCTGGTTTTCAGAAGCACCTTCTTGCTACCGAAGCACCTCTCCCAGCCCTGATCCTTGTGGTTGAGCATACTTCCAGCCTGGGCAGTGCATGGCTGCTCTGGAGAGAAATCCCATGTTATACTTCAAACTCGGGCAGTGCATGCCTCCCCTGCAGAGAAATCCTGTGTTTCAACTAGATATTTGTAACACCTACATCCTTACAATGCAGTTAATCAGGTGATTTATGTATTTTTAGTTGCGTAGCCTAGAATGAATCCAGTTTTTTTATGATCTTAGCTTTAACGTCGTCCACACCCCAGTTTGTCCCCAACAAAACAAACCGGCAAGATATTTAATAAATATTTGTCTTTGTCATTACTTCAGCAGGTTGTAAAAAATGTCAGTTAACGGTGTCTCAGGTATACATAAACAGCTTAAATTATTAGCATTGCTATAATTTTACTATACTCTCATCTAAATCTAAAATCAGTCTTCAAAATAAAAACAAATTGTCCTTTGCCAAAAATTTTTTTAATCGCACAATTAATTGACATTAACTGCCAATTCTTTTTGGCTAATTGACTAATTTTAACTTCTGTGTTGCTTTTCCAGAGGCATGGCTATTGCACCTTGGGAGAAGCCTTTAATCGGTTAGACTTCTCAAGTGCAATTCAAGATATCCGAAGGTTCAATTATGTGGTCAAAGTAAGTGTTCTATTTCAAAAACTACTTTGATGACTCTTTTGAACAACTATATTTTGAAGATTGTAAGTGTACAACGTTGAAGATGCTTTTGGCAGCTTGAAGGTGTGCCTGTTTGCTGCGTATTAATCAAAAAACAGAAGGGAACAAGTTCAGGAGAAAACAGTGAGGTTGGAGGATTTCTCCAGTATTGGTGGCAGAGGTTGCAGAGCCTCAGTGGGAGCAAACACTCATCTGCCCTGTGGCTCTGTGGTTGCTGAGGATGCCACAAGGTGGTCCCTTGGGGGTTGTACCACGTACCTACATACTGTGTCAGTGATAGAACGGTCGTGGGATCTTTACCTGATGATTTCACAAATGTTTTCTGCTTCGTGTTTTTCACAAGGAATGAGGCTTGTGTCGCAGAGGAAGAAGTAGCTAATAGAAAACAGGAATTTCATACAAAATAGAATTCCACAAAAGCCTTATTGCATTAATGATACCCTTTTGGAAGAAATTTTTATCTTGGGCCACACTCAAAAAGAAAGGATCTTAGCCATATATTCCATTTATTGTTTGCTTTTGTCCAAAGATTAATTACTATGTGGTTTATGCACCTTCATTCTATTATGGATAAAATAGAAGCTATAGTTTATGAAGCTATTAATTTTGTGTTTCTAATGGTTCTGTGAGACATTGGAAAAATGTTGCTTTTAATTGCTTTTAGGCATTTAAAAGTGCTACTGGGAGGACCAAAAATTTAGGGAGTTAAATAATTGTAAGCCTTAGATAATATTATTTGTTCAGTTTGCTTCTGAGCAGAATTTCCAGGGCTGCTTATGTAACTACTACTTACAACTCCTGTTGTGCTGCATGCTTCACTGAAGCCCAGCCACCACATGCAGGCTGGACTTCCCTGGTGTTTTCTGAGTCCTCCTTTAGATATTTACACACTGGCCAGCAGGGTGTCCTCGATAGGTACCTTTCTTATAGATGATGAAATGCAGATTTGACTCAGCCTTGTGGAAATTTTCAGTACTTAAGTAGCCGGGAAAAACATCAGCAGAGAGGTCTGTTTAGCAGTAACTGTTTCTCCATGTAGCTCTCTGATAGTTCAGACCATACTGAGTTGCTTTATAGTAGCAATTCTTGACCATCTGTCTACATAAAAGGATTTAATTCTTGGTGTGAGTGAGAGAGTAGGATGGAGCACAGGAGGAAGTCGTTGGCTCCTGGTGGTTTCTGTGCTGGGTGCCCTGCTGTCTCATCTTTGGTCACTGACTCTGGAGAAGGTGCGAGTATTCTGTGCTTTGTCAGAGGGGGCATCCATAGACCAGGACCAGCATTTTATCAGTTTCAGTCATTTGGACGACTGCATAATTTTTTTTTTGTCTGTGTACCACATACTACTATAATTTGCTGGGTAGCTTTTCTTCAAATTTACTTTTCTAAACAGAAATACCTACTTTAGCCTCATCCTAAACACTAATACCTGTGAAATGGTAAATTTTCTGTCGGTCATTTGTCTAATACATATAAATGCATAACTATAAAAATTAAAATGTGCTGTGCACTCATGTACCAACTAAGCTTACTTTGCAACCCTCTTGAGAAGGGCTGTGTTTCTCCAAAGCACCTCTCAGATGTGGAGCGAGGGAACTGGTGAGCTCAGGAAGCAAAAGGGCTGCAGTGTTGCATGGCTGTCCCAGCACCCTCACAGGTCTGTGCATCTCTGTTGATTGCTGCCTTCCAAGCAGGGCCTTGCTTGGCTCATCTGTGCTCCTGCTCTGTGGGAATCCCACCTTCCCTCTCCTGAAGTCGCTCTGGACCTTGCACACCATTCTTCACAAGTCCAGCAAAGTTACCTCTAAAAAGTGATTTGCTCATGCTTACCTTCTGCTAAAAACAAAAACAAGAAGCAGCCTTTGTGACTGTGGTAAAGCCTGAGCCTGTGTCTTGCCTTGGATTGGGCTCCTCCATGTCCCCATCCCAATTCTTAACCTCCCTGGCCCATGCCCAGTGCCCTCTTCTGTTGGCTTTCTTTCAGTGTGTGCTATTTTTTTTTTTTTTTTACTTTATCGTATGCATTTATCATACATACTGTGCAGGTATTTGGTATTTTTTTGCTGTTTTAAATGTTTATGGCAACACTTACTACAACAACTGAGAGGATTGTCTTGTAGTTCTACTAAATAATTTGATTTTCCATAATTTAGTCTAAGTTGTCCATAATGTCACTCAGTATTATTAGAATACCTATAAATAAGAAATGTAGAAGCATTTTTTTAAAATGCTTGATAAAAGGTTTCCTTTTTTTCTAATGGCATTTAGTAATATCTGCCCTTAAGAATTTGTGTGAAAAACTTAATGTGTATCTTTTTTTTTTTTTTAGATGGAGTCTCACTCTGTTGCCCAGGGTGGAGTGCAGTGGCACGATCTCTGCTCACTGCAACCTCTGATTCCTGGGTTCCAGTGATTCTCCTGCCTCAGCCTCCTGAGTAGCTGGGATTACAGGCATGCACCACGATGCCTGGCTAATTCTTTTTTGTATTTTTAGTAGAGATGGGGTTTCGCCATTTTGGCCAGGCTCGTCTTGAACTCCTGACCTCAAGTGATCCACCTGCCTCGGCCTCCCAAAGTGCTAGGATTACAGGTGTGAGCCACCATGCCCAGCCTGTATCTTTCAACTAATGTTTTATGTAAAATCATTTTTTCCATCTAAACAGCAATTTTAAACTGAGACTAATCAATAATTACTACACAGTCTTAGGATAAAAGTTAGTAGTAGAATTTAGTGTTCAATTACAGATTCTTCCAGTTGCCAAAATAAAGTTAAGTAGTTTGGAATGGAAGTTTCGTTTTTACTCTAATCTTTGAAGTTGAGTTTGAGCCAGATGTCCTGTTGGAGGCATAAAATGGCCCCACCTTTTGTTCACTGTCCAGGGGCAGATGCTCTTCACTCAAGGCAGGAGGAGCCCATCAGTGCTGGCATCGCTGAGCACCTCCTGTGTGCAGATCAACGTACCTTGGCTTTTCTAACTTTCAAGAAACTTTGAAATCCAGTTCTAGTCACACTCCCACCATGAAATCTTCTTTGCCAGTGATCACAGGGTTGTGGCAATACCAACTCAAGCCTACCTGGCTGGGACCTTGGCCTCACCGCCCCCATCATGTCAGCAGCATTCCCTGGCCCTTAGGTGTGCCAGTGGCCACGTGTTTAAGTTGTCTGCGTCCCCATCCCAGTTGAGCCCCAGGAGCAGGGGCTTGGTTTGTTCACTGCTGTTCACCCACTGCTGAAAACAACACCCCCTTTGTCAAAGTGGAGTAAGTGTGTCCCAACTGCAGTGAGGAGCTGCACTTCCATGAACTCAGAGGTGCCCAGCAAACCCAGGACAGCTGTAAACACAGAGAGGGAGACCAGTACCCAAAAGCTGTCTGGAGGAAGTAGAACTGGGTCCTGATCCTATAGGTTAATGTGACTGTGGTTTTTACACATTTGTTATCATTCCCTTGGAGTCCTGGGCTTGCTTATAGCACTGAGAAGAACAGCCTGCCCCCTCGCCCCTCTGGCAGCCAGGAGGTGGCTTCTGACAGCCAGGCACGAACAGCCCGAGGCTTGGGAGGTCCATGCAGGGCAGTGCACGGCGTGAAAGCTTCCTGAAAGCTGCACGGTGTGCAACTGAAATTTATAAAAATGTTAAATATGCTCTGTTTCCTAAAGTACACACATCTGTAGGAAAAAAGTTTTCAGAATCGTAAAGTTTATATATCTAATTTTGGTTATTTGATAAATTATCTGAAGTACTTCATTCTCTGCCTGTGGTGGACCAATTAGATAGCACATCCAGTGTCACATACTTCCAGGGGTACTGTATTTTTAGTTTAGTTTCTTGCCATCATTTATTTTTATGTTTTCATTTGCTTTAGATGTAGGCGAAGAGTCGGTCTCTCTTATCTTTATTCAAAAGTTTCTGTGTCCCTGGGCATTGCTCTGCCCCTCCAAGACTCCCCAGTCCTGTTTCCTTTAGCCCACCTGCTCCTCATGTCTGGAGATGGACTCCTGCTTCTCAGTATCCCAAGGATCTCTTAAATGTGGAAAGGTGGCCAGGTGCGGTGACTCATGCCTGCAATCCCAGCACTTTGGGAGGCTGAGGCAGGAGGATAACTTGAGCCCAGGAGTTTGAGGCCAGCCTGGGCAACATAGGGAGACCCTGTTTTTACAAATAATAATAAGCAAATAAGGAAAGACATCTCAGGCTAGAATCTCTGGCTATATGAAGATTTTTTTTCAAATTTTTTCATAATTTCTACTAATGACTACTCCATAGTAGCAACTTAATAGCAGCAGCCTCACAGCAGCGCATGGGAAAGATGCTTAGTGAGTGACCCTGAGCCCTCCCAGGCGGGGACTCGAGGGTGAGGCAGGGAGGGAGAGAGGCTCTGCAGCCACACAGCCGTTGTTGGAATTCTGTCTCTTTCTTATTTATTTACTCAGGGATCTCAAGCATATGACTTCATCATCACATCCATAGTATCTGGTAGATTTTAGCATCTACCTCAGAGCACTGTTAGAAAGATTAGATTAGTTCCATCATAGGAAGCTCTTGGAACAGTCTGTACTCTGTGTTAGCCACTATTTTGATTTTCTTTTGAGGAGGATTTAGGCAGAGGGATGACAGCTGCATGGAGATCCATTTATGACCCAAGAGGTAAAGACAAGAAAATGGGGCCCAGAGAGATGGGCTGAAGGTCACAATGGAGTCAAGGACAGAGACCAAAAACGTAGCTGTCCTGACAGCCGTGAAGAGCTTTTTCATTACGACTTTATTTCCTAAGTCTATAAACTTTGATTTTCCTCTGATGTAAATTAAGTGACTTTCTTAAATGCGTCATATGACTTTTTTTTAAATTTTTTAAATTATACTTTAAGTTCTGGTATACATGTGCTCAATGTGCAGGTTTGTTACATAGGTATACACATGCCATGGTGGTTTGCTGCACCCATCAACCCGTCATCTACATTAGGTATTTCTCCTAATGCTATCTGTCCCCTAGCCCCCCACCCCCCGACAGGCCCTGGTGTGTGATGTTCCCCTCCCTGTGCCCATGTGTTCTCATTGTTCAGCTCCCACTTATGAATAAGAACATGTGGTGTTTGGTTTTCTGTTCTCGTGTTAGTTTGCTGAGAATAATGGTTTCCAGTTTCATCCATGTCCTTGCAAAGGACATGAACTCATCCTTTTTTATGACTGCATAGTATTCCATGGTGTATATGTGCCACATTTCCTTTATCCAGTCTATCACTGATGGGCATTTGGGTTGGTTCCAAGTCTTTGCTATTGTGAACAGTGCTGCAATAAACATACGTGTGCGTGTGTCTTTATAGTAGAATGATTTATAATCTTTTCATCATACTACCTGACTTCAGACTATATTACAAGGCTACAGTAACCAAAACAGCATGATACTGGTACCAAAACAGATATATAGACCAATGGAACAGAACAGAGGCCTCAGAAATAACGCCACACGTCTACAACCATCTGATCTTTCACAAACCTGACAAAAACAAGCAATGGCTAAAGGATTCCCTATTTAATAAATGGTGTTGGAAAAACTGGCTAGCCATATGCAAAAAACTGAAACTGGACCGCTTCCTTACACCTTTATACAAAAATTAACTCAAGATGGATTAAAGACTTAAACATAAGACCTAAAACCATAAAAACCCTACAAGAAAAGCTAGGCAGTACCATTCAGGACATAGGCATGGGCAAAGACTTGATGTCTAAAACACCAAAAGCAATGGCAACAAAAGCCAAAATTGACAAATGGGATCTAATTAAACTAAAAAGCTTCTGCATAGCAAAAGAAACTGTTATCACAGCGAAGAGGCAACCTACAGAATGGGAGAAAATTTTTGCAATCTATCCATCTGACAAAGGGCTAACATCCAGAATCTACAAAGAACTTAAACAAATTTACAAGAAAAAAACAACCCCATCAAAAAGTGGGTAAAGGATATGAACAGACACTTCTCAAAACAAGAAATTTATGCAGCCAACAAACATGAAGAAAAGCTCATCTCTGGTCATTAGAGAAATGCAAATCAAAACCACAATGACATACCATCTCACACCAGTTAGGATGGCTATCATTAAAAAGTCAGGAAACAACAGATGCTGGAGAGGACGTGGAGAAATAGGAATGCTTTTACACTGTTGGTGGGAGTATAAGTTCAACCACTGTGGAAGACAGTGTGGTGATTCCTCAAGGATCTAGAACCAGAGATACTATTTGACCCAGCAATCCCACATGACATTATAAAATAATGACCTGGCAAATTAGATGGAACTGTTGAAAAGGGCTGTTTTTAAAATTTCAGATCATATTGCTAATCAGGCTTTTGTTTGCTCTGGTGAGTGTTGTTTTAAGCAACACAATCCAATGCTAATTTACTGTTGTATAATAATTTATTCAGTAGGCCCTGCTATATCCCAAGCACCTGGCAAGTAGTAGGCACTTGTTATTCCTAAAATGAATGAGTGACTGAGCATACAAACCAACTATTGTATACATAAATGTTTTTAAGTTACTCCAATTATTTTTTTTTTTTTACCACAGTTAAACTCCTTCATAAGTTCTACTTGAAGTAGGAACTATTAAGATACTCTAAGATAATTACATTTTTGCTGATAGTTGTACTGCACCTACAGGTTACTTTTTTTTTTCTTCAAGCAAACTGCATAGTTAGAAAGAAGCAGAGGAAGTTATTTCCACTTTAGTTTTTTATTTTGTATTTTTCTGAGACAGAGTCGCTTTGTCGCCCAGGCTGGAGTGCAGTGGCATAATCTTGGCCCACTGCAACTTCCGCCCCCCGGGTTCAAGCGATTCTCCTGCCTCAGCTTCCCGAGTAGCTGGGATTTCAGGCACCTGCCACCACGCCTGGCTAATTTTTGTAATTTTAGTAGAGAGGGGGTTTTGCCGTATGGGTCAGGCTGGTCTTGAACTCCTGACCTCAGGTGATCTGGCTGCCTCGGCCTCCCAAAGTGCTAGGATTTCAGGCGTTAGCCACCCTGCCCAGCCTATTTCCACTTTATAAAAAGATTCTACACAAAGATATCTTCTAATTTCCTAAGCAAGACTTTTCTTATACAGAAAAAGATATATTTACATGTATATTTTTCAGTTTTCCTAATTGTCGATCCAAGAATTGGTTGTAGGCTATTTAATTCCAGGCATTTCCTATAATTACCCCCATAAAAATGCCGGATTAAAGTGTATTAGCAAAGTATGTTAACGCTCCTGAGAACAGATTTGTTAAAGAAGGTCCAAGAAATGACAGTGTTGTCACCACTCAGAAATGGCCATTTCCATTGAAGGAAGTGCTCCTCAGCTCCGCTGAGAGTCTGACCTCAGTTGAATTAAATTTGACCTTGTAACTGATGTTTTTAAGAAAAATTGAACATAGATTGCTGACGACGGTGGATAGGTGGTGTCAGGGCAGTTTGAGCACACTGGGAATATAAGGCTCCTCATTATACGGCATGCCAAAAAAAGTTTGTCCTCCAGGCAAGTATCCGAATTATATTGGAAGTTTGAAATGCCGGTATTGATAATAGTCTGCAAATATCCACTACCATCTTCATTTTTCTTTAATTCTCACCATATTTATCCTACCAACAAGATAATTTGTAGAGTATGACTAAACACAGCAACTAAGAATGCTTTTACCAAAATAAAATTATAAGTTGTGTAACAGTTTAGTTTCAGATAAAAAAGCAGACGTTCTTTCTGCCAGTGCTAGAAGTCAGTGAACATTTGACAGAGTCAAAATGGTTCCCAAGAAAAGCAGAGAAAAGGGACAACCCCAAAAATAGAATGACTTCTCACAGACCACTGCTTGAGCAACTTGTGAGCTGTAGGAGGGGCGCTGGTTCCTAAGCCTGAAGTGGAGGGCATGTTTTAATCCAGCCTGCATGAGGTTGTAGTGTGGTGCTTCCCTACCTCGGGGCAGCGGTGGGCGGGCAGTCCACACATTGCTAAAGGACCTGAGGAAAGTGGCTGGAGCGTCCAGAAAATTGATGAAAACTACAAAGTCTGCTTGGTTCTGCTTTGGCTTGCTAGATTACATCCCTTTTTTGTAAAAGACAATAAACTTGAGAAGTCTTTTTAAAATTAGATAATCAAAGTTGAGATCACTGAGGGCTGTGTCCAGCACACAGGCTAGCTGGGAAGCAGCAGAGCAGGAAGGCACAAGCACAGATTGTGGGATCCCCCTGCTCTTCAGGTCTGGCCCCTCCCTCCTCAGTGCTGTGGCCTTGGGGCCAGCTTCTTCATCTCTCCCTGCCTCAGTTTTCTCATCTCTAGAGCAGGGATAATAGTAAGACCTACCTCACAGGGGCATTACAGCATTGAAAGGGCATCAGGTACTTCAGATGGTGCCTTTCTAATAATCACTCAGTAAATGCTTACAGTTCATTATAAATCTGAAGGAACCCAAAGGCGAAGATTGAGCAAAGTTGATTTGGTCTGCCCAGTGAAGAATACTTTCTGTATTTTGTAGTAAGGCTGACTTTAAAAATAGAGGTAGTGGATGTTGTTGTTTCTCTTTCTCTGCCCTTCCCCATGTATGTGAGGCCCTTCAGGAGCACAGGCACACATGCAGTGCCAATTTACTCCCAGATCCAAGGGTGTTCAGGAGTGGACCTCGAATTTCAAATAGCTGTGATTTTATTTAACTTTATTGGATTCTAGTTTTATTATATTACCACCAGAGAGTTTGGCCTTTAAGATCTCTAATTCTTTGAAATGATTAAGTTTTCCTTTGTGGCCTTCTTTATAATTGATTTTTATAAATATTCTATTGATGTGTGAAAAAAAATACAGATTCTCTATTTGAAGGATGTACTTTCTTTCTCTTTATCTAATTCTTCCACATCTTTACTTGTTTAGAATTGTCAGATTTGAGGAGATACGCAGTCATGCACTACATAACGATGTTTTGGTCAATGACCGACCGCGTGTAGTGTCGTGGCCACATAAGATTATTTCCTTTTTTTACTGTACCTTTCCTATGTTTAGATATATTTAGATATACAGATACTTGCCATTATGTTACAGTTGCTGTTCAGTGCATTAATATGTTGTATAGGTCTGTAGCCTAGCTGTGTAGGTGTTGTGTAATACACTCTGTGATGTTCACACAGTGAGGAAATTACCTAGCAATGCGTTTCTCGGATCAGATTGTATCCCCCTTGTTAAGCGACCCATGACTGTATAAAAAACTTCCTACAATATTTGTGTTTTTAACAAATGTTCATTAAATTCCCAACAGACTTTGCTTTATGGCTAATTAGAGGCTTATGAATGATTACAGTTTCTTTGTTAATTGTCTTTCGCCCTGTTATCTTAATTACCAGTTTAACCTGAAATGTAATCTTGTCAACTGTGAACACGGCCCTTCTCACCTCTATGCTTACCTATGCCTCGTGATGTCCATTCTGTAGTCCTCTGTGGGTAACTAGTCTAAACTGACCGTGCTAAGCTAATCCCTTGCCTTCTGCTGCTGATTTCAGTCTTTTTAAAAGGAATTTTAAAACATGATATTAAAGAAATGTAGAAAACTTATTTCGATGATAGGAGGGGAGGTAGTCGGGAAGACCTTATCTCCCAGGGAACACATATTCTCTGTTCTGGTATTTCTTCCCCTAGTGGAGCAGCAGTTCCAAACCCAAATGTTGTCTCAGGGGTCCTTTTCACTTTTTAAAATTACTGAGGACCCCAAAGAGATTTTGGTCATGTGAGTTATATCTATTAATGTTTGCCACATTAGAAATTAAAACACTTTTAAAAATATTTCTCCATTTATTTAAAAGTAAGGACTGGGCTGGGTGCAGTGGCTCACGCCTATAATCCCAGCACTTTGGGAGGCCGAGGTGGGCGGATCACCTGAGATCAGGAGTTTGAGACCAGCCTGGCCAACATGGTGAAACCTGTCTCTACTAAAAATACAGAACTTAGCCAGGCATACAGAAAACTACCGGGCATGGTGGCATGCACCTATAATGCCAGCTACTGGGGAAGCTGAGGCTAGAGAATCGCTTGAACCCAGGAAGCAGAGGTTGCAGTGAGCCGAGATCGCGCCATTGCACTCCAGCCTGGGGGACAAGAGTGAAACTCCGTCTCACAAAACAAAACAAAAAAACAGTAAGGACTGTATGTCTCACACCTTGGCACCCTCCTGGTGTCTGGTGTGATGGAGGGGATTATTCCTCATCTCTGCTCCTGAGTTCAGTCTTCCATAATGTAGCATGTCGGACTGTATGTCTCACACCTTGGCACACCCTCCTGGTGTCTGGTGGGATGGAGGGGATTATTCCTCATCTCTCCTGAGTTCAGTCTTCTGTAATGTAGCATGCTGGGGCCTCTGGAGCACTTCACTGCACACTAACGAATGTGAGGATGGAAAAGGAAAATCATATCTTAGTGAAACTGTGGAAATAGTTTAGACCTCGGGCTCCCCTAACAGGCCCCTAGACGATGCTTTGGGAACCGTGGTGGTAGAACTCTCTCTCCCAGACTCACTCTGCCCTGACCCCTCTTATTGGTGAGAAACAGGCATGTGTAACTCTTCTTTTTCCTTTGAGGAATAAAAGATATTTGTACATTTTGGTCTGTTTCTTTCATGTCTTAGTGCTGTAGGGCAAGAAGCCTATCTGGGGAGGCTTTGGTTATTAAGCAGTGCTTACGGCTGGCTGGCTTCATCTCAGTCTAGGATTCAGATTAGGAAATCCATTGTTGTGTGAATCTGAATCGCATCCGCCAGTCCAGCTATTATTAGCGATAATGCTGATAACCTCAGTTGGCCTGAATCCTTTGTCTCTAAATTGATTCTAAAGTGAGGCAGGGAAAAGGGGTGCTATTCAACACTAAAACAAGGAATTTAATAACAATATTCAGTTAATTTGAAAAGATAAAGGAACAGGATTGAAATTTTAACATTGGTCTTCTCAGCTTTGCTTGGCCTAACCTGATCTTATCTCTGGCCAGTGCCCTCAACTGGTGTGTTTTAGTGTAAGATATTTTTATGTAAATATGTTAGAAATCACAGAATGTTTTTTCCCCCAAAGATTATCATGTAATTGTCACATTTATAATGTTATTTGTGGCTCAGTATGTGACTTAGTGATTTCTCATTCTGGAAATCAAGAAAGGCTGGAAGGAGAATTGGAAGGAAGGGATGAAAAAACTCCATTTTCAGAGAAATAAGAGGCAGATGCAATTCACAGACTCTAAAATGTGCATGAGGCTTACCAAAAGCAGCTAAGCCTGGGCAGTGATACTATAGGCGGAACTGAGCAGAAGGGCTTAGGCTAACAAAAGCACTCGTCAGGGCCAGGTCTAGAAGTCGAGCCCCACATACCCTGTGCACTGAGAGGCTGAGTCGCAGATGTTCAACTCCAGCTTGCAGAGTGCAGAAGTTCCAGGGAGGACCACTGACAGCAAAGGGCTTCCTGGATCCAGTTTTACTCAGGGACATGGGCTGTGGGGTCTCCCAGGGATTCACATACATGCAGGTAGCGGCTGGGGGAGAGAGTGGTGGAACTGGGAAGGCTGGAAGCTGCCCTTCCCCCAACCCTGAGGGCATCTGCAAAACAGGTGCCCTAGGAAGTCCCACCTCACTCTGAAATGCCTGTTAGAGAAGGTGACCGTCACCGCATGGATATTCTCTAAGGAAATTGTCTGTGAAGCAGGATGGAATCATGAGCAGACAGTTCATCATAAATGAAAAAAACAGGAAACTCATGAAGGAGTTCTGTGGCAGGAGATCCCAGTGCAGGAATGCGACAAAACAGAAAAGAGATTTTAATGAGGTTGAGTATCCCTTAATCCCAAATGCTTAGAACTGGAAGTGTTTTAGATTTTGGATTTTTTCAGATTTTGTAATATTTACATATACATAATGAGATAACTTGGGGCTGGGATACAAGCCTAAACATGAAATTCATGTATGTTTCACATACACCTTATACATATTACCTGAAGGTAATTTTATACAGTATTTTTAATAATTTTGTGCAACCCATCACATGAGGTCAAGTATGGAATTTTCCACTTGTGGCATCATGTCCATGCTCAAAAAGTTCCAGAGTTTGGAGGATTCTGGATTTTGGAATTAGGGATGCTCAACCTGTACAACCAAGTGAGACAGCAGGAGACAAAGTCAAGTTGGCAGAAGAAAGGATGGCAGCAGCCGGGAGAACCACCACAGAGGCGAAGGTGGGATTGGAAGGGCCCAGGAGAAGACAGAGATGTTTTGGGAAACACAAAAAAGGTGATGGAAATAATACGAATGAGAAAATTAATAAGAATGAAACCGTAATCATGAGTTTAAAAGGAACTAGAAAGAAAATTACAGCTGAAGAGAACAGGGAGAGGGGTTCCAGCATATTTATCACTGGAATCTTCAAACAGGAAAACAAAACAAAAGGACAGAACAAATATTTAAAGATAATGTTCAGGAAAATTCTGCTCAGGTAAAAATAGATGGAAGTGTACATTGTGAGAGGGCAAATTTTATGCTGGGGAAGGTTGACTGAGAACAGGTTATGAGTGTGCCATATCCTACAGGAATTATTAAACTCTGAAGATGAAGCAAGAACCTCCCAATGGCTGAACAAACATGTCGTCTCTTACTGAGGGAAAAGATCAGGGTGGCTTCAAATTTCTCCAAATTCTTCAGATAGTGGAGTAATCCTTACTTATGGGATCCTCCAGGAAGAAAGGATGGCCCATGAATTTTATGTCCAGTCAAACCATCTTTTGTATCCAGTCTGCAAACAAACAGTATTGATCATGTGAGAACTCAGGGAATACTTACTGTTCTCATGAGCAGTTTCGGCTGGAGAAACAGTGTCCATCGGACTGGATGTCAGTGAATCTCTGCAGCATCAGCTGTGTGGCTGAGGGTGACGGAGCAGAGTGTGAGTGGAGGGCAGAGGAGAAAAGGTCGGTGGTTAGAGGTTTGTTGACTGTCTCACCTGTAATCACAGGGAGGCACTAAGATGTTATTCACTAAAATCAAGTTGTAGAGGAGAGGGATGGAAGGAAGAAGGAGCAAGATGAATGGCAGTTTTATCACAATGTGGAACAGTAAACTAACAGGCTAAGATGTGTTGTATGAGGATTCCGAAGGAGAGGGAATTACATAGAGTTAAAATTCCAAAAGTAACCCCTAGTACAAAATAGTGCAAACATTTCTAAATTTCAGAAGAACTACAGAGAGAACGCAAAGTTTTTCAAAAAGCTACAAAAACATGTCATAAAATTAAGACCAAACATGCTGTGTCTATACATGTAAACACATAACTTTATACACATAACCTGAAGGCTGGTAAAAGTAAAAGATTTCAGATTGAATCAAAAAGTGAAACCCAACTCCAAGTTGTACGTAAGAAGCACACCTAAAACAGAGATTTACAAAAGTTGAAAATAAAAGAATGAAAAGATACACTAGGGAAAAGTAAAAAATAAAGTGGGACAAAAAGCATTAAAGGAAAGCAGCAGCCCACTTTTTCCTGCCATGATGCACATCAGAGTAGGGGTAACTGGAAAAGCAGGGCATCCCTGGAGGGGCAGGTGGAGCAGCGGCGAGGGCCTCGGTCATCATTCCCACAGGAGACCTCTACTTCGTGGGTTCTGTCACAGGGATTTGTTACTGTGGCTTCCCAGAATACAAATTCTACAATTTTGTATTTTAGTGCAATTTATTTGCTATTTAATAATGAGTTTTTAAATACAAAATGGTATTTAACAATGAGTTTTGGTGTTGTGTTTCCTTTTTAATTTCTACATGGAAGGGCTGTTTGATTTTCTGATTGTCTGTTCAGCAAACAACTGCGAGTATGGGCTTAGGTTGTGAAAATACTTGTTAGTGCCCAACCATTCATTCTAGCCTCTTTCTGGTGTGCCCTTTTGCTACAGAGGCTGGAAAGCTAAAAGCTCCATTTCAGACTCTTGCAGCCTGGGCTCCGGGAGGAGATATGCTTCCACTAACTAAATGAATAGCCTGCAAGACTAGAAGACAGAGCTGTAGGCTGCGGCTGCCTCAGCTCCCTTGTATGAAGGTCTCTTCAGGTTTGCATGGGTAGTGACTGTTTCCTATACTTGGACTCGGACTGATACAGTGACTTAATTTAGGATGGCATGTTAGAAATCTTCATGCATGTGTGTTATATCACTGTGGTTTGTAATTCCATATTAAATATATATATCGCTCAGCTTTTTTCCGTCTTTCCTTTAAGCTGTTGCAGCTAATTGCAAAATCCCAGTTAACTTCATTGAGTGGCGTGGCACAGAAGAATTACTTCAACATTTTGGATAAAATCGTTCAAAAGGGTAAGATGATCACTGTATTTTTAATACTCTAAATCTTAATTAGAAATTTGGTGCAAGGAGATGGGATTTTTCTTTTATCTTTACCCAGTACACATACTGTCAAAAACAATTGTGTAAATAATGTGATAACATCAGAAATACAGGTCATCCTTCCAGTTCCCAGTGTTCTGTTACTGCCGTTTACTTTTTTAAAGTTGCTTTTGCATACAAATGGATATATTAGGAAAAATAACTAATCACACAACTTAAAAAAGCTATTTTACTTTTTCATGGTTAGCTAATCACAGTTCATTTTAGATGTATGCTTCCAAAATTAGCAGGATTGTGACTTACTCACTTAGGCATCAGATAAGCCAATAATTTTCTTTCTAATTTAATGAGCTTGCCTTGATAAGTTACTGGCTGTTAGTAAATGGAACTTTAAATTTCACACCATGACTTTATACATGCATAGGAATATATGACTCTATATTTAAGCCATTTTAAAGTAGCCTCTTTATGATAAGTACAAAAGAACGTGTAAACTGACCATTTTTAAGGCAAAATTGTAGACCCAACTGAAAATTTATCAGATAAAATTTTAAAGTTTTAAGAAATCTCATATTTGTGATATCTCAAAAATGATGTCACTTTTGGGTTGCAGTGAAATTACATCTTTTTATTGTGGTAAAATACACATTACATAAAATTTACCATTTTAGCAGTTTTTAAGCATACAGTTCAGCGGCATTAAGTGTGTGTATATTACTGTGCACCCATCACCACCAGTCATCTCCAGAACCTCTTCATTGTCCCAAACTGAAACTCATACCACCTTAAACACTGAGTCCCCATTCCTCCTCCCCACCAGCCCCTGGTAATTATCATTCTACTTTCTGTCTCTACGAGTTTGACTACTCATGTAAGTGCCTTATGTAAGTGGGTGCCTCATGTAAGTGGAGATATATATTTGTCCTTTTGTAGCTAGCTTATTTCACTTTGCATAATGTCTTCAGGGTTCATCCATGCTGAATATGTGTGAGAATTTCCCTCCTTTTTAGGGCTGAATAATATTCTATTGCATGTATAGATCACACGTTGTTTGTCTGTTCGTCTATCAGTGGACATTTGGGTTATGAAACTAGATCTTTTTTTAAAGTGTTGCTTAACTGTATCAATCCATAGTTTTATTTTTATTTATTCCAGTTCTTGATGACCACCACAATCCTCGCTTAATCAAAGATCTTCTGCAAGACCTAAGCTCTACCCTCTGCATTCTTATTAGAGGAGTAGGGAAGTCTGTATTAGTGGGAAACATCAATATTTGGATTTGCCGATTAGAAACTATTCTCGCCTGGCAACAACAGCTACAGGATCTTCAGATGACTAAGGTATAAATATCTCGGCATAAGAGTTATTACACTCTGTTTTTATATTACAGAAGTTATCTTTTCTAAGCATACATGAAAGACTGCTATAGCTTTTTGAAAGATTTTCTAATGCTTTCATAAGTATTCATTAAATTGTTTTAAAATAGAAAAGGACCAAAGACCCCAATGGCTTATAGTTGCTATTGGAAAGACAGTGGGAATAGCAATCATCAAACCAGGCTGATCCTATGGGTGATTAGATGTAAATAAATTTACCTTCATGGGAAACTGAATATTTCAGTTATTAGAATAACATTCAGTAAATTAAGGCTAAATTGTGTTGCCAGTAATTCTCTATTTATTTAGTTGTTGCTTCTCCCAAGTTAGTAACTTTTTGTCTTCTTCCTTGCTGTCTTTTTTGGGGATGTGTTTATAGTTCTTAGCAACAGTGAACAAGGCCAAAAGAAGGTGCAAATCATGTCAGTTTTTTTGATATTTTTTCTTTATTCTGGTAACTAGTTTCAACAAGAATAATGTTAACACCATTGCCCCGAGTATTTAGATAGTGTTTTATTTAACTCTAGTACTCATAAGAAAAAGAATAAACCGAAGATATATCTTAGCGGTGTGCCTTACGTAGCCTTGGTGGTATAAATGATTCTGCAGATTGCACTGCTAAGATCCTAGTTACCTTTTATCACAGCACCCCAGTTTTCACATAAAGGAATGGTTTTCAAGTGCCCTTTGAATGCCTTAACTTTTGGCTGTTTATTTGCCATCTAAATATGGGATTTACAAAAAGAGTGATGATTGCCTAGTTATGAGTCTGAAATTATCCTTAATAATGTAACATTCAGCGTCAGTAAGAGTTAAGCAAGTTTGTTATAAACGTTGGATTCTTTGTTCTGTTGTTGTCTTGGTGTGACCCTACAGTCATTCAAAGCTTTGCACAGGCTGGCTCTTCGCTGCCTCTTTTACTGCGTTCCCCATGCATAGGTGGGTTGTGCTAAAAGTCCATCTGTAAGACACTTATGCATGGCATGGGGCTTGCTGTAGAAGTCCTAACATGAGTGGCGAGGCCACATGGCCAAAGTCCCCTTTCTCCTGATGAGGCAGATCCGTGGTAGTGATGTTCAGCAGGTGACCTTCTGGGGAGAGAATAGGGTGTGTCCTTGTCCATGGTGGGTTTTCATGGTCAGGATCCCAAGGAAGGGGGTGTTTGGGAAAGGCCAAACACCAGACCAGGAAGCAGCCTTTCTTGTCTGGCTGGGAAGTTCCAGGTAGGATTAGTGGCTCTGCATTCTTTGGAGAGAGATGTGGAGCCAGTGGAGAGATGTGCACCGGTGGAGACAACAGCGAAGCTCCAAGGATTGGGCCACACCTCACCAAGAGGAGAGAAAGGAGAAAGCAAGGGACAAGCTTGCATCTTTGACTGGGTGGGCCGAGACAGAGCAGGAAGGCATGGCTGTATGCTGAGCTTCCTTCTGGATCTTCTTTCCATTCATACTACCTGGGAGAGGCACGGGCTGAGGGATAATAGTGCATGTGGCCCCAGCTTGCCCCACTCAGTGCTGACCATAGCCAGTGAAGGAAGACACTCTGCTTTTGGCCCGGGATGGTTCTTACAGCCCTGGTAGGCAGAGCACACTTACGTGGCAATACCTCTCTGCCTCAGCACAGAAGGATAGGTGTTACTGTAGTGCCATTTTGATCAAGTGGGAAAAATAAGGTACAAAAATGAAATTAATGTTTAATCTTTGGGGAATAAGAAAGCGCTGATGATAACACAAAGGTGCCAGTTTTCGTCATGTCCACTCAAATCTTACCATCAGAGACCTTGAACTTGTTTCTTCTCTTTCATTAGTGGTTGCATGCTGCCTGGCATCTCTTCACCTGAGTCCCTGGGTGCTCTCTGGAGCACGCAGCTTGGCATGTGCCTCTGTGAGGATCTTGGCTTCTGGACCCTGTGCCCTGCTTCTAGCCTCGAGGAGGGTCAGGTTCCCTTGTAGGAGTTGGCCAGAGGAGTTTTACCTTTCTGGGAATGTTACTTGAAACCAGTAGAAAGAGCACTTTACCAGCTCAGTTAACTGAGCTGCATTTGTAGATGCCGGACTCAGTCAGCCAAATTGGTCTAAGGCTGCTTAAGGTAAAGACCTGGTCTCCTGACCTGCTGGCTGATGCTGGATTGCTGCCTCCCGCTTATTCACGTGAATTTTGAGGTGACTCAAGCAGATGGGGTTAGAACAGAGCAGCTGAGAGCCTTCCCGGATCCCTGAGAGTGGAAGTCCAAGCACACCGCCTGAAGTTCCGCCATGTCAGCCTCAGGATATAGGGCCAGCTTTCTCCAGTGAGCTGACAGTTGTCTTTGTCTTCTAGATTATCCCAACAAGAAATACCTTGACACCCCTGGCCGGGCGCGGTGGCCCACACCTGTAATCCCAGCCACTTTGGGAGGCCAAGTCAGGTGGATCACCTGAGGTCAGGAGTTCGAGACCAGCCTGGCCAGCATGGTGAAACGCTGTCTTTACTAAAAATACAAAAATTGGCCAGGTGTGGTGGCAGGTACCTGTAGTCACAGCTACTCGGGAGGCTAAGGCAGGGGATTTGCTTGAACCCGGGAGGTGGAGGTTGCAGTGAGCCGAGATCGTGCCATTGCACTCCAGCGTGGGCGACAAGAGTGAAACTCCGTCTCAAAAAAGAAATACCTCGACACCCCTTAAATCTAAATACTCATAGTCCCAAAAGTAAGCAGAAATTTAGTATATATTTGTGTTGTAAAGTTCCTAAGAACATCAGAAATTTTTTTTCTTGTGAAACAAATATACTTTGCTGTTTAAGCTGCATTTGAAGATATGGCAGTGCTAATGAATTGGAAGTGCTTTCATGTGCACATCTCTGTGACTCAGTGAGAGCAGGCACACAGGTATGTGTTCACATGCTTCCTCACCCCGTCAGCACTTCCTAGATGCCCCCATGTGCTCGCTGGGCCCATCATGAGGTGGGACACATGGATCAGCAGGCGTAGCCTTTAGCATGGGGCCTCCGAGGGACCCAGGGAGATGAGCACATGATGTGTCACAGAACTCAGTGGGGTGTTATAACAGATATGCACACAGGGCTGTTGACATTACATTGGTTCACAAGTGATGTGATGTTTTAGGTGGAGCTTAAAGAATGGGCCGGGCGCGATGGCTCACGCCAGTAGTCCCAGCACTTTGGGAGGCCGAGGTGGGCAGATCACAAGGTCAAGAGATAGAGACCATGCTGGCTAACACGGTGAAATCCCATCTCTACTAAAAATACAAAAAATTAGCCGGGCGTGGTGGGACGTGCCTGTGGTCCCAGCTACTTGGGAGGCTGAGGCAGGAGAATTGCTTGAACCCAGGAAGCAGAGGTTGCAGTGAACTGAGATCACACCACTGCACTCCAGCCTGGGTGACAGAGGGAGACTCCATCTCAAAAAAAGAAAAAGAAAAAGAAAACAAAGAATGAGGGGAGAGTATCCAGGTGATGGCCTCCTGGTCAGTGCTTAACAACTGGCTCTCCAGGGGCAAGAGGTTTGATTTGTAGCCTTTGTCAGCTTCCCACTATGACTGACTTCAAGCCACCAACAAAAAGTAAACTGGCTAACGAAATTCCCAGAAGTTGCAGAATTGACTCCTGTGAGAAGGTATGGGAACTTCCGCATCCAGGGGCTAATAAAGTGTGTTATGCCAAATGTGTGGACTGCTTGGAGGAAGGTGCAGGGGATTAGGACCAGACTCAGGGCTTTGTGGGCATTGCAGAGCCTTTGCTGCTCTCTGCCAAGGGTCATTGAAAGGTCCTTGTTTAGAGGTCCCCTTCAGTGCCAGGCAGGGACCAGCCAGGTTGGAGGGAAGTAAACCCTCATTGCATTCATGAGCAGTGACAGTGAAATGGGAAGAATGAACTTGGGGATACTTGAGCAAAAGAGTAGACTGGTGACTTTGAAGTGGGTGCGAGGGAAGGAAGAATTGAGGGAGACTTCAGTGACTCACCACATATTGAGGGGATGGGCCTCCCATGGAGAAGGGCAGAGCAGTTGGGAACACGGACTTGGGGCCAGGCAGACTGGGCTCGAGGCTGGACCTCGATCTTGGGCAAGCCAGTCAACTCATCTGTATCTCTGTTTTTTTTCTGTGTAAAATAGAATGATAATAGCAACACAAGTTTCTGTTAGCAGAAGTGCTTCCACAGAGAAGTGGGAATCATTGACAGTTGCATGCAATAGCTGAGACTATCCTAAAGCAAGAGAAGCAGCAGCATCGTTTCTTCCTTCCAGTGCAGTGTAGGTGTGAGAGATTTCATGATGGCAGAGAGCATGTAGCTAATCAGTGGAGGAAGTGCAGCAAAAAACGCAGCAGGATTTCTGACATGTTCAGCAAGACTTTTGTGCCTTGTCACATTTCGAGATTTCGTTTGGATGAGAAGTGCTGGCATTTCTGCGACACCCTCTTGTTATAGCCATTAACAGGGATGTAAAACTGGACTCTGCCAGAAATCCCAAATGCTGAGTTGTCACACCAGACTCTATAACTCTACTAATCCGGGATTTTTTTTCTTCGTACTACCTTCATACCACCACTTCATGCTACCTTTAAAGTTTGTAATTTTAGCAGCAGAATATTTGTAAACTACTGTCTGCTACAGAAATTTTTCTCAGTAGGAATTAGAATGAAGCACCTGGAAGACATAATTCTTGTGAGAGTGTTAGACTTTTAGTTAGGGGTTAATTTACTTGCACGTTATCTTTTTGTTTTGTTTTGTTTTTGTCTTTGAGATAGGGTCTTGCTCTGTTGCCCAGGCTGGAGTGCAGTGGTTCAGTCATAGCTCACTGCAGCCTTTAACTCCTGGGCTCAGGTGATCCTCCCACCTCAGCCTCCTGGGTGGCTGGGATTATAGGCGTGAGCCACCCGGCCTGGCCATATTCTCTTTTCTATGTGCTCTCTGCCATATGCTAGACGATAAAGATGGAAGGATGGGCTAAGACTTGAATCAAACATTCGTCAGTAATGAGCAAAGACGTTTACTGAGAGCCTGCGGGGACCATGCTGGCTGCTGGGGAAGTGATGTCTCTTGGACTGTGCAGCTCCATAGCCTACAACAGGGCTGACATCTGCCCTATGCGTGGGTCCCATCAGCTGTAGGAGCAAAAAACGTGTGTACAGACAGGGCAGGACAGCACACTAGTGCAGTCCATGAAAGCTTCATGTCCAGAATGTTAGAGCACTTCACAAACTGTCAAGCAGTGTTGAGGCCCCACTCGTGTCTGGCAGATGCATAGGATGCTTGAGGTGAAGTGGCTTGGAGTGCATCACTGGCGGTCCATGCTCGTGCTGCCCACTGGGATGCATGAGAAGGGCCCTGCAGCAGTTTCCATTCTGAAGTCCCAGGAAGGTGCTTCCATAGCGAGGACATTATAGGGGAGCAGGAGAAGAAAGTGGGGTGTCAAGGCACGGGTGCCCCAGTCACCTCTCCCTACGCTCCACTCTCCACAGAGGTCAGGTGATTTTGAGAACCAAACTCATGGAATTAGCTCAGTCTAGCCAAAAATAGATGGTCACTGTGCTTTGTGTGCAGTAGGATTATAGAAAGCCACGACACATCAGAAGGAAGCTAGCTCTCCTTGTGGCCAAGTACATACATCGACCTATTGGGAACAAAAGGAAAACACAAATCAGAAGCTCGCAGGTGAGCACACGACAGAAGCGCCACCCCAGACTGGGGTCAGGAGCTGAGGCGGGACCAGGTAGCCTCTGTCCCGCCCAAACAGCCAGAACCCCACTGTCAGGAAGACGTGTTTCTAGTGAGAATGAAGGGATTTATTTAGATACAACTGAGCCCTGAAAAGTCTGAAACAGTTTGAGCTCAAACCCAATCCAGGGCTGTCTCAGGTCAACCTCAGAGCAGAGTTTAGTTTTTGAACTGATTCAGCCCACTTCTTGGGGCCAAGGACAGCCACCCTTCCTCAGCCTGGCACGTGCACACACATGTATCTTCTGAGGGCAGATGCATTGCATTTACTCTCTGGCGTGTGTGAGGGAGAAATGGTTTGTAAACTTGAAGTCATAGAAATGTAAAGCTGGAAGGTGGGGGGATGTTGGATGGAGGGTGAAAGGTTTCTGTAGTGCAGGAGGAGTCCATTGTGGAGGTTGTCTACACAGCATGATGACTGCAGTTAATAATTATACATCCTTTACTTCAAATTTGCTAAGAGTAGATCTTACATGTTCTCACCACAAAAATAAAAGGATTATGACTTGAGGTGATGGACAGTGAGCTGGGCTGTGGCCATCGGTTCATAACGCATACAAGCACAGAACACCACATGCTGCCAATGTAGACAGATTGCATTTATCAGTTACACCTCAATAAAGAAAAAAACCCCACAAAGCTAGAAGGAGCTTTGCAGACGATGTGGTCAACCTCCCTCATCACTGGGGTGACCAGCTGTGACCCATAAAGGCCTAGGGGCTGTCCAGGCCACCCAGTGGTGTGGCACAGGCCCTGCCCCCTGCTGGTGATGGGTGTCATGTTGCCCTCATGGTGCATTGGATTCATCTAGGCAGCAGCGCCACATCCACAGACGCTGCCCTTCTCCAGGTGCGTCTTGATGCAGTAGAGGAGTACTGACCTCCTGATGCTGACGCACACCTGTCGCATGGGGAGGTGCAGCAGTAGGGCCTCACCCAGGAACAGCCTGGTTCTGTCACGCTGTGCAGCCCTCTCTTGCTCTCCTCCTCCAGCCTTCCCCACGGTGGTGGATGCAGGCCCCTTGACACCTTGCGACGCATGACATGGAGAGCTCTTTTTGTGTTACCATGTTTTGAAGCATTCATTCCAGCTTGACTCTTCAGTTACTGTGTGAACAAACATTGGCCATCTTCTCAGTGAGTTGCTGTTGTGTTTTCCTTTCAGCAAGTGAACAATGGCCTCACCCTCAGTGACCTTCCTCTGCACATGCTGAACAACATCCTATACCGGTTCTCAGACGGATGGGACATCATCACCTTAGGCCAGGTGACCCCCACGTTGTATATGCTTAGTGAAGACAGACAGCTGTGGAAGAAGCTTTGTCAGTACCATTTTGCTGAAAAGCAGGTGAGTGGGATGCAGCAGTCTCCCCTCAGGCTGGGAGTTTATAGACTCTGCCTGGGGGCCATACCCTATAAACTCACCTGGAGAGAAAGAATGGCTGAGTATTTTCTACTTTTAAAGAACCAGGAACAATCAGAGTTTATTGAGATTGCTGTGGGTTCTCTCCTATAGAATGTAAGGTTTATTTTTCATATTGAATAGAACCATGACTCTAAAAATAACCCAAAACTGAACAGCAAAGCAAGAACTGAGTTCTTTTCTCTCCTGTTGATAACGAGGTGCATAGAGTCCCTGGCTCACTGCCTTTTCTCCTGATTTGATGAATCAGATTCCAGTTCTTTTGACCAAGCTGCACATCCTTGAAAAGTCAGGTGCCCTCTGTGTGCCTCAGTCTCTCAGCACTCGGTAGATGCCGCTCCTGAGTGTCCACAGCCCCTCCCCCCTGCCTTGTGTGCTGCACTTGGGAGTGCACGTGGGGCAGCAGAAGGTGTGTTCTGCTGTCACTCCTTGAGGCCTTTGCAGGGTGGTCTGCTTATTCCTCATCCACGATGAGACCCTGTGGTCCCTGTTCCTGGGCCTCTGCAGAAACTGGGGGTTCCCCTCGTCACCCCACAGATGTCCAAGGCACCTGCTCTGCACAGGGCTGGTCGCAGCCAGAGAAGGCAGGTGGCTGGAGGGAGGCATGTTGTGCTCCTCGTGGGGTGTGATTTGAACTGTGGTCAGCACCTTGAAGACCTAGGATGGGACTGGGTGCCTTTCATGAGGAGCATAGCCTACCCTTGGAATGCAGGGCAGTCGACAGGGCCTAGGCAGAGAGCCGGACCCTAGCATGGGGAGGGTGCTGTGTGTTTGGTGGATAGTGAGGAAGCACGGCAGAGGCCGAGCTACACTAAGAATCCTTGTCTGTGTCCTGTGAGCTCAGGGGAGCCAGCAAAGCACATGGAATTGCAGCTTTCAGAAGAGCCTCTGTTCTTGTTTGAGGACTAGGCTGGAGTGGATACAAGAGGATCCATGAGGATCCTGCCTCAGGAAAATAAGAGTTATGGGCAAGGAAGTGCACAAGGGCAACAGGGAAGACATCAGAAGATGACCCCGATGGGATGGGGGCTGCCACAGGAAGGGGCTGGCCTGAACATGGGCCTCACGGAGTGTGTCTGAGAGGTATGTGGAGCTAGGGCCTAGACAGATGCATATGGAGAGGACAGGAGGCAACGGGATCAGCCTGGGCAGGGCCTCAGGGCACCAACCCCAATGTTGAGGGATAGAATGAGGTGCCCCAGAACCTGGGGGGAGCTGGACTCTCAAGGCCATGGACAGAGAGATTAATAGGACAAAGAAAAGCCTGTGAGATTTAGCCGAGCAGAGGTTATGGATGCCTTGGGGAAAACTCTCTCAAGTGGACTTGTTCGGGAGAAGCAAAAGAATTCCAGTATTAATTTGAGTAGGAGAACAGTAGATTGAATTTTAAGTCAGCATTGGGCATGGGGGAGGGGGTGGATAGAATTTTGTGTGGAGGATTTAGATCCTAGGAAAAGAGGTAAATGAAGGTTGCCTGGGATGAGCCCTCTGCCTCCCAGTTTGCCCTGGGACACTCCCTATCACGTGCAGGCCCGAGCTGTTCCCAAAAGGCGTTAATGAGAGTGCCTGGCAGGTGTTTATACATCTAGACCCTAAACATACTTAAGGATGTCTTTTGGCCATTTCTGTGGTCATTGCCATTCTTAAAAGAGTTGCTTTAAATAAGTTAAATGTCTGTTCTGCACCCACATCCTAGAATAGTTAAGTTGCAATTAGCACCTGCAGGTGCATCTCATTTGTACACATTTTCTTAACTGAATCATAAAAACACAGCATCAGAAAATAATGATCTGTTCTTCAGGCCTCAGTAACTAACATTAAGGCCCTGAAAAAAAAAGCATATTAGAAATAGCTTTTATGAGAAAGCTTAGATAAGGAAGCATCCTCAAAGTAAAAACTAGATACCTGAGAAAACTGGACTGGTTCAAGATAATATGGAAGGAAAAGTCAGCTAAATGCTCTTGACTGGAGCATCTGGTGGGATGTTGCATTTGAGTTCAGAAAAATCACAGATGGTTATTCAGGAGGAAAACCATGGGAGGGGATTCTCCCGTGAACACTGGTGTCACACACAGTCAGTGAGAAGTAGGAATGAGACAACAAACGGTTGTTTTTAGTCTCTAGGAACTATTGTTTTAACAGTACCTGCCTGGAGGACAGAGAAATTAATATTAAATATGAACAGGCTGATAACGACTTTTTATTTTGCAAGTAGTCTTCTTTTCAAATTTTATTAGAAACAAGATTTCCTCATTGACTCCACGATAATTTCCAGAGTCCTCAAAAGCCGTGACTGAAGTATGAGTATGTTATACAAGTGATTGTTTTTAGCTTTGAAAAGTAAAACATGCTCATTGCAGCAACAGCCATAAAGACTAGTACAGTGTTGTACAAACAAGTTAAAAGGCCCCCACCCCAAGGCAGCCCTGTTACTCCTTTAGCCCGTGCATTTTGTTTTTTGTTTCAGGCTTTTGTATGCACTCAAACATACACATTAATTTCGCTAGCTCTGCACTGGTCATTTTCAAAACTGTAATTGAAAGTCACTCTGTAATACTGATGTTTTTGGTAACACCTTTATTAAGATACCCTCCACTTTATGCAGCCATCACTACAGTCGATGTTAGGATATTGGCATCTGTATTAGTCCATTCTCCGCTGCCAATAAAAGACATACCCGAGACTGGGTAATTTTTAAAGAAAAAGAGATTTAATGGACTCACAGTTTGATGTGGCTGGGGAGGCCTCACAATCCTGGTGGAAGGCAAAGGAGGAGCAAAGTCACATCCTACATGGCAGCAGGCAAGAGAGCATGTGCAGGGGAACTGCCCTTTATAAAATCATCAGATCTTGTGAGACTTATTCACTATCACAAAAACAGCATGGGAAAGACTTGCCCCCATGATTCAGTTACCTCCCACCGGGTCCCTCCCACGGCACATGGGAATTATGGGAACTACAATTCAAGATTTGGCGGGGGACACAGCTAAAACATCAGCATCACCTCAGGAAAAACAAAACAAAACAAAACATGCCCTTCAGCTGCCATTCCTAGCCCCAAGCAACCCCTAATCGACTTTCTGTCTCTGTGTTTCCCTGTTCTGGATGTGTAATGTAAGAGGAATCTATGGCATTTCTCATCTTGTGACTGGCTTCTTACCCTTTGCATGATGTCCTTACGGCTCCATGTTGTAGAATAAATCAGAGCTTCATTCAAGACTGAATAATATCCCCCTCTATGTATATCCACTTTTTGTTTATCCATTCATCAGTTGATTGACATTTAGTTTGTTTGATAAAAGTTTGTGGCTTTTACAAATAATGCTGCCATGAACATGTTCGAGTTTGTGTGTAGATGCATGTTTTCATTTCTCTTGGTTATAAACCTAGGAGTAGAATGGCTGAGTCATATGGTGGATTCTGTTTAACTTTTTGAGGAATTGCCAGACTGTTTGCAAAGTGGCTGCACCATTTCACATTCCCCCAGCAGTGTGTGAGGTCTCTTGATTCTCCACCCCTCCCCAGTGCTTCTCATTATTTCACTTTTTGATTAAAGCCATTCTAGTGGGCAGGAAGTGGGTCTCATTCCATTTCCCTGATGACTGGATTCTAGAGCATCTTTTCATGAGGTTATCGTCCATTTCTGAGACTTATTTAGATAAATGTCTTTGCATGTCCTTTGACCATTTTTTAAACTGGGTTATTTGTCTTTTTATTATTGAGTTGTAAGTGTTCTTTATCTATTCTAGATATAAGTCTGTTATCACATATGATGTGTGTAGCTTATTTTAATTTAATAATACATTATGGACATTATTCTGGATTGGAGTATTTAAGTCTGTTTAACAGCTGCTTGGTATTCCATTATACAGGCATAACACAATTTATTTGATTTGTCACTTATTGATTTAACCCAAGTGAGTTTAATTTCAAATAATTGTTTTATGTACTACACTGCCTTTGAAAAATAATTTCAGATAGACCTGGAGGCCATTATTCTAAGTAAAATAACTTAGGAATGGAAAACCAAATATCATATGTTCTCAGTTATAAGTGGGAGGTAAGCCACGGGTACACAAAGGCATTCAGAGAGGTATAATACACATTGGAGACTCAGAAGAGGGAAGGGTAGGAGGAGGGTGAGGGATGAAACACTACATGTTGGGTCACTGCATACTTCTCCAGTGATGGGAGCACAAAAATCCCAGACTTCAGCACTGTACAATTCATCCATGTAACCAAAACCCACTTGTAACCCTAAAGCTATTGAAGTTTAAAAAAAGAAATTAAAAACTAAAATAAAATGAAAAAGTTTTACACCTAATATTATGTTTTGAAAGTCATCTTATGCGGATTCTGAATGGAGTTTTGTTTGTTTAGTTTTGTAGACATTTGATCCTTTCAGAAAAAGGTCATATTGAATGGAAGTTGATGTACTTTGCACTTCAGAAACATTACCCAGCGAAGGAGCAGTACGGAGACACACTGCATTTCTGTCGGCACTGCAGCATTCTCTTTTGGAAGGTACTGATTTAAATGCACTCTTGGAATTTCAGGATTAAATTTTGGTGAAACAAACTAATCACCTATATTTTAAGTATAAGACTAAAAAGCGGAAAATACTGTTTGTTATAAGTAAGTTAAGGAGATATATTTTACCAAATATTGGGGTAGGGGAACAGATGTTCATTCAATGTGTAGCTTAAACCAGAAACGCTGAAAACCAAAATGCTTCTCCTTTTTGCAGAAGTTAGCATGCAGGAGGGCGTTGCAGGCGGATTGCAGCCAGTGACCTTTCCTGGCAGCAGCTCCAGATTCCCTGCTGGCCCCCAGCCTGAGGTTGAAGGCTGGAGTGTGACCCCTCTGCCCATCTGAGGACAAGTGCACCTTCCTCGTTTCCCCAGACTTAGCCCTCGGCCCTTTATGTCCCCACCGACTCTGCAGGGCCAGGACCAGCTTAGGCTTCATTTCTCAAAGCCACATTCTTAGAAAAAAAGTGTCCATAGAGAAGTCCTAGATTTTAAAATCTGCATTTTTCTCATTCATATGATCAGAACTTAACAAGACTATCGTTACTTATCTGCAAGTCTCATCCCTTCATCCAGTTACTTCCTGTTCTCACCATCCAGACTGTGTGTCTAAATAGAATGTTTTTCACAGTCAGAGAGGTAACTGCTTATTTCTTTGTTGTCTTTTTTCTTTTTTGAAATAGGGTCTCGCTCTGTCACCCAGGCTGGAGTGCAGTGGCGTCATCACGGCTCACTGCAGCCTCTACCTCCTGCCTCTCAAGTAGCTGGGACTACAGGCAGGTGCTACCACACCCAGCTAATTCACTTCTTTTTTTTGTTTGTTTTTTTGAAACAGCATCTTGCTCTGTCACCCAGGCAGTTATGGGTGCAGTGGCGCAATTATGGCTCACTTCAGCCCCGACTTCTGGGCTCAAGTGATTCTCCCACCTCAGCCTCCTGAGTAGCTGGGACCAGCTGATTTTGTTTGTTTGTTTTTGGTAGAGACAGGGTTTCACCGTGTTACCCATGGCTGGTCTCAAAACTCCCAAGCTCAAGCAATATCTATGTGCCCCAGCTTTCCAAAGTGCTGGGATTACAGGCGTGAGCCATGGCACCCGGCAATTATCCACTTTTTTCTTAACATGTTAATATTATTTCACCCTGGAGTGTGTTTCCATGGTTTGCCTTGCGTTTGAACATGTTTATGTTGTGAGATTTCACCGTGGGGGAAAAAAAATGTTGAAACTAGGCATAAGCTGGTCCTGGAGTGACCCTGCTGAGCTGCTGGCTGCTCTGCGGAGGGAGTCCTCTGACTGTCCCTGGTCTAGATGAGGCCCTGCCTCTTGCAAGAGTGGGCTGTCTCTGCCTCTTGCCTTCTCTAGGTCTAGGGAGATGAGGCTTTTGCCTGATAGACACCATAACCTTTTGTGATTACTTTTTTTGCTTTACATTATCTATATTTGTTATCAGATAGGTCATACGGCAAACTCTAGGTTGTCGGAAAGAGACAACTGCTTTTCATTTTTTCATTTCAAATTACATTTATTCTAAGTGTGGCTTTAAAAATTAATCCGTGGTTGAGCAGAGAATGTAAAGATGTGTTTTTCTTGTATTATTTTAATAGTTTTATTTGGTATATCAAAGGTAAACAGCATCATACATGAATATGAGATTTTATTTCTGATTTATTGTTTTATATTTTGGTATGACTTCTCTCTTTCCTGAAATTAAAAAGATGCAAGTTGTGTTATGTGTTTTTGCAGTAGTACAACTGTCTTGTAGACTATTATCCCTCAAGAGCAGGGAACATCTTGATTCCAGTTTATTCTCGATTTGGTGAAGTCAGCAAATCAGTTCATCAGTAAGATTATGGATATACAGGAGAGAACCCTCATTCTATTCTTTTCTCCCCAGTTATAGGGCACAGAAGGCACAGTATGGGGGTGAGTTGTCTGCAGTAGAAGCCACAGGCAGATGCTTGTGGACAGAAGGAAAGGGGCCGATTGAGTGAAGTCCAGGTTCCCAGCCAGCTTTGACACCTGACCCTGGAGGGAACAGGGCCCCCCTTCTGTGTAATTCCTTCTAGGACTGACACCTGTTCTTCTCTGAAATATTAACACTGAAAACATGTGACTGTGTCTTCAGTCACAGAGTAAGAGTGGACACAATACTGTAGTTTCTAATTTGAGTTAGTGCTTCTCCTAAGAGTTACTTGTCTTTTTTTCTCCTGAGCAGATTGTTTTGTACTATAGAACTATTACAAGCAATGATACTTTTATAGGGAAAATACCATTCATAGAAGGGATAGAAGGCTTTCAGTTTTGTATGTGGTAGTATTTTTCTTAGAACAATATTTATCAATATTGGAGCTCTCCCTGTCTGCTGAGCAACTAACAAAGAAATACACAGTCCTTCGCTTCCACATTGTTAGGCAGTACAGATCAAGTCTCCCTTATCTGAAATGCCTGGGACTTGAAGTGTTTCAGATTTCAGATTTTTTTCATCTGTTTCATTTACACAGAGCTTGAAGATAATTTCATACAATGGTTTAGTAATTTTATACATAAAACAAAGTTTGTGTTACTTAACATGTGTAGTTTTCCACTGTGGCATCATGTCACTGCTCAAAAGTTTGGGATTTTGGAGCATCTCAGATTTTTGGATTACAGGTGCTCCATGTATATAAGAATATGCTGCCTTAGTTTCCTGAAATATGTAATTTCTGATTTTTTTAAATTGAGAGATGATGTAGCCTTCCAAAAGAATTTGCTTTGCCATTCTTGTATTTAGTGAACTTTGTTATCATACTTGATCATATCATGGAAATTGAGAACAAGTCTCTCCTAGGAAGGACAGCTGCCCATCTCTTAGTTCTGGGAGGTTCATGTCTTGCCCTTGGAGGCTGTGATGTCCACTTCACTGTAGCTACAGTGAGTGGTCCCATCACAGCTTCTCCCACTGAATATCATTCTAGAAGGCAGTCCACGTTTTTAGTTCTGAATCCATGCATTGGAAGTATTCAAAAAGAGCCATCTCTCCTAATTTAACCCCTCAAGATGTCAGGTACTTCTTGCCCTGTCTTCCATCTCCTCCGCCGTGGGTTTGCCCAGTGTGGCTAACCAGAGGCGAGTGGCCTGGTGGGCCAAACCCAGATTGGAGTCAGGCAGACCTGGACCTGCCTCCGGGGTCTCCTGAGCTTGCTGCCCCTCCTAGGGTCTTGGTTTGACGCCATGACCCACCACACAGAGGAGCTGTGGATGTTCAGCAGTCCTGCACCTGGAAACTGGCACATAGCTGGTGCTCAGAAAATGGCACTTAGGGTTAGGGTCACTGCTTGTTCTTTGTTTGTTTAGCATCCCAGTAGTTTGTGTTGACTGAGAAACTAAAGTAATATCAAAGCTGTTAAGAAAATGAGACTGGGTGTTGTTGACTCTAAATTCTGGCCCTGGGACTTGGTCATGAGCCGACACCATGGTGCATCTGTCTCAGGTCTGCATCTGGTATTTATCACTTCCCACAGTACATAAGCTTGGAGCTCTCCAGTCAGCAGTGCTGTGGAGCCACTTCATCTGCTCCCAAGCTGGTTTCCCATCTGTTGTGGCTCTACTATATTGGAGTTCTTTTTTAACTTTTCTACCTGCCTTAGTCAGCCTTCCACACAGTCTGTAAGTAACTGGGCTGAGTTAAGCTCTGGAGCCAAAGACTGACTTCGATGGCCCTGCGAGGGTCCACTGAGAGGGGTGGCGTTACCTCCCGGCTGTACAAAACCTCAGTTAAAAACTGTAGACTTGTTGGCTGGGTCAGGGAAGCCATGATGAGCATTTGGCCTTTTTATGTCCTGTTTTTTCTTGGTGTATCAGTTGCCAGAATAGAGGGCTGGCCATCTGACGTTCACCCCACAGGCCTGTGTGGACATCAGGAGCAAAGTTGGAGCCAGAATCCAAGATGAGGTGTCCATGGTCTGGTGGTCCTGGTCTTGCAGGGGAACCGCTTTGCTAGTAGCATCCTGAACCAGCGGGGGAGAACAGCACAGGAGGGCAGCTGCTGAGGCTTGGGTCTGTGTTGGAAAGTGGCATTCACTGGCCTGGAGGAACAAGTGTCAGAGGTGGAGGCTGGCTTAAGGGCATGTGTGGAATTGACTTAATGTGCATTACTGAGCACAGAGCAGAGCCTTCGGATGTTAAATGAAGAACAAAGAACTTTCCCCAAAAAAATCTGTTATAAAGTTTTAATATAAACTGCACATGGAAATAGCATCTCTTCTTCAGTGAATAATTTTAAAGGTTATTTAGCACTGCAGCCTCATTAGTTGCCAAATTTGAAAGACTTAAAGGTAGAGATATGTTGTCTTAAGACTGTCTTCAAGTAGTTTGGGAATTTTTGGGTTATCTGATGAGAACTTGTTTGCTTTTAATAACCTTGTACTGTCCAAATTTAGTTACCTGATGTTTTTAGTTATTTTCGTAAATAATATGAATCAAACCTGAATGCTTAGATACACTCTGGCTCTTTCTAATCTTAACTTTTCCTTTTTTTCCCTCCCTTCACTGCATTCCTTCCTGATTCTTTCTTCATGATCTCGAAGGACTACCATCTTGCTTTACTATTCAAGGTACTTCCCTGTCTTGCCACACATCCTGTGTTCGGGATGAAAACGTTGCATCGTGCTGCATCTCATGCACGTCATCTTGGCCACTGCCCGGCTCGATTCCAGCTCTCGCTGACTTGAGCTTTCTCAGGACCCTGAGCAGGGCTGAGTGGCCACTTTGATCAAACACCTCAGCAAGGACGAGAGTGTTGATGAAATATTTTGCAGAACAACACCTGAGTGCTGAGGGAGGCTGCTAGATGTGCGCATAAACACTTCACCACACAGCACCTGGTTTGGCAGCACTGCCAGGGCATGCCATGGAGAGATCCAGCACTGACCCCAGAGCCTCTGGTCCCGTTTACCTGCGTTCCTCCTAAGAGTCTGCCAGTCTTCATCCACAAAATTAATTTTTCTGTCGTCACTTCTCATATTAAATATAATTCTGGATCCTTAGGTATGTGAGCATGGCCAGCTCCCTTGGAGCAAGCAGGAGCCTTGGGGGCTGAGGCCGTGTGTCCCCCTCTCCTGTCCTATGCAGGGAGCCCAAGCTGATTCAGGGATGAATGGCGGGTGGAGGGAACCCTGTGTAACAAAGTGAGCCAGGAACAGGAGGACAGGACAAAGGAATGGCTGGGACCAGAGGACAGAAAGTCCCCAGTGGTTTCTTCTGTGGCCTTGTAGATTCCGGGGCAGTGCAGGGTGGTGTCAGCAGCTGGCTCCTCTGACTCAGTACCAGATTCGGCACTGGAGGGCAGACCTGGGGCCACCGTCTCCTGCCCTACCTGAGCAGGAGTTCCATGGGAAACCTCTATGTAGAATCGGCTGCGGCTGCCCTTGTGTTGGTCATTCTCATCCAAGTTATCTCCCATGTACCTCTGAGGTGGGGCCCAGGGTCCACATCAACAAGCAGCTGACGACCCCTCAAGCACCATCACTAGAGTGTGGCTGGTGGTGGGGCCCCCTCCTAACCATCTCCCACCTCCCCACAGGACTCAGGACACCCCTGCACGGCGGCCGACCCTGACAGCTGCTTCACGCCTGTGTCTCCGCAGCACTTCATCGACCTCTTCAAGTTTTAAGGGCTGCCCCTGCCATCCCTATTGGAGATTGTGAATCCTGCTGTCTGTGCAGGGCTCATAGTGAGTGTTCTGTGAGGTGGGTGGAGACTCCTCGGAAGCCCCTGCTTCCAGAAAGCCTGGGAAGAACTGCCCTTCTGCAAAGGGGGGACTGCATGGTTGCATTTTCATCACTGAAAGTCAGAGGCCAAGGAAATCATTTCTACTTCTTTAAAAACTCCTTCTAAGCATATTAAAATGTGAAATTTTGCGTACTCTCTCTCTCTATATATATAGTTCAAAAATACTTTAGGTGGTCAGCTCCACATTCTTTGTTGACGTGACACTAACGGCCAATAATATGCTTCTTAATTATCAAATTATAGTTTCCCAATTGGGAAACTAATTGGGGGTGGGTTACAAAACATTTGATCCTTGTAAATACATTGTACAGAATATTTATTTTTTCTCAAAATGCATTTTAACTACTACATTGGCTGTGCCCAAATGAGTCCTCTTTGAATAGAAAGTGAACCCAGGGCAATGACAGCCATTCTTGTCTTAGGGATTATGGATCGGGGTATGAAGTGTGCACACGCAGCCCAACAACGGGCAGTGGTCTCTGTGCTCCTAGGCATCCAGCACAGGTTCTGGCAGGGCACCCCTGCTGGGGTTGGGGGCTGGTCTGTGCATAATCCTGGACTGTGATGGGAACAGCCCAGTGCAGTCTAAACTTCAATTGTGTTGAAACTACTTTAATAGACAAAGTAATAAATCATGTTTATCTATTGATTTAAACTTCATCAGTTTTGCATCCTACTGAGAAATGTTAGTGATTTTGATACTTAAATCCTTAAAAGATTGCTTCGTTTTTAAAATAACGCATGTCCATTTTAGAAAATTAGAAAATCAGTCCCACCACCCAAAGATTATTGTGCATGCTGAAAAGAGTATGAAAAATCCCCTCAGCAGGCATAGGATAGAAACGTATTGTTGTATATTTCCATTTTTGAATAGGGTCAAGGAGCCCAAGCAAATCATTTCTACTTTTTCCTTTAAGCATAATAATAAAAGTATACTTTTATGGCGTTATAAATAGGACTAAAAAAAGATTCTGGATTTTTCAGCCCCACTTCTGTGAACTGACACAAATGGCCAAGAATGCATTTATTTGTCAAATTATAGTTTCTCCTGAGGCGATGCAAATACCTGGGGCCTCTGCGAATATATGTTAGTTTTTCATAAGACCATAAATGTCCCGTATACCACTGTTACTTCACAACGCCCCCCGTCCCGACCCTGCCTTTTTTTAGAAACGTAGAACCATATCCTAAATGTTATTTGGAAACTTGGCTTTTATTAGCTCCACAGAATCACCCAGATGGAACAGGCTTTTTCATCACAACATATTGGGGTTCCTGAGTGTCTCGCCGTTAGCATCAATAACTATGATAAGCATCGTCACACAACAATGTGGCCGTCTCCTTACAACCACTGGTAGTACAGCCAACATCATGAGTCAAACATATTTTAAGGCTTTTAAATATATTTCTAGATTGTTCATGAAAAAAAATTTTTTTGGAGTTTGTTTTTGAGACAGGGTCTTGCTCTGTCACCCAGGCTGGAGTGCAGGGGTATGATGTCGGCTTACTGCAACCTCTGTCCCCCAGGCTCAAGTGATCCTCCCACCTCACCCTCCAGTGATCCTCCCACCTCAGCCTCCCAAGCAGTCAGGACCACAGGCATATACCACCATGCTCAGCTGTTTTTTTGTATTTTTAGTAGAGATGGGGTTTCACCATGTTGCCCAGGCTGGTCTCAGGAGTTTGAGCTCAAGCAATCCACCTGCCTCAGCTTCCCAAAGTGCTGGGATTACAGGCATGAGCCACCACGTCCAGCTGAGAAAAGAAATTGTTCTAATCTAGGAAAGGGAGTAAGTACATTGAGTTTCCATTATCCCTGAAGCACAGGTATTTCTTTTTCTGTTGGTGCTGTTTTAATAAGTGAAGAATTTGATGTATGATAAATTGTGAGCTTGAATATTTCCATATATTTATTATCCATTTGCTTTTCTTGTTTTTGGTAAATTACTTAATGTGGTATTTGCCTGTTTTTTGGGGTGGATGTCAGTCTTTTTTCATGTTAGTTTCTTCTTAAAAGGAAACTATCCTTTTGAAGTTGTGGTTCTTTCCCCTAATTTGTCATATACTGTTACTGTCATTTAATTGTTAGATGTTATAACAGTTCTCAGCTGTGCTATCAAATCACAGATGTGCATTTAACTTGTATAAATTGAGCAGTACTTGCTTGGAAAACATAACCATATTAATAGTGTAGGATTCCAGCTGTTCTGCTGGGCTGGCATATTTCCACAGGCCATGGACACAGCTAGCCGCATTGCCACTGCATGGGTCACAGCCTCCTGCAGGTGCGTTCGAGGGACAAGCTGTGGGAGCTGGGCAGGTAAGCAGGGATGGCTTACATTGCTGGGGAGAGATTGAAAGGTTAATGGAGGGTATAAGGACAGAATAAAGACAATTTTGAGGCACTGATCAGTTATTTACAGAAGATCGGACAACACCAAACAGAGATGAGAAGAGAAATCATAGATCTCCACTTTGGAATGGTATTTTTGAATACAGTTTCTATCAGGGGGCCTTCCAAAAGTAGGGATGCCACTCCTGTGAGATTAAGTTACATTCTGATGCCTTCATTACAATGAAGTAGATAATTCAGGACCCCAGGAGCCTAAAGCCAGGTAGTAAGTTTCACTTGCCCATCGCTCCTGTGAAAGGCAATGCCAGACACTCTCAAGATAGAATCTCCAGTCATTCTCGGACCTGTTCTCAGTCTGCGCTGCTCACTCAGGGCTGGTGTCTCTTGACACCCAGTTACAACTTCCTTTTGCCTATTTTGAGTCAAAAAGTCACATTCCTCACCTAATTTATGAATACACACAAATTGGAAAGCCATGCAGTAGCCTCTCAGGAGCAGACCGATTTGTAGCTGTCGTGGTTTACTGCATGACGTACAGGCTCTCTGTATGCACTGTGTGTGCGTACTGTACAGGGCTGTACACAGCAAACTGTGTCTACTTTATGGAAAAAATTTAACCATCTGTGAACAGTTTTTTGCCTTAAGTGCTGCTTTTAGAACCAAACTGTCATATAAGATTTATCAGCTCTTTTAACACCTTTGTAGATTCCTGATGCTGTGTACAAAATCATGTCATCTATGAATAGACAGTTTCACTTCTTCCTCTCAGTCTAGATGTCCTTTATTCTTTCTTACCCCGTTTCGCTGGCTAGAATCTCTAGTACAATGTTGAATAGCAGTGCGAGAGTGAACATCCTTGTCTTGTTCCTCATCTTAGGGGAAAGCTTTCAGTCTCACCATTAACTATGATGTTAACCCTGGGTTTTCCATACATACCCTCTATTAGGTTGGGGAGGTTCCCTTCTATTCCTAGTTTGTTTTTATCGTGAAAGGGTGTGGATTTTGTCAAATGCTTTTTCTGCATCTCTTAAGATAATGTAGTTTTTGGCCTTCATAAGATCATGTGCTGTTATTACATTGACTGATTTCTATATCTTGAACCAACCTTGCATTCTTGGGTCAAAGCCCACTAAGTCATGGTTTATGATACCTTTTATACATAGCTGTTAGATTTGGTGTGCTGGAACAGCCAGCCCTCTGTATCCACGGGGGATTGGTTCCAAGACCCCCACCCCCACCCCACCTGCCACCCACCACCTTGTGATCTCTTGGGTTTTGGTGTCCATCTCATAGGATAAGCTTAGAAAGTGTTCCCTCTTCTGTGTTTTGGAAGTGTTTGTGGTGGTTTCTTGTTAATTCTTCTTTAAATGTTTGAGAGAACTCCATATAAGATTTGAAGTCACTGAGAAGCTTCAATTATCCTTTAAGAGGATAAGACCATTTTCTCCAGAGATGCCTTTTAATGGTTTTTCTTTTCATTGCGAAGGCCTAACTTAGTAGATAAGTGGACTGTGAAACCTAGTCTGTTCTGCTTATCTTCAGAATTATCAAAAGGAAGGGGTGCTGCCCTCTGAGAAAAGTCAGAAGCAAGCCTGCCTTATGAAACTCGACTTTTTAATCTCCCTCTCTTCATTATGATGTGTGCACGTGATGGACACCACTCACCTCCCTTTAGTCCCTATCAAATGCTACCCAATGGCAAAGCCAAGGGATTAGCAACAGGTAGGAGGAAAAAGAAGGACCTGCATACATGACTAACCAGCACCAGCCATTGGGGCCCTCTATGGCTGACACCAGCATCCACCCTGCACTCATATGTATCTCAACAGAATTGCTGCTTCTGTCTTCACTCAAGCCCCACTCCTTATCCCTTCCTGTTGTTTCTGCATAGAGGAGGCAGACCCTCAACTTTGGAAAGCAGTGTCCCCCCGCGTCCCATGGGCTAAATGCCACTGAGCCGGTAGGAGCTGCTCAGGTGTAGCCTCTGCCTTCAGAATTTCAGCAGGAACTGCATCATTGTGTGCCTAAAAAGCCCTGGCTCACAGCATGAGACAGTGTGTTCTAGGTGGTAACGTGGCACCTGCACATGCACCCCCAGCAGTCCTCTCTAAACTCAGGCAGTGTATGGCTGCTGCCATTCTCGCCCTCAGCATCTGTGAGATGAAGGAGTTGCTCCCCAGGGCACCTGCCCCAATACAGGCCACGTGGATCTGCCATTGCTTTTCACGTGAATGCCTAGGAGAGGCTGTTAACCCTCCTAGTTGTCCTTTTTGTACTTGGTCCTCTTCCTTCCAATCCTCACTGGCTCAAATCCACAGAGTGACAAAGAACAGAGATGCCCAGAGCACCAGCTGGAGGGGCAAGCAGGAGAAGGCACTGCTGGTGCCACAGGGGTCCTGGGCTGGCTCTTGGACCATAACCAGCGTTCACTGAGGATGCGGTTTCTTTGAAATGCTCTTGTTCTTCCTAAGTAAGGGAGAGCAAAAAAAATGAGGACATCTGTGTCAAATAGAAGAGACACCTCAACTGTCTCGTTTTTGCATGGAAATTTCATTTTTATTTGATAATCATTTGAGAAACTTGCACAGATGAAGGCAAGTTGGTTTTTATTATCTAACCTATGTAGTCAATTCTAATGTCATTTAAAAGAATTTGACATGTTAAAATACACGTGAAATTTACCATCTTACCTATTTTAAGTGTGCAATTTAGTGGCATTAAATACATTCATACTGTGCAACCTTCTCTACCACGTATCCACAAGTTCAACTTTACAAGATGAACTTTTGTCATCTTGTAAAACTGAAGCTCTGTACCCATTAAGCACCAACTCCCTATTCCCCATCCACCAGCCCCTGGCAGCCTCTGTTCTCCTTTGTCTCTTTTAATTTGACTTCTGTAGGGACCTCGTATGAGTGGAACCAGAAGGGATTTGTCCTTTTGTGACTGGCTTATTTCACTTAGCGTAATGTCCTCAAGGTTTATTCAAGTTGTAGGATATGTCAAGATTTCTTTTTAAGGCTGATTCTATGGATGGACCACATTTTGTTTGTGTACTCATCTGTTGAGGACACTTGAGTTGCTTCCACCTTTTAGCTATTGTGAATATTGCTGCCGTAAACATGGGTGTGCAAATATCTGAGTCTCTGCTTTCAATCATATGGCAATCCTATGTTTAATTTCTTAGGGCACTGCCATAAGTGTTTTACACGGTGGCTGCACCATTTTACATTCCCACTGAAGGTTCCAGTTTTGCCACATCCTTGCCAACACCTGTTTTTAATAATTGCCATCCTAATGAGTGTGAAGTGGTATCCTGCTGAGATTTTGATTTGCATTTCCGTAATGACTGGTGATGCTGAGTATCTGTTTGTTGGCCGTTTATATGTCGTCTTTGGAGAAATGTCTATTTGGGCTCTTTGTCCATTTTTCAATCAGGTGTGTGTTTTTATATGTTCTGGGTATTCACCCTTTTCAGATATATCATTTTAAAATACTTTGTCCCATTCCGTGGATTGCCTTTCACTCTGTTTTGTTCTTTGATGTACAGAAGTTGTTTCTTTCTTTTAGTTACCTGTGTGTGCCTCTGGTGTCATATCTAAGAAATCACTGCCTCACCCTTTTCAGATATATCATTTTAAAATACTTTGTCCCATTCCGTGGATTGCCTTTCACTCTGTTTTGTTCTTTGATGTACAGAAGTTGTTTCTTTCTTTTAGTTACCTGTGTGTGCCTCTGGTGTCATATCTAAGAAATCACTGCCAAATCCAATGTTGTTAAAAGTTTCCCTTATGTTTCTCCTAAATGTTTTAGTTTTAGCTCTTAGTTTAGGCCTTTGATCTATTTTAATTTTTATATATGGTGTGAGGTAGATCTAGCTTCATGTGGATGTCCACTTGTCTAGCACCATTTGTTGAAAAGACTGTCCTTTCTCCCTTGAATGGTCTTGGCACCATCAAAAATCATTTGACCCATATGTGCAAGGGTTTATTTGGGGATTTGCTATTCTGTTCCATTGGTCTACATGACTGTCTTTGTTTCAATACAACACCATTTTGATTATTGTAGCTTTGTCGTAAGTTATGAAATAAGGAAGTGAGAGACCTCCTACTTGGTTCCCTTTCAAGATGATTTTGGCTGTGTGAGGTCTCTTGAGATTCCATATGAGTTTCAGGATGGAAAAAAAAAAGCCACTGGGATATTCTGATAGAGATTGCATGAAATCTATAGATTGCTTTGGACTATGGACATCTTAAGGTATCCAATCCATAAACACGGGATTGCTTTCTATTTATTTGTGTTGACCTTACTTTCTTTAAGCAGTGTTTTATGGTTTTCAAGTACAAGTCTTTTGCTTCCTTAAGTTTATTCCTAAATATTTCAGTTTTTTTGTTACTATTATAATGGAATTTTCTTAAATTTCCTTTTGAGATTGCTTGTTATTGTATAGAAATATCATGGATTTGTTGTGTTGATTTTGTAAACTGCAGTGTTACTGAAATTTTTTTTTGTATATGTATGGACACTAGGATTTTCTACATATAAGATCATGTCATCTGCAAACAGATAATTTTGCTTCTTCCTTTCCAGTCTGGATGCCTTTTATTTCTTTTTCTTGCCTAACTGCTCTAAGACTCCAGTACTGTGTTAAACAGAAGTGGTGAGACAGGGTATTTCTGTGTTGTTCTTGATCTTAAAGTCCTTTCAGTCTTATTGAATATGATGTTTACAGTGGGATGTTCATATGGCCTCTATTTTAGGTTGTTTCCTTCTATTCCCAATTGTTGAGTTTTTATCATGAAAGGGCATGACATTGTCTCAAATGCTTTTTCTCCATCAATGGAGATCACATTTTTTTCCTTCATTCTATTAATGTAATAGACATTACATTTATTGACTTGAGCATGTTGAAACATCTTTGCATACCAGCTGTAAATCTTACTTGGCCATGATGTGTAATCCTTTCAATGTCCCACTGAATCCTGTTGGCCAGTATTTTGTTGAATATTGATTTAAAAAAATCTTGATCAGGAATACTGATGTGTGGTGTTTTTTTCTTATAGTGTCTTTGTCTGGTTTTGGTATCAGAATAATGATGGCCTCATAGAATGCATTTGGAAGTGTCCTTTCCTCTTCAGTTTTTTGGAAGAGTTTGAGGAGAATTGATTTAATTCTTCAGATGTTTGCCAGAATTCCCATATGACCCTGGGCTTTTCTTTCTTGGGAGGCTTTTCTTTACTACTTCATGCTCTTGACTAGCATAGGTCTGTTCAGATTTTCCATTTCTTCATGATTCAATCTTGATAGGCTGTGTGTTTCTAAGAATTTGTCCAGTTCATCTAGGTTATCCAATTCTTTGATATGTAATTGCTCATAGTACTCTTAATCCTTTTTATTTCTGTAAAATCAGTTGTAATGTCTCCTCCTGGTTTTTAGTTGTTTTTCTTAGTCACTCTTAGCTATCAACAAACTCTTGGTTTCATTTATTTTTCTCTATTGCTTTTCTGTTCTCTATTTTGTCTCTGCTCTAATCTTTATTATTATTATAATCATCTCCATTCTGCTGGCTTTGGGTTGATTGCTCTTCTTTTTCTAGTTCTTTCAGATGTAAATTTAGGGTTGACTTGAGATCTTAATTTGTTTAATAGGTGTATTTACAGTTACAAATTTCCCTCCTACCACTGCTTTGACTGTACCTGTTTTTTTGTATATTACATTTTTCATTTACCACAAGATATTTTCTAATTTCCCTTGTGAGTTCCCCATTAATCTGCTGGTTGAGAGCGTTGTTTAATTTTCACATAATTGTGTACTTTTCAGTTTTTTGTCTGTTACTGATTTCTAGTTTCATCCCACTGTGGCCAGAAAAGATATTTTATTTCCTCAGTCTTTTGAAATTTGTTGACTTGTTTAGTCATCTAACATACTGTCTATCCTAGAGAAAGGTCCATTTGCACTTGAGAAAAACGTGTGTACTGCTGTTGTGTCTGTTAGGTCCAGCTGGTATGATGCTGTTCAAGTTCTGTCTTGCGACTGATCTTCTGTCTGGTTGTCCTATCCGTTACTGAAAGTGGGCTACTGCAGTCTCCTACTCTTACTGTAGAACTATCCATTTCTTCCTTTGATTCTGTCAATGTTTGTTTCATATATTTTGGGCTCTGATGTTTGGTGCATATATATTACATCTTGGTGAATTTTCAAACTTTTTAAATTTCAACATGAAGATGAAATTATAGGATGTCTGGGATTTCCTTTGAATCCGTGGGGCTGGGAGTAACTATAAATGAAACAAGATTGGCCGGGAATTTGAGGCTGCAAGGATAGGTACACACAGGGGAGTGAAGCAGGGCTTGGAGCAGATGGTAAAGATTGTTGGCTTTTCCAGCCATGGGGCTCTCTTGCCACTTGGCAGTAGTGGCATGAAGCCGCCACCAGGGGGCCACGCACCAGTGCATGTGGCTGTGTTCCAAACTTTTTGGACAATAAAATCTGAATTTCACATACTTTTCTTATGTCATTAGATATTACCCTTTTACATCTTTTCACTATTTAAAAATGTAAAAATCATTCTTAACATTTGGGCTGTGCAAAAACAGCTGGTGGGCCCAATTTTGGCCTGTATTTCACTTGCCAACCTGATTTATACTTTTGTATCTATTTGACATTTTCCATTAAAAGTTATATAACACTACTTTTTTGTACTCGTTACTTTTTAAAAAAAACTTTCTACAATGAAAATACATTATTTTTACAATAAAAAGCCAAAATACATACACAAAAATGTTACCCATTAATTATGGGAATTACTTCAAGGTAATTCTTATTTTGAAATATCTTTCCAATATTTTCTCTTATATCGCTTTTTGAAGACGCATAACATGATCCCAAATAAACAGTTGAATAAACACCACCCTCCTCTCCCCTCCTGCCCAGAAACCCACCCATCTGGAGCTGCATCTCCCAGGAAAGGAGACTCTAGAGGGAACCGCCTTCTTGCATTTCTCTAGCCTGGATTCCCATGGGAAAGATGTGTATCTTCATGCTGAGCTTTGAAGATTCTTACAGAATAAAAATTCTTACCATATCCTTCTGTCTTAATAGCACGTTTTAAAGTCTCTAGGGAGAAGAGATTTCTGTAAACACTAGTTTCCAAAGAATAAAAAAAAAAATCACTTCTCAAAACTCAAATGGTATTTCCCATCACCCCCACACCATCCAGATTTGTTCAGCTTTCTTGAAAATAAATTATCTAAATTTTTAAAAATATTTTCCTAAAACTCTAAACAGAAGTAACGTCAAAGGGATCAATAGCCTCACTTCTTATGAAAGCTAAAACTCTACCCCTTTATCAAAAGCTAAAACTCTACCCCTTTATCAGTAAGTAAGTGAAAATATCTTTGCAACTCTGAAAAACCATGCTGGGACATTAATTTCTAAATACTTAAATGGCGGCCAGGTGCAGTCCCTCACACCTGTAATCCCAGCACTTGGGGAGGTCGAGGCCAGAGATTGCTTGAGCGAGCCCAGGAGTTCAAGACCAGCCTAGGCAATATAGCAAGACCTCGTCGCTACAAAAAAAAAAAAAAAAAAAAAAAGAAAAAGGAAAAAAGCCAGGCATGGTGGCACACGTGTAGTCCCAGTTACTCAGCAGGCAGAGGTGGAGGCTGCAGTGAGCTGTGTTTGTGCCACTGTACTCCTGACTGGGCAACAGTGTGAGACCCTGTCTCAAAAAATACATAAATATTTAAGTATCCACCCGAACTGACAGCCTTATAGTACCGGGGTGGGGGGCGGTCACTGTTACTGTCAGACACACTTGAAAAAGATGAAACCACTCACTGGTAAGATAACAGTTGGTCACCAAAAGGCAAAGATGCCAGCATGATGATGATAAGCTTCAAACATAATCAGAAACCCAGTGGATGGAGATTTGCCATGAAACAGCAGGTCTTGGAGATACAGTAACCAAAACTTAGAGAATGGAATACCTCATAAAGGTGACATGCCCTTCAGTGGTGATGAAACCAGTCTTTGAATCAGAGAAAGGCACAAAGGAAAGCAGCATGTTCCCAAGGCACACATGCCAGGAGAAAACAAGCCCACCAGCAGGAGGCCTGCCTTTAACACTCACCTGCTGGTGTGAGAGCAGACGAGGCTGCAGCCACATCAACCCTGGCTCTCCTATGTAACATTCACTCAGGACTGCCCGTGCCCCTCCAACGGGCTCAGCGCCATTCATGTTGCTTATCTGTTAACCTCTTCCCCAAACCCTGCTCTTCCAGCAGACGGCGCACACACTGTGCCACACGTGTGGCTGAAAGGATAGCCATGCGTGGGGATAGCCGGAGGTGCGGTCGCTCCCCAATTACTACATTTTCCCTCTAAAAACTTAAGTGTCACATTTCAAAACACCAGCTTCTTTAGCAAACCGGTTTTTCTGTACATAACCCAGACAGGCACCTCTCTGGGGCCCCCATGTCTACACAGAGTTGGGCACTGCCCTGGACTCTCATCTACCTGATGGACAGCTGGTGCAACTTTATCAGCTGTCAGCCTTAAATGAAGAGGCTCAGAAAATACGGGGAAGTGTCTAGCACATTCAAGCACACATTTTGAGGATGGCCACCTGGGGGATGGGCTCTACACAAACAGGGTCAGCGTTCCACAGTGGAAAGTTAAGGCTTCACTCATATAGGCAGGAGCCGAGATATCGCAGAGTCTTGCCGTTTTCCACAGACCAGTGTGTGCGCTATGGCAATATGACCCATTACAGATGGCTGCACTCCACAAAGTGAGGAGCAGTGATCTCAGGGGCCTCATCTCTGATGCATTTGGTCGTTTATAGGGAAAGAAAGGCAGAGGTTGCAGCTGTATGCTCCGTGGCTCCAGCTGCATAGCTGCATTCCTTCCAAGACTCAATATTTTTTGAGTGCTTTTTTAAATTTTAGTTTCAGGGGGCACATGTGCCCCTTTGCTACATGGGTATGTTGCATGGTGTGGGGTCTGGGTTACTTTTGAACTCATCACCCAAACAGCGAATGTAGTGCTCAATAGGTAGCTTTTCAACCCTTGTCCCCTTTCTCCTTCCCTCCTCCCTTTTGGAGGCCAGAGTAAAGTTCCAATGGCTTGAAGTTTGAATTAAGTTTGACTTACTGAGTTTCACACAGCTTTATAACCAAAGGTCACACAATCATGCTACCCCTTAGTGAGGAAAGCAAGGGGCTCTGTAGCATCTTGGCTGTTATGTGAGCCACGTGCACTAATGCAGCCTTCATTCAAGCTCTCCTCTCCTTCCTCCTCAATTCAGCATCTACCGAGGGGAAGGCGATGGTCTGTGACACAGGTCACACTTAACAGGATCCCTGTAGCATGGAAACAGAGCAGTGTCGTCTGATCTCAAGGTGGTTAGGATGTTTCCAATTCCCATGCAAATTTTTTTACTAGTTCCTCCCACAAAGCTGCTTACATTTGCAGGCGGGTTGGGGGGTGGAATCAAATGGTCTCACCTGCATTTTCACTGCTATGACCTCTTTTCTGGATCTGAGAGGGAGTACAGCAGGTACCTGTCCCAGGTGGCGGGCCACATCCCTGGCTCTCTGCTTGCAGAAGAGGTGCCAGGACACAGCCCTCGAGAAGCGTAGAGAGGGCACAACTGAGAGATGCTTAAGGAATAAGGGGAGCCAGGTTAAAGATCCAGTTGTTACCACCTGAGCCTAATGTTACCACTAATGGTGGATGTCAGACACTATGTGGCCCTGCTGTGCACAGGGGCCCAGGAGCTGCCCCGAAAGGAAGCAGCAGCTTGGATTAACCGAGCCTTTAGATCCAATTTCTTGTTTGTAGGCAGTGCTAAGGATGGAGGAGTGAGTTGAACACCTCAAACAGCAGTGTGTTCAGGAAAAGCTGCGAGGGAAGGGAGACAGGGGGCTCCTGTTTCCAACATCAAAAGATTTCAGAGATAGAACAGCCATATATGATGCACGATCATGGTTTTGGGAAAAAACAGCTAAAAGGTACATTCCAGACAATTGGGAACATATATATATGTATTAGATGATACAGGAAATTAATTTTGTTAGGTGTGCCAATCATATTTACTTATGCAGGCAGCATCATTTTTTTTTTTTAGAAATATATGTTGAAGTACTTGGGGGTGATACGGTGTCCGTAATTTACTTTTAAATGGTTAAATATATGTATGGACACACAAAGCAAATATGACAAATACAACCATTATTGAATCGCAGTAGCTGAGTTTATGGATGTCCATTGTACTACATACTTTTGCATAGATTTTATTTTTCATCATAAAAAAATTTAAAAACTGAAATGCTTGTCAACCCCCCCATCTCGAAAAAGCCAAATTGAAATACACCTGGTTAATTATGAGAATTAACCACTATCTGAGGATTAAGTGTGATTTGTTTCCCTTCCTTCATCCCACTGGCCTCAGGAATGGAAAATACTTTAAAGGGAGAAAAAACTCAAACTGTGACCATGAGCCTCCACCCCATCCTGTCCTGTCTGCTTCTTGTGTCAGAGCCACTAAGGGAAAAATCACTAAGTTGTCACAATGGCTGGGTGCAGTGGCCTACAACCCAGCACTTCGGGAGACTGAGGCAGGAGGATCACTTGAGCCCAGGAGTTGGAGGTTGTACTGAGCCCTGATCATGCCACTGCATTCCAGTCTGGGTGACAGAGCAGGACCCTGTCTCTAAAAAGGTTTTTTAATAAAAACAAAAAATAAATGGTCACACATTCCTAAGATGCATTAGGCTTTGCTGGGAGATGGCCCTTCTAGTTCACCATTGAGCTTAGCATTTGCTGCTGTTAAAATTAGAATAACCTTTATTCAGGATGTGCTCCTCCAAGATGAAACGGATGTCCGATTCTGGGAGCCGGAGGAACACGCTGCAATGCACTTTCAGACTCTGCAAGGAAGAGTGGGCAGGCACACAGAATCTCAGGAAGACGGTTCAGGGCGGCGGGGACATTCATCATGTGTTTACCGTCGGCTCTGACAGCCCGGCTTGAAGCTTCCTTCTAAGGATAGAGACTGAGCAGAGACTCCATGTGTCCTGGGCCTCAGTGGATAAAATTAGAATATGCAGGAGCCTGGGCAAATGAACCTATGACCCTGGGCAGCTGGCAGACTTTAAAAGCGAATTCCAGGTACAAGTCTGTTTTTTTAAACATCTGCCCAAGGCTGCCATGGACCAAATTCCTAAAGATACCTTGTTGCCCTAGAAATGTCTCCAAAACTCAATACCCCACTAGTTTTCCTACTCTGTCTAGAGACTTGGCTCCCCCCTCCCCCAATTACATGACCTTCTTCCATCAAATCCACTCTCCACACAATGAAGAAAACAGCACCTAATTCTGATGAAAACGTCTGGCCATGGGACAAAGCCCCGCAGGGCCCAGCTTTGGCCTTAATGGAAGGCGGGGTTAGGGGTATGACACTAGCCCCCCGCAAGAGCTCTGCTTCACCTCACACAACCAACCTGGTCCTCACTCTGGGTGAGGTAGAAATGTCACTGGCTCTACTTCCTGTTGATATGGGGACATTGATCCTCTCTAGGGTTGAGAACCAGGATTTAGACCGAGAAATTGACTTTATGGCGTCAAGGGAGAAACAAGCAAGAGAAGAGCAGAAAATGAACAAAATGAACAGGAGGGGACCACAATGGACAGTGGTTCACAGATGAGGGCCTGTTTCAGAAGAAAGAAGAAGCCTCTTGGGGGTGGCACACAGGTGAGAAGAGCCATGGGTCAGGGCACCAAGGAGCCAGCCAGGTGAGCAGGACTCTTGGCGGCACAGGTGCCCCAGGATCTGCAAGAGGATTCTATGAAAGCGCATGCTTAAAGACGCTGCAGGTGAGCCTGCCCGAGAACACCTCCCACACGAGTTGCCCCACGCTCCCCAGGTTTGGCCCCTCCACTGGCTGTTCGGCAGTTCCAGCCCTGAAGCCCCTCGCCCCTCCTCACAGGGCCTCCCACCATCCGCAACCCTGTCCTCACCCACCAGCTTCCTCAGCAAGCAATTCTTTAAAGTGAATCAATTTTAAAGAGTATTAAGAATGTTATAGCATAGATAGCACTCGCGTTACAAAAATGAGAAATCCAAGAACTGAAGTTCAGAAGGCCCACACCAACCACACCCCCCGACTTTTCTCATGTAAACGGGAGGGCATTTCAGAACCCCACTGGCACATGCTGCCAGGGCAGGGCTCCTCCCTTCTGCTTCCAGTGCCTTCTGCTCCCTGGGCCCAGTGCTCAGCCATGGAAGGAGCCAGTGCAGCTGTCACACGGGCATCTCCTGTGGGCATCTTGTGAGGGGGGCTGTCATGCGGTGGCTGCACAGGAAGCAGCCGTGGTATCTGGGGCTGGGTGGCAGCCGGCACGGGACCCAAACCTGGGCCCTACAAACCCTGGGGACCATGTCCCAGTGGAAGCACCACCCTGGGCCAAGACCCTGAAACACTAGAGAAGCTTTGGGAAGGTGCTTTCATGTAGAATGGAGGGAGACAAAGTGGCTTCCTGGCACTTGGGTGGGAGGTGGCAGGGGCTGCATGCAGAGCTGGGATGCAGGCCTGAAAGCTGCATCTCCTCCACCAAGAGCACCCCAGACCCCGACCTCAGCAGCAGGCAAGGGTTGGGGAGGATGTGCCTTCAAGCTGATCGTGTTTTGAATACTTAATAGAACATGCTGCAGTCAGGCCAGGCTGAGGCCGGGCCCACAAGTGGATCCCGCAGAGCACAGCTCAGATCACCAGAGGCCCAGAGTAGGGAGTCGCCCAGGCTGCACTCGTGTTGCTGGCACAGGCCACGGCCTCCTGAGACGGAACTCGGGCCACCACACACCTTATGAGGGATGCCACCCATCCAGCCAAGGGACGCCCAGACTTGACAAAGACTCCCCAGAACCACACAGCACCAAACCCCATCAGGGCCCAGCAACTTCAAAACAAGCTCAAGGCCAAACGGCTGTCTGCCTTGGTGCAAAGATCCCAACTTCAGCATCTGACCCCACACCCCACACCAGAGGGGGACCTCCCTAGGGAAATGCCAGAGGTCATGGTGGCAGGTGGCGCCTTCCACAAGGGAGCCCCAACGCTGTCACAGTGGCTCAGACCTGGTGCAGGCATGCCCCTTTCCTGCCGAGACTCTGGGGACGTGGCCTTGGCCTCGAGCCTGTCTGTCCTCAGCAGGCTGTCCCTGGTGGTCTGTGTGAGCTTCCCTGCACCTGTGATACTTTGCCTCATTCCTGGGAAATGCTGCATAAATACCCACAACTGAATGAAGGTTGCCCTTCCTCCGCACCTCAGTCTGCAGTCTCCCATCATCTGGTGTCATTCCACCTGCCACAGAACAAACTCATTCCAGGCGTTTAAGAGCGGGACTCTTGGACCTCACTCAGCATCTATAAAATGGGCACAGCAATGCCGGCATTGCAGGACTGTGCTAAGGCCCCAGAGGGAGGCAAGGGCAAAGCACAGGTGTCTGACGGGTGTGGCGCAGGTAGGCGTCAACGCCTGCTGGGGCCCAGTAAGGCCAGGCCGCAGGCTGGTGTGGCTGCTCTAAGCCCTGCCACCTGCCCCCTCCCTAAACAGCAACAGGAGCTCAGACAGATGTCGCCTGAGCCCCTCCCAGCCGACTGCAGCAGCAGAGGCAGCCGAGCCTCCTCCAAAGCCCACAGGAACAGGGAGGCAACGTGGTCAGGCAGCCCTGCCACTTGTCACTGTTTAAAAATTAGGTCATTTTTTAATAATCTAATAACAAGTACATAACCTAAATAAGAAGTACTTAAAGTTTCATTGTGCTCACTTCTAGTTTTATTTCTGAGCTGAGGTTTTTTGGCAGAAAGTTTAGTTGAATCCTCAAACACAGCTGGCTGTATGAGCTGGAGTTTTCCACCTCAGGGAACTGAAATATATTAATTCAATCAAAAATAGTTTACTTCCTCAGGGGAAGTGAACTGATTTTGTTTTGTTTACCTCCCTCCCACCCCAGCCTTTCACTGTGCCAAGTCATTGCCTAAATTTAATAGCTTGACATTCTGGGAGGCCAATGGCTTTCACCTGCGGAGGGAGTGGGGCGGTCAGCAAGGGGTGCATTTTCAGCTCACCGTGCTCAAGTTGAGAAGGAAAGAGACGGACTTGACACCTCCTAAGGCTTTCAACCCAGTGGAGTAGAAAGCCCCAGACACTGCAACATTCCTGCCTGGCAAGAGGTCCCCTCTGTGCCTGAACTGCACTGAACTGACTCCACCCCAGGCTGTGCCCGCTTCACAGTTTGGTAAACATTGACTTCCCACGATGCCCACATGGAGGCTGCACCTTGAGGAGGAACAGGATACACGCACGCAGCCAGAGAGCAGGACACCCGCGTGAGAGGCAGAGGCGCTTCAGAGATGGCACCAGCAGGACCCCAGGCTTCCAGTTGCTGCCTCGCTTCCCCGCGATCCGAGGTGGAGCTGCTGAGACAGCAATGGCATGTCTAGGAAGCACCACAGGTATACAAGCACTGTGTTTGTGAATAGTCAGTACTCCTTTCTAGTATTTTTTGACATACTCCAGAAACATTAAAAACAGAGGTAAAATTCACCCCATTCTTTCATTTAAACATAACTATTAAAATTTATCATTTATCACATATCTTACTGTGCTTCTTCACAGCAGCGAGGGGGACACGCTCCAGCTCCAACGGGAACGTGTCCGCATCACCAGATGACCCGTGTTCTTGCGGCAACACAGCAGCAAAAGGTGGCTTTGCCTTATCAGAGGCCGCCAACACCAGTGCGCTAATGTCAGACTGTCTTGTGTTAAAAAATACAGATTGCCAAGAAAAACTGGCTTTTAATAAAATAAATGCATTGTTAAATCTCATGTTCTCAGGAGTCAACATAGCAGAGAAGTAAAAGTACAGTGTACTGATGATAGATAAAAGCACCAGGTATTGACAACAAGGAGATGAAATCCACATCCAAGATCTCAGAGACCCTGGCCCAGGAGGGCAGGTGGAACCGGCGATGGAAGTCCACAGCCGGTCCCTCACCTGCCAGCAGCATCATCAACTCTTACCCACCTGCCGATGCCATTTAAAAGTAAAACCTTCTTGGCTGTGGCTACTGGGGTCAGGTGCTCCCGCAACAGAGCCAGAAGCACTGCAGGCATGGAGCAGTATAAACCCTTGCGGTGACCTGGAAGAGGTGATCCCAGTATCATGTCTCATCCTACTGCATCACATCAAATCTGCTCAGCAATTGCTCTTGACAGTACTTTGTCTTTTCCTTTCCTGCAGTACCAGGGAAAAGGGCACAAAAAGCCCAGAAACATGACAAGTGAGTGCATATAATTCAGTCAACCCTCACAGTCCTTAAAACCACAAAACCCCCATGAAGCCTGTGCGGCTCCCGAGGCCACATGACCGGATCAGTGAGGCTGCCAGTACTCAGCATGCTGCCGTTAGAGGGAGTCCCCCCTGCATGTTAACTCCCAGTAACAACAACGGGTGCTGTGCTGATGACCTCAGAACGTGGCAGGCTCCTGGGCCATCGCAGTGACTCACAGCAGTCCTAACAGACAGGCCTGCTGCTTCCTATTGTGCATGAGGAACAAGGTCTCTCAGGCAGAGCTGCAAACACCCACATGGTGAGTCCAGGACAGGGCCTCACATGTGGCATCATCGCCAGCTCAGGATGGGCAAAGGGATGCATGGCAGACAGGCATGCTGGATACTAATTGTGACCTTACAGTTGTCAGGACCTGTACTGGTAATCCCAGTCAACATCACCTTCCATAGCAGTCTCTCTTGGCCCCCCACCACACAAGGGACCCTAGGCGGTGTGCCCCAGGGTGTGGCGTCCCCGCTGTCCCAGGGCTGTCAGCCCAGCAAGGAAGAGACGCCCCACAGAAAGAACATCTTGAACACAGCCATGACAAGAAGGACAATCAGGAAGCTCGGTGTGAGCATCTGGGCTTAAGGGAGGGCGGCTCCACGGAACCGTTCCGCTGACCTCTAAAGACAGGAGACAGAGGGTCATGGACGAAGTGGTGGTGATCAGCCCCTAACCTGGAGACTTCCACAGCCGAAGAAGCTACCAGAGAAACGTGTGGTGCCAGCTGCCTCCCACTCCGGGGCACATCACTCAGCCCAAATTCTCAGTGGGCTTCAGGATGCTGCCTGGGGGTGATGATATGGCTCTGAGCATGGACCCATCCACACCTGCCCGCCTGCTGCCTCGCTCCCAAGGCCCTCCCTGCATTCCTGCCTAAAGCTCACTGGAAATGTCGCTGTCTACACCACCACCACTTTAAACACCCATAGTTGTCTTCCTGGAGGTGGCAGCTTTTATAGCAACTACACCAGTGAGTCCTAAATTCCTAGCAGGGGCTGATGAGCACCAGCTGTATTCTGCAAAGCCCCTCACCCACCCAAACCCTGTGCCTCCTGCCTTTAGCTCTCTATAATTAAAGTGTTTAAATAAACAAGAGCCTTTGGTTATAGCTATTCAAGACTCATCTAAGATGCAGAAAACCTAATCTAAGATTAGGAAGTGTTCAATATTTCACAGCTTCACCAACAACCTTCAAGCTTCACTATTTTCTCCTCAAAGCTCTCTGAGAATACCCTCACTTTATAAACAGAAAAGAAAGCCTGAAGGTCGGCAGCTGGGACCCCTCTCGGGGCTGGTGCTGTGGACCAAGGCCTCAGTGAAAGGGCCACACTGAGCAGCCGCAGATTACTGCCGGGCGCCGTCTCTACTTGGTTACCAAATAACACAGCTCCAGCGTTTGAAATATTGAGCTGTCTTCTTTCAGTAGAATTTTACACTTTTGAACAACTGACAAAAGCTAGTTCACTTTTCTGTTATTAGCTAAAAGCTTAAGTTTTCATTTCCATATGATTGTTCCTTCACAACAGGAATCTCAAAGGTTCTCAGGTAACAGAGTAGTGCTTTTTCTTAAATAGGTGCAGTCAACTGGCTGGACTTGCAGCTTCCCTAACAGCAGACCAGTCCTGAGCCCAGCAGCCAGTGAGAGGTGGCGGTGGCCTGCCCCATCCCCCTCAGGGCTGCTAGCAACAACCAGATGCCAACGCACAAGGCCCCCAATGGCAGGGTGAGGGCTGATGGCCACTGCCAACCACTGACAGAGCCACCACAGCAGCTCTATTAGGTCTGAAGAACTAGAAAACAATAAATCACTTAAATCTGAGGCTGAACTGAGCATAATTTCATCTGATTCAGCCCTCATTTTGATGTCTCATATCCACAATTAGAAACAATTTTGGGATTACAGAACTGCAGGCCAAGAGGGGAATCACTTGTTGCTGCAGTCTGAATCCCCAAATGTTGATTCTGGCTGGTGCTGGGTCAGAGAGTTCACGTGGCAGGTCGCAGCCCGAGGCAGACACACTTTTACCAAGCAACACAGCACCTGGATGACGAGGGCTACTCTGTTTCCGCTGGGGCTGAGACCTGCTCAGTGCATTTCTACCTCATCAGCTGGGCTATAACTGTTTTTCTACTGGAAGGAAAAAAATAAGCAGCAAGCTCTCTCAGTCATTCAGCGCTGTTTAAACAACCTTTGGACTACTCTGAGCAATTTTTTTTTTTTTTTTTTTTTACAGGGCGTCACTCTGTCACCCAGAGTAGAGTGCTCTCTGCAGTTAAGCATTTTTTTTTTGGGTGGGGGGAAATGATCAAGTTAATGTTGAGCACTGGAAAAATCATCTTAGCCAGCTGATCTCTTCAGAGCTGACTCAAGAGTGCCCTGCTGGCTGGTCTTTTGGTTGATCAAGCAAATATAAACTGAAGAATGACTAAAAAAACCTAAAGCAAATTAATGGCTAAAACTAAATTGGTGGAGTGACAGAGGGCAGAATGTTTCCCTCACCTGTGAGACAGCCAGAGGAGGACCGGAATTACATGGCAGGTGTGGGTGAGAGGCTCAGGCTCTGAGGGCACCAGGCAAGACCGGGGGCAGGGGGGAAGGCGGGGGCAAAGTGGGCACCAGTAACATCCATGCTCCCCAGCAAGGGTGGAGTAGGCGACACTGCAGTCCACACTCACCCATGAGGTCGGCGAGAAAGGCCAGGGAATCCAGCTGCCCAGGACGCAGGCCTGAGAAGAGAGATCCCACATGGCCCTGGGCTCCCCGCAAAGCATCTGCACCCCAAAAACGCAGCCTCAAAGGCACTGCAGGCTCCAGGGTCCTGTTCCCATGGGAGTGAACAGCACTCTCTAGAACAGGCCACTGCTTTCTAAAAGAACTTGTTTCTAAGAGATGGTCATCTTTTTTAAAGATACATAAAAATGAATTGTTGCTACTATGTTCATGTTTCTCCACTTGAAAATGAAGAAGTAAAAGCTTAAAGACAGAACTCATGAAATAAAGAACCAAAAACAGCAGCCGGGGTGCCCCGCCACACTGTTGCCCTCCAGAGTGGGGGGCCCTGCACCAAGGACTCAGTCACACACAGGCCATTCAAATACGCAGAAGACACATCTTGAAAACCAAGGTTGAAGTTGTTCATTTATTTGTGAAAAGTCTACATGTGTTGACTGCATTCTAAAATGAGGCTAAATAGGAAAGGTGCCATTAGCTCTGAGTGATTAAAGCCATCGTAAGCAGATGCCAATAATCATGCAAACCAATAAGGAAAGAGCTTAAAAACAGTATTTTTATTTTTAAAAAACCTCAACATTAAGGAGGAACCCTTCTCTGAAGCACATCACTTTCCTATTAAAAAATAAAAAAAGTACAGTAGAAGGAGCACAGGACAACTCTCTTCACACAAGGAAGCTGTGTGTTTACACAATTCAAACACCCAGAATCAAAACCACATTCTCCCATTAACTTGTGAAGATAATAAATTTGCTTTGATAACTTCTTTCAAGAAAAGATAATTTTTCTCCCAAAGCACACCAATAAATATTTATATTAAAAACCACAGTTAATTTAATCAGGCACAGAAGAAAAAATCATTTTTACATTAGTCTTTGTAGATAAGAAAAATTTGATTTACAGTGCATATTCCAATCCCAATCTGGGTTTGTCCTCAAATTTTGAGAAATAGCATAAAGAACTATTTTGCCAACTGTGCGTCACAATTCTATGATTGACGTGAGTTGCAGGCACTTAGCGTTCCAACAGAGGCACGGCAACTGCAGCCATCACAGCCACAGAGCTCCCCACAACATGGGAAGCGTCCCCATCTCCCCACACACGTGATTTCCAGAGTTTCAAACACAGTGTTTACATTCCTGCGCAGCAAGACCATGTTAGCCAAAAACAAACCTACACTGACTTCCGCTGGAAAGTATTTGCAGAAGTCATGAAATGGTGTATGTTTTTACTATCCCAGCAAGCACTTCTCTAGGGAAAAGGACAGTTATGACTATTTACCTGAGGAAACTTAGAATTTGTCAACTTAGCTGTTATACTAAAAATTATGAACTTGTCTCTGTATTATGGAACAAAGAAAACCTCCACAACTTCACCATTTCAAGGTTCTAATACAAGCTGGAATTTTTGTTTGAACACCAATTGAAACATGTCCCCCTTTCAAGACTTGATAAGTAAACTTCTTGTTCTATTAAAAAAAAAAGTAGATGATTGACAGAAGGCTAGATGGATGTAGACTGAGAGAAGACAGACATAGAGGACAGGTGAATAGATACGGATGATTGATAGGTATAAGTGATTGACACAGATTATAGATTTAGCTAGATGGATGCAAAAGTAATTGCTGTTTTTTGCATAACAGATGACAGATCAAGTAAACCTGTTCTATTAAAAAACATGCAGACACTGATAACACTGCAGTGTGTTCTGCCATCAGGCACACTCAGTTATTCCACAGGAACAAACGGAAGGAACATCCACATGCATGAAACAGCACAGGAGTGCATGCCGAGCAACTCAGGAAAGGGTTTTTGTCTTGTTTTTACGTGAGGGGAATGCACAGTGTAACTGGAGGTTTTATTTTACTTTTAAACAAAAAAGAAAAATATACCTTTTCTTTCAAACCACTTTTATCTAAGAGATATCTGCAGGACTTGCTGATAAGAGCCAACCTTCCAGGGACGCATAACTGGCACCTGATACTGTGCAGGATCACATTGTCAAGGACAGTAAGCAGACAGAAAAAGAACGCGAGAGATGCTCTCAAACCGGTCGTCGATTATTCTTGTGGAAAAAACACAGCTTCTTACAGATCTAACACCAATCACAATAGGCATCTCGCTTTGCAAGAACAAACATATGAGCCTAATAAAAAAGAGGCACTTCAGTATTTTATGCACAGTCTTAACTCTCTATAATGAGCAAGACAATGTTTCCTAAATGAAATTATCAACTGACTAAAATTGATCCATACTTCTTTAATCTGTAAACAAAAAAGAGAGCAAATGTTTTAAGAAAATAAAGGGACCGATTTAGAAGTTCAAAAGAGGTAAAAATAAAATTCCAAAAAAGAACCACTGTTACTATCCAGTGGACATACAAGAAGCTATTCCTCCCTCAGCAAAAGATGAACATGCATTTTAAGATACATTTTACTCCCAAATATAAGCTTTGCTTTTCCAGTATTTGTTTACGTATTTGTTTAATAAGAACAAAGTTTAATTTGTCAAGTTAAACAAAATTTAACATAACTTTGGAAGATTCATCTTACCTCCTGACTAATTTTCTAGCAAAAGAAAAGAACTGCATGACAGCTGCATTTATACGTGCTACATACAAGAAAAAGGTACGGAAGTTCTGAAACAGAACTACAACACAGAGCAGCATGAAAATCATTTTGTGAGAAACTGCAAATCATTACTGCTGTATTATGGGAGAGCATCATAAATTCACATCTCCAGTTTCTGCAAAACATGGACTGATAGGTGAATATTTCTGCAATAAGGCAATCAAATGTACAATCCCTGCACGTGTTCACCAAGGAGTCACAGTGTGTGTGAGAGTTCATTAAATAAAGAAACAGAGGTCCAAATATCAAATATAGGCAAAAAGTAGACTCTCTATTCTTTCTAACGCGGAAAAGACTCAACAACTACATGGTATACTCATAAAAGGCCACCATGTCGGGGCACACTTGCCACGCAGCCCCCCTCACTCCGCCTCCTCCGGGCTATCTGTCAGGTGGCCTTTACTCTGCCGTCGGATGCTCACCAGCCTCCCTGCCGCGCGCAGGCTCCACCTGGAGCTGTTGGCAGAGCTGGCCAGGCTGGTGTACTTGGTCGAGCCCTTGGCGTCATCCTCCCAGCCTGACCAGGATGGGTGGCCACCCACGGTGTCCTCAGGGTCAGCCGATATGTCTTCAAGAGCAAGTTTTGGAGGCTCCCAACCTTCAATTTCATCTGGTTTTTTAGACTGTATATTCTGTTTTAAAACCAAATTGTCCCAAAATCCAGATTTCTTCTCTGCCTTCAACTCTTCTTTTAATCGTAAGTTAGTTCTATAGGAGATGAAAGAGTTAGGTGTTGGTGACCCAGGTCTTAGGGCCTCAAGCTTTATCCATTTTACAAACATAAAATTCTTTAAAATTTTAAAAAATTGTTTAGAAAACTAACACAAGTCTATATGAAAAGTTTCAAATATTAAAATTAAGGAAAAATTAGTCACTATATGTTGTTAATGAAGTGTGTAAAAGCCACATTTTAGGACACCACTTGGCAATACATAAGCAAAGAACTAGTTCTGACAAGAAAGAAGTATTATCACACAAGAGAGAACCTCAAGGCAATAGGAAGGTGGTACTCAAGATTTTGAGCAAATCAGATCTATGAGAATCCAGGGTCTAGATTAAGAAACAAGGGAAATCTATTCAATTTATCAAATAGGTTTTCAATTGGATTAACACAGCAAGGTAAGGTCAAGCATTTAGTAGGTAATTTACTCAACAAAAATAAGAATTCAGAACACCATCTACTATAAAAAGGAAATGGTAGCAAGCGACAGCTAGGGAAGAAAGATCCTAAACTACTCTTCACCCTGACTGTCCGCGAGCATCACCTGGGAACATTGTTAAGAACACCAGTGCCCAGGCCCTCTCCTTCCAGATGCTGATGTATTAGCAGGTCGCCTGACAACCAGGGAACCGGTTTACCCATCCTCTACAGATGAAGGATGAAGGTGAAGTCACAGCTCCGCCAGAGCACGAAGGGCCATGTGTCTGTCCTCAGTGCACAGAAGTGCAGAGAAGCAGACCGGGGGCCCACAGTCCTCAAACAAAAGCCAACTCTGTACTTGTAGACTCACCAGGACTCATCTTCTAATCAAACAGCTTCCATAACACGGAGCAAATATGCCATTGGTAATATCATTGGGTAGTCACTGAACTTACATTTTCAACTTTACACTTTTTAAAAATTCTGAAACACTGATGATAAAGTAGCAAGGTCAGTTTAAATGTATTCAATTCTCTAAAATCTTTTACAGTTTACCAGTCAATCCTTTGTATTTTTAACAGTGTTTTTTTTGGTGGTGGTTGTTTTTGTTTTGTTTTGGTTTGGTTTTTTTCTGAAACTACTAAAAATCTTAAGTGAGGCTACAGGCTGCTTTAAGGCTAATAAGTTCAATTTATAATTCTAAGTTATTTTCCACTTTTCCATAACCTTTCAAAATGCCAACAGAGACCCTCAGGACCTTTTATCCAAAGTACAGTTTCTTTTTTTTTCATCGAACACCACAACTCATTTCTGTTGTTTTTTTTTTTTTTTTTTTTGAGACAGAGTCTTGCTCTGTTGCCTCCGTCTCCCACAGGTTCAAGCAATTCTCCTGCCTCAGCCTCCCGAGTAGCTGGGATTATAGGCACATGCCACCATGTCCAGCTAATTTCTGATTTTTTTTTTTTAGTATAGACGGGGTTTCACCATGTTGGCCAGGCTGGTCTTGAACTCCTGACCTTGTGATCTGCCTGCCTTGGCCTCCCAAAGTGCTGGGATTACAGGCATGAGCCACCATGCCCAGCCCATTTCTGTTTATTCACAAGGGATGGATGTTAACTCCGAAGCACACATCATGAAGTCCATGACCGTCTGCCACTCAACAGGGACAGACGGAGTGGGGAGGGAAACATGGACTCGCCGCGCCCCACAATGCCTCCAGTTACACTGCATTTATGCCATCAAATCTTCATTTCCACCTCCTCAGTGACTTCCTCCCTCTCCTGAAATGATCATTTTCTTACACAGTTATGACTTACCCTTTGGACTTGGGAGATTTACATCTTTCCAGGAGATGCTGCTCATCATCTTTGTTAAACAGTGAAGTCACTTCTTTCCAACCTCGGAAACTTGCTCCCTGAACCTAATAAAAGGTTAAGAAAAATGTCAAATCTGATGTCATGAATCAACAGAATTCCGCTTTCTACTCCAATAACCATGGAGTTGAAATTTAGAAAAAAGAATTGGCAGAGCTTACATCTTAGCTTTCCATACCTGTGCGCACATAGTTTACTCCCATTAGCTACTAGTCATCTCAGCTGTTTTGGTATTGTGGTCCTAACAGCTTAACAGCTTATCAGTGATGCTGAGTAATCTAAATTTAGTATTAGACAAGTCAATATTTTGCCTCAAAAAGCTTATGAAAGTGATGCTTAAAATCAGACGAAGCTTCCCTCACAAATAAGAATTAGGTCTCCTTAAAACTTGGGAGATTGGGCTGGGCATGGTGGCGCATACCTGAAATCCCAGCACTTTAGGAAGCCAAGGCAGGAGGATTACTTGAGCCCAGGAGTTCAACACCAGCCTGGGGAACAAAGTGAGACCCCGTTGCTACAAAAAATACAAAAACTTAGCCAGGTATGGTGGTGCAAACCTGTAGTTTCAGATACTCAGGAAGCTGAGGTGGGAGGATCACTTGAGACCCAGGAGGTCAAGGCTGCAGAGAACTGTGATCTCACCACTGCACTCCAGGCTGGGCAACAGAGCAAGACCCCATCTCAAAAAACAAACAACAGCAACAACAACAAAACACATAGGAGACTGACCTTTGAGAAGGTTGTTACAAGAGGTCCCCTAGAAGGGGGTCTTCTCCAAGGTCCCCTGGAACAACTGTGCCACTACCTTTAAGCGTCAGCATCTCCATGGAGACAGTGACCCTTGCCCTAACTTCTACAAGTGTAGATTTCTGAGAAGAAATAATTTTGTTGACTGTAAACAAATGATTTTGTACAATTTTTTCATTTCTGACATCAAGATATAATTAATACCATCTTGGATACAACGAAATCCATTACTAAGAAGAATGGAGAAAACCATCTGAAAATCCGGCGTGTGTCGAAGGCCCTTCATATTCACTGATTAACATTTCCCAGGGTTCATCATCACATTGCTAGGGCTGGGAAGGGTCTCTCACGGGGTAGAGCCAGCTTTAGAATACTTTGCGTTGTTAAAAATATAATACAAAAATAAAGCAATCCTGAAAGCTGACCTGAGGCTGCAGCATGACACTGATCCGAGACAAGGATAATGAATACAATTCAATCAACCCTTTGAGGTGACCCAGTGATTGCCAGGTGCAATGTCTGGGGGTCTCCAGGGTGTAACACAGCCTCAGGAAGGGGCAAAGGGCAGAGATGACCCTGAAAACTAACCAGGGACTAAGGGGTCCCACTTTTACTTCCCATAGGCCAGACTCTCAACTCCCTGTCTGGGCAGAGGTCTGCATCTGTAGACGGGGGACAGGCCCTCCAACAGTTGTGACTGGAGAGGCGTTTATGAATCAGATACTGGGATAGGAGTATGATGGCAGTACCCACGCCAAAGAAACCATCACAACAAAAACCCTGGGCATCAGGTATCAGCTTTCCACATCACACACTGCACAAAAACCTACCAAAGAAACCATCACAGCAAAAAACACTGAGCATCAGGTATCAGCTTTCCACATCACACACTGCACAAAAACCGATCACACAACCCATGTCATGCTGACAGCTTTGGCACACTTGTATGCACATCAGGTAAAGGATTACGTCTGATGCGCAGGGCCCATGGCATGACAGAGCATGTGGCAGGATCCTATCAAGAAGTCTCAATTAAGAACATAATTCTAGAGGCTAACCCATCTGGACTCTGGAGGAAGGACCATGTGCAGTCACTATGTGCCCAGCACTGTGCAATGCAATCTCCACCTACCACGTCCCTCACTCTGAGCAATGCCCCATGAGACAGACACAGTGAAGCTTCGTGACCTTGGGGAACTTAGCTCACACAAATGGCCAGGAAGCAAAGCCAAGGCTTGAGCTAATGTCTCACTGCCAAGTTGTTATGTTCCCCATTCCCAGGCCTGCTGTGTCCCAACACCACAAGCCTGTGCCTCACCCCTCCATGGACTGCCCACCCCTTCCTTTAAGCTGTCGTCACCACCTTCAGATGCTATTTGCTCCACACACCACCTGCATGTCCTAAAGGTGTGATACGGTGTGGCTCTGTGTCCCCACACAAGTCTCAAGTCAAACCATAATCCCCATGTGTCAGGGGAGGGACCTGGTGGGAGATGACTGGATCATGGGGGCAGATTTTCCTCTTGGTGTTCTCATGAGATCTGATCATTTAAAAGTGTGTGGCACCTGTCTTTTCTCTCTCTCTATCCTGCCGCCATGTAAGACATGCCTAGCTTTGCTGCCACATAAGATGTGCCTTGCTTCCATTTCTGCCATGACTGTAAGTTTCCTAGGCCTCCCCAGCCATACAGAACTGTAAGTCAACCTCTTTTCTTTATAAATTATGCAGTCTCAGGTAGTTCTTTATAGCAGTGTGAAAACAGACTAACACAGAGAATTGGTACGAGAGGAGTGCGGTACTGCTATAAAGATACCTGAAAACGTGGAAGTGTCTTTGGAACTGGGTAATGGGGCAGAGGCTGGAATAGTCTGGAGGGTCCAGAAGAAGACTGGAAGATGTGGGAATGTTTGGAACTTCCTAGAGACTTGTTGAATGGTTCTGACCAAAATGCTGACAGTGATACAGACAATGAAGTCCAGGATTAGGTAGTCTCAAATGGAGATGAGGAACTTATCGGAAACTGGAGTAAAGGTCCCTCTTGCTTTGCCTTAGCAAAGAGACTGGTGGCATTTTGCCCCTGCCCAAGAGATATGTGGAACCTTGAACTAGAGGGAGATGATTTAGGATATCTGGCAGAAGAAATTTCTAAGCAGCAAAGGGTTCAACATGTGGCCTGGGTGCTCCTAACAGCATACAGTCATATGTGTTCACAAAGAGATGGTCTGAAATTGGAACTTATGTTTAAAAGGCAAGCAGAGCATACAAGTTTGGAAAATTTGCAGCCTGACCCTGCAAATGGTAGAAAAGAAAACCCTTTCTGGGAAGAAATTCAAGCTGCCAGCTGCAAAAATTTGCATAAGTAAAGAAGAGCCAATGTTAATTGTCAAGACAATGGGGAAAATGTCTCCAGGGCATTTCAGAGACCTTCATGGCAGCCCCTCCCATCACAGGTCCAGAGGCCTAGGAGGGAAAAATGGTTTTCTGGGCCAGGCCCAGGGTCCTGCTTCACTGTGCACCTCTGGACATGGTGTCCTGTGTCCCAGCCGCTCCACCTCCCGCAGTGGCTAAATGGGGCCAAGGTATAGCTCCAGCCATGACTTCAGAGGGTGCAAAGCCCAAGCCTTGGTGGTTTCTACATGGTATTGGGCCTGAAAGTACACAGAAGGCAGGAGTTTGGGAGCCTCTGCCTCGATTTCAGAGGAGGTATGGAAATGGCTGGACATCCAAGCAGAAATCTGCTGCAAGGGTAGAGCCCTCAAGAAGAACCTCCACTAGGGCAGCATGCAAGGGAAATGTGGGGTTGCAACCCCCACACCAAGTCCCCACTGGAGTACTGCCTAGTAGAGCTGTGAGAAGAGGGCCACCGTCTTCTCAGAATGGTAGATCCACCAACAACTCGAACCATGCACCTGAAAAAGCCACAGGCACTCAATGCCAGCCCATGAAAGAAATCAAATGGGGCTGTACCCTGCAGAGCCACAGGGTCTGTGGAGATGCCCAATGCGTTGGAAGCCCACCCCTTGCATCAGCATGCCCTGGATATGAGACATGGCATGTAAAGGGATTATTTTGGAACTTTAGGATTTAATGACTGCCCTGCTGGGTTTCAGACTGTAGCCCCTTGGTTTTGGCCAATTTTTCCCTTTTGTTGTGGGTGCATTTACCCAACGCCTGCACCTCCATTGTGTCTTTAAAGTAACTAACTTGTTTTTGATTTTACAGGCTTATAGGCAGAAGGGACTTACCTTGTCTTAGATGAGACTACTTACCTTGTCTCAGATGAGACTTTGGATTTGACTTTTGAGTTAATGCTGGAATGAGTTAAGATTTTGGGGGATTGTTGGGAAGGCATGACTGGTTTTGAAATGTAAGAAGAACATTACATTTGGGAGGGGCCAGGAGCAGAATGATGTGGTTTGTCTCTGTGTCCCCACCCAAATTTTGTGTCAAACTATAATCCCCACATGTCAGGGAAGGGACCTGGTGGGACGTGACTGGATCATGGAAGCGGATTTCCCCCTTGCTGTTCTTGTGATAGTGAGTTCTCACAAGATCTGATCATTTAAAAGTGTGTGGCACCTCCCTGTTCTCTCTCTCTCTCTCTCTCCTGCCACCAAGTAAGATGTGCCTTGTTTTCCCTTCACCTCCTTACGTAAGTTTCCTGAGGCCTCCCCAGCCACATGGAACTGTGAGTCAATTAAACCTCTTTTCTTTATAAATTACCCAGTCTCAGGTAGTTCTTTACAGCAGTGTGTAAATGGACTAATACAAGGTGATTCCCCTAAGATTCCATTTCTGGTATCATAAGGAAAATCAACAGGAAATGAGAATTATTGAAATATAAATTATTACCTAGTGTTTCCATTGAAATTATTAGGAATAAGATGCCAAAAAAATAGTCTCTAGTTTATGAACTTCAAACAACGTTTTTGTTTTGTTTTGTTTTGTTTTTGGAGGCAGGGTCTCTCTGTTACCCAGGCTGGTGGCCTGGCCTACTTCCTTACAAGAATGCCTTAATCTCCCATTTCTGCATACAATTTTCCAGGAATTCCACCCTTTGAACACCACGCTGGGCTGGCAGTAGAACCCACATTTCCAGTTGTGTGGTCTCCACTAACCACACCACTGTCCCTGTAGCACCTGGGTGGCTGCTGCACATCCCATCAGATGACCCTGGAGCTGGGACTCCATCCCACCACCAGCTTCCTGAGCCCCTGCTCTAACATGCACCTCCATGGAGAACAAGTAAGGGAATCCCTCTCTACTGCCAGGTGAGCAATTAGAAGAGGTTGGAGTCCTAGAAGGTGCACAAACAGACATGATCGAAGTGTGAGCGTGAGGAGTGCTGTGAGGCCACTCCTCCACTCATCCACTATGCGGGCAGAAAGAATCCATCAAAACCAGATATCTCGGTCTTCACCTGAAGTCTCCCACATTTCCCTCTGAGCATCCCCCGGGAAGGACAGGAGGGAAAGTCCTCACCTGAGCACTCTGCTCCTGTAGCCAGCAAGGCTGGCCCTTGAGGTGGAGTTCCTGAAGGGCCCAGGAAGGACATGGACATTGTCCTGAGGTGGACAAAATCTTAGGTGGCGACAGCCTAAGTGCTGCTCATGGTATGGGGCATGAAGAAAGTTCTCCTCTTCCACGGGAAAAGCCCTGTAGAGTGTTCTATGGGAAGGCAGAAAAAACCTAAACACCTCTTGAGGACCAAGAAGAATGATGGTAAAACATTCTTAAAACTAGGATTCAATTCAGAGAGAAAGTGACATCCAAAACAATGAAGACAGATGAGATGTGCCGTAAAACGCTGGTAATGACCAAGAAGTTAGGCCACAGAAATGAGAAAGTAAGTTCCTGCACAAAACAACGAAAAATTATTTTTCCTGTTTTAGCTATACCTTAGTTGTAAAAAAGTGCTTCATGTTTCATGAAGAAAATCTATGCAATATTGTAAAGAAAATTAATATCCATAATTTACCAAAATTATTCCTGTTAGGTTAAACGGCAGTGTCTTATCAAAAATGTGCAGAGAGGCCAGGACCTCTGGCTGGCATTGAATACACAGGGAGCAATAAACCTCATCGGCAGGCCCCACCAGTGCGCACGTCCAGATCCTGTCCATGAGCACAGAGCTTGGGTGTGGCAACCCTGAAGGCCTTGTTTAGAAGAACTGAACCTGCCAATCTTCACCTCCTGTAATCAGAAAAGAGATCCTCATCTAACCAAGTGACACTCTCAGAAGTGCCATCCTTCATACTTAATCTCACAATTTGTAATCTTGAAATCTTAAACAAAATGTCCAAGATACAGTGTCATTTGCGTTTTCTCCTATTTTTCATTAAATGTAAAATTCAAGCATTAAGTTCTGAATTATCCCAATAAAGCAGATGGAAATTTCTCCTTTTGCCACAGGAAGGGCAGGTGTATCGGACTCCGGCCCTGGGAGAAAGCCTCCAGGCTGCTCCCTGCAACTCTGGGTCCTGACAACCAGGGCAGGAAATAGCACAGCAAGGCTGAACAGTGACACCTAAGACCAACCCAGTAATGTGGGCAAGACCAGGAAGTGTTACACCACAGTACCTGTGAAGGACAGAATCCAGCAAGAGGGTTAACAAGAACATGAGCAGGCCGGGCGCGGTGTCTCACACCTGTAATCCCAGCACTCTGGGAGGCCAAGGTGGGTGGATCACAAGGTCAGGAGATCGAGACCATCCTGGCTAACACGGTGAAACCCCGTCTCTACTAAAAATACAAAAATTAGCCGGGCGTGATGGCGGGCGCCTGTAGTCCCAGCTACTCTGGAGGCTGAGGCAGGAGAATGGCGTGAACCCGAGGAGGTGGAGCTTGCAGTGAGCTGAGATCGCGCCACTGCACTCCAGCCTGGGCGACAGAGTGAGACTCCATCTCAAAAAAACAAACAAACAAAAAAAACATGAGCGTAATGCTCGGGTCAGCTCACTGCATGCCACATAACCTGCACCTACCAGTTCAGTCCAGAGTCCATGTAATTTTAGTATTTCATTATAAAGCAAATTTCCTGGTATACTTCTTTTGTTTTGTCTTTTTGAGATGGAGTCTTTCTCTGTTGCCCAGGCTGGAGTGCAGTGGTGTGATCTTGGCTCACTGCAACATCCACCTCCCAGGTTCAAGCAATTCTCCTGCCTCAGCCTCCTGAGTAGCTGGAATTACAGGCGATGGCCACCACACCCAGCTAATTTTTGTATTTTTAGTAAAGATAGGGTTTCACTATGTTGGCCCGGCTGGTCTCGAACTCCTGCCCTCAAGCGATCCAACCGCCTCAGCCTCCCAAAGTGCTGGGATTACAGGCGTGAGACACCGCGCCCGGACCTTTCCTGCTATACGTTTTAAAGGTATTTAAAGTCATAGGTCAGGAAAAATTAGAAACCTTTCTTAAGCCAGGTATCCCAATTTCTCATCAGGAACACTGCATCACAGCAGGGTGACCATGTGCAGGGCCAGCATGGGACTCAGTACAGACGGTTTGCCGTTATCAACCACAGGGCACTGGCGTCCCTGCAGTCATGGGCCCAGAAATACAGCTCTTTGTGAAGATGAGGGGAACATGGAAGGAGCTGTGCATGACCCTGACCCACCCTCTCCAAAGCCCACCCCCAGAACAGTTCTGGACAAAGGCTTAGCGCTGGCATTCAGTGTCTTAAAGCTGTTCTGGGGGTGGTGACGTGGTGAGGGAGGACTCTGGGAAGAGTGAAAGCACAGGCCCCAGGCCTCTTCTTGGCATCGCCATTGGCTACCACCTCCCACCTTCCTGAATACTGTGAAAATGCTGTGATCCTGGGAACACAAAACACAGTGCCCCCAACAGGCTAAGGTTTCAATTACGTACAACAAAAAGGCACAGAACAGCTTAGTCTTCTTTCATCCCTTCTAAATTTGGGAACTCACAGTGAACTTATCTTTAAACACACTGAAGCTATTGAGAAACTGGCCATTCTGGAAAACATTGGTTGATGAACCCAGTCCTGACATCCAAGTCAAACTGTGAGACCAAATCCCACAGTCATCAGATGAGACCCATCAGGCCACAGGAAGGCCCGCAGCCGTGTTCACCAAATTGCAGGGTGCCAGGCCAACGACCCTTCAGGGTGTGGTGGGGCTAGGCGGCCATAGCGAGACCAGGCTCCCACCAGAGGGGCTGCTGATCTGACCCCCAGCCTGCCTGAACACAGTCTGACTCAAAAAACTAGCTCGGGTGACCTAGGCATACCTCAGCACACACAAACATGGAACCCAGAGCCATGCAGTGGGACCTACGCCTACCTCAGCACGTGTCAACATGGAATCCAGAGCCACACACTGGAACCAATGCCCACCTCAGCACACATCAACACGGAATCCAGAGCCACACACCGGAACCCATGCCCACCTCAGCACACATCAACACAGAATCCAGAGCCACACAATGGAACCCATGCCCAACTCAGCATGCATCAACATGGAATCCAGAGCCATACACTGGAACCAATGCCCACCTCAACACATGTCAACACAGAATCCAGAGCCACACATCAGAACCAATGCCCACCTCAGCATGCACCAACACGGAATCCAGAGCCACACATCAGAACCTGTGCCCACCTCAGCACGTGTCAACATTGAATCCAGAGCCACACACTGGAACCAATGCCCATCTCAGCACACGTCAACACAGAATACAGAGCCGCACATCAGAACCAATGCCCACCTCAGCATGCAACAACACGGAATCCAGAGCCACACATCAGAACCTGTGCCCACCTCAGCATGTGTCAACATGGAATCCAAAGCCACACACTGGAACCAATGCCCACCTCAGCATGTGTCAACACAGAATCCAGAGCCACGCATCAGAACCCATGCCCACCTCAACACGCACCAACACAGAATCCACAGCCACACACTGGAAGCAATGCCCACCTCAGCACACACCAACATGGAATCCAGAGCCACACTAGGGCAACCCACGTCCACCTCAGCACACGCCAACATGGAATGCAGAGTCACACACTGGAACCAATGCCCACCTCAGCACGTGTCAACATGGAATCCAGAGCTGCACATCAGAACCAATGCCCACCTCTGCACGCGTCAACACGGAATCCACAGCCACGCATTGGAACCCGTGCCCACCTCAGCACGCACCAACACGGAATCTAGAGCCATGCATCGGAACACGTGCCCACCTCAGCACACACCAACACGGAATCCAGAGCAGCACACTGGAACCAATGCCCACTCACCATGCATCAACACAGAATCCAAAGCCACACATCAGAACCTGTACCCACCTCAGCACGCACCCAACACGGAATCCAGAGCCACACACACTGGAACCAATGCCCACCTCAACACACACCAACACGGAATCCACGCCCACATCAGCACACACCAGCATGGAATCCAGAGCTACACATCAGAACCCGTGCCCACCTCAGCACGCATCAACACGGAATCCAGAGCCACACACTGGAACCCATGCCCACCTCAGCACGCGTCAATATGGAATCAAGAGCCACACACTGGAACCAATGCCCACCTCTGCACACACCAACACGGAATCCAGAGCCACACAAGGGTAACCCACCCCCACCTCAGCACGCACCAACATGGAATCCAGAGCCACACAATGGAACCAATGCCCACCTCAGCACAAGTCAACATGGAATCAAGAGCCACACACTGGAACCAATGCCCACCTCAGCACACACCAACACGGAATCCAGAGCCACAAAAGGGTAACCCACACCCACCTCAGCAAGCACCAACACGGAATCCAGAGCCACGTGTCGGAACCCAGTCCACCTGAGCCTGCCCTGGGTTCTGACCGCAGCCCTGTCACTGGTTGCTCAGTCCCCTCATCTGTCAGATGCCAGCTGTGTGACCTCCAGGAGTTGTTTTTCCTCCTGTTAATTTCTGCAAACATATCTTTTAAAAACAAACGGAGGACTGGCCTCAAAAAAGGCCCCACTGCAGCACTGGGTCTTGTGTTTCCTTTGATATGCTCCAGACAGCATGTTTTGGGTAGTGTTTTCTTTTTCCCTGAGTTTTAACCTGGGGGTGCAGCAATAAAGCATTCACTTCAAGAGTCCTGAAGTCAGTGGGGGGAGGCAGGGGAAGGGCCTAGAGCAGTCCAGGAGCCCCTAAGAAACCCACTCACCAAGTGAAACGAGAACGGAGCCCCCTACCCTGCAGGGTGGATCCAGTTTGCAGAATGTTCAAAGAGGCAGACTCTGGGCTCTGCCACAAACCGTGATTCGCAGACAGTGCAAACCGTAAAACCACTCATGTTCAATATCTGCAGTTTTGGGAATAAGAAGTCAGCACTCCAGCCCTGTTTGGTGAACTGGCAATTCTTGTAAGAATCACCAGGTTACAATTTGGGTCAACAGACTTTGCCATTTATTTCACAATAGTCAATCTGAAGATCTTGATGCCAGTTAAGTTTGAACACACCAGAAACTGGCATTCAAAACAGTCATCGAGACAAATGAACTTGTGCTCTCTGCTCATTCACATTTCGGAACCCAGACTTATAAATTCATTCTAAGCCCATGAGAGGCATTATTAATCATTTCTCATTCTGAAAAACTTCTACCTATGTCCTTTTTAAGATACATATTTGGAAAGATTTGGGGAACAGGGAAAGGGAACTTTTACTTCCCACACCGTTTTTAACAAAGTATTTTGATGAAATAAAAATATTTCATACATGATGACTTCATATTCAATTTACAAAAACAATACACATAACCTTCAGATAATTTTGTATGCCTGATAAAAACAAACATTAATTACCACATTTGGAATTACTTATGTAATCTAAAACCAAAAATTCTCAACACTGCCTACCTGCAAACGGACCCACAGACCTAAAACAGCTATAGCCACCCTTGGTACAAATATTCTTTTGTTCAGCAGGTTTGTTAAGAACTGAAAAGGATTAATTCCGTAAGTGCATTAACTGTACAAGTCCACAAATACCTCTTCCACCAAGTGCTAAAGCAGTTTTAATAACAGGTTCAATATGAGTCTTGTGAAACAGGGGTGGGAAGGATCCTGTTAAAGGGTAAATATTGTTTTCCATAATATTGAAGATGTGTAAAATTTCTCTTCTGTTTTTATAAAACTAGAACAAGCAATCCCAATGAAGAAACATAATCCATGACTACTGCGAACCGAAATCCAGACTGCAGGTGCAGGAAGGTTGCTAGAAATACCTCAGACGGGAACTTAACCCATGGCCAGGAGCCAATGTCAGCCTCCATCAACTTCCAGCCATTTCCCATGAAGGCCATGAAGATCTCCAGCCACAGCAGCAGGAACGCATGGCCAACAGAAACCAATGCCATCTGTCAGTGCTTCACTGAGGCTTTAGATTGAGAACTGTAAGAAAAATGATTACTCTCACAGCCCAGGCTTGTGTATACCAGAAGAGAAATCGTGAGCTGCTGTGTAAACACCCTCCGATGAACATGAAAAACTCTCAAACTGCAGGGTCCAGAGGCAGCCACACAAACCCTCAAATCACACGCAAAGTCAGCACGTAGGCAGACACACAAACCCTCAAATCACACCCAAAGTCGGCACGTAGATATCAACTTGCTAGCTTCACCCAGTGCCAGCCAGGACAGGGTCCCTAAGCAGCAGGGTAGTGGGAGCTATCTGGAAATGTGGGCATGGACATCACTGTGGCCTAATGGCTGGGGGTCTGGGTGTCCTCTTTCTCCTCACCCATTCAGCCATGGCCGCTTTCCACTGCCACAAAGACAGAGGGGCAGAGCCACATGAACACTATTTTTTCAAGAAACGAATACTCCAGATTTCCCTGTTTTTGCTGTAAGAAAATTGAAATTATTTAAACAACAAAAAACACACATAGGATCTCTGGAAATGCTCCCAAGGGCACATAGTAAGTGAAGAAATATCTATTCATGAAAATTCTTAAACATTTGGTACAAAAGATGAGCAAACAAGACCATTTACCCTCCCAGCTCGGCAGCGGGGGGAGGGGAGGAGAATCCACTCAGATCAGCCACAGCCAACAGCACAGGCTCCCTCTCACTCCAGCTCCAAGTGGAACGACTTTCATCCCAGGAGGAACTGGACTTCAGCTTCTCACATGCCGTCCCCAGCTGCCTGTGGCTGACACTAAGCCGCAGCTGAATGCTACACAGAGGTGAGGACTCCCTTGTTCCAGCCCCACTCCCGGGAAGGAGGCGCTGCTGTGCATGTGCTGCACTGCAAACAGTGGAGCCCTGATCACCCTTCCTGGGCTCGAGAGGTGACGGTTCCACCCCAGGAGAAGCAAGCTGATACGACTCCCCACTACGGCAAATGCTCAGTTCCCAGAGCAGGACTGTCACTCGGAGAGCAGCTTGCCTTTGTCCCCATCCCCAGCTCCAGAGTCTTGGCTGAGAGATGTCCCTGGTGGAGAAGCAGGACATAAAGCAGACAGCTATGGACCAGCACTAACCTTCAGAGCTGTGGAAGACAAAATCTCTTTCCAAAGGAGCCCACTTCATTTGCACAGAGTGTAGAGAAGCTTAAACATAAGGGAGCTCTTAGGAACACTGGAGTCTGTGGTGAAGTGCAATGGGGAGGTATTAGTTCATTCTCACACTGCTATAAAGAATAATACCTGGGACTGGGTAATTATAAAGGAAAGAGGTTTAATTGACTCACAGTTCTGCAAGCTTAACAGGAAGCATGGCTGGGAAGCTTTGGGAAACTTACAATCATGGCGGAAGGCAAAGGGGAGGCAGGCACCTTCTTCACAAGGCAGCAGGAGGGAGTATGAGCATGCACAGGAAGAACTGCCACTTTAAAACCATCAGATCTCATGAGACTCACTCACTATCATGAGAACAGTGTAGGGGAGACTGCCCCCATAATCCAATCACTTCCTTCCCTCAACACATGGGGATTGCAATTCTAGATGAGATTTGCATGGGGACACAGAGCCAAGCCATATCAGAAGGAGATTTGAGACAAGCCTAAGATTTGAGACCTGAGGCTGCTGGCTTTCAGGGAAGAACTAGGGAATAAGACAGCTGGAAGGATCCTTCTTGGGGTCAGAGTAAATATCAAGCAGGGACCTCAAACTGTTCCTTCACAGAAGCCACAATTTGACTGGATTCATTTGTAGAGCAATGTATGCCCCAGGACATTTTTTAAACCATACAGCAATCAGCAGCAATTACTGGAATTTAGCAGCTGCATGCGGTCACGGACAGAGGAAGAAAGCCTGCCACACCTCCATCATCCCAGGTAAGAGGGGCCACACCCAACAGTGCCGTGCCCCACCAGAAGCCACATCAGGAGCTAAATTACACCACTGGGGGCAGGGTGGAGAATTGACTTCTCTAAAATAATCCAGCCAATCACTAAGCAAATAAAGAGGCAAATAACAACAGCAACAATGGGAAAGGGGGAACAGTCAGTACCCAGAGTGGCTACAATGTATCATCCAAAATGTCCAGTTTCTAACCAGTGGGCACTAGGCTTAATACCTGGGTGACAAAATAATCTGTACAACAAACTCCCATGACACAAGTTTACCTATATAACAAACTTTCACCTGTACTATTTAACTTAAAGTTAAAAAATAAAAATAAAATATATAAAGTGTCCTGTTTCAACAGAAAGTTTTGAGGCAGCCAAAGAAAAAGGAAGACCCATACATCAGAAAACAACAGCAGGCAACACAAACTGCCAGATCTGTGGATTTAACAGAAGAAGACTTCAAAGAACCATTATAAATATGTTAACAAAGCTAAAGGAAAGTATGATAAAGATGTAAAGGAAGGTACGACGGCAATGTTGCATCAAAGAGAGAATGCCAGTAAAGAGACAGAAATTATCAAAAAGAACCAACTGGAATTTCTAGAAATGAAAAGTATAATACATGAAATAAAATATTCACTAGAGGGGTTTTACAGTACATTTTAATTTAGAGAAGAAAAAATTAAGTGAACTTGAAGACAGACTGCTACAGATAATATGTGTATTAGTTCATTTTCACATTGCTATAAAGAACTGCCCAAGACTGGGTAATTTATAAAGAAAAGCAGTTTAATTGACTCAGTTCCACATGGCTGGGAAGGCCTCAGGAAACTTACAAAAATGGTGGAAGGCAAAAGGCAAAGGCATATCTAATATGGCAGCATTCAAGACAGAGAGCAAATGAGTGAAGGGGGAAGACTCCCTTATAAAACCATCAGATCTCATGAGAACTCACTCACTATCACAAGAATAGCATGCGGGAAACCACCCCCAGGATCCAATCACCTCTCACCAGGTCCTGCCCTTGATACATTGCGATTATGGGAATTACAATTCAAGATGAGATTTGGGTGGGGACACACAGCCAAACCGTATCATTCCACCCCTGGCCCCTCCCAAATCTCATTTTTTTCACTTTTCAAGACACAATTATGCCTTCTCAACAGTTCCCCAAAGTCTTAATTCATTTCAGCATTAACTCAAAAGTCCAAATCCAAAGTCTAATCTGAGACAAGGCAAGTCCCTTTTGCCTATAAGCCTGTAAAATCAAAAGCAAGCTAGTTACTTCCTAGATACAATGGAGATACAGACATTGGGTAAATGTTCCTGCTTCAAATGGGAGAAACTGGCCAAAACAAAGGGGCTACAGGCCCCATGCAGGTCCAAAATCCAGTGAGGCACTCATCACATCTTAAAGCTCCAAAATAATCTCCTTTGACTCCATGTCTCACACAACCAGCTCGTGCTGATGCAAGAGATGGGCTCCTACCACCTTGGGCAGCTCCACCCCTGTGGCTTTGCAGGGTATGGCCCCCTGGCGCCAGCTGCTTTCATGGCTGGTATTGAGTGTCTGCAGCTTTTCCAGGCATATGGTGCAAACTGTCGGTGGATCTACCATTCTGGGATCTGAGGATGGTGGCCCTTTTTTCACAGTTACACTAGACAGTGCCCCAGAGGGGACTCTCTGTGGGGGCTCCAACCCCACATTTCCCTTCCATACTGGCCCAGCAGAGGTTCTCCATGAGTGCTCTGCCCCTGCAGCAAACTTCTTTCTGGACATCCAGGTGTTTCCATACATCTCTGAAATCTAGCCAGAGGTTCTCAAACCTCAATTCTTGACTTCGGTGCAGTCGTAGGACCAACACCAAGTGGAAGCAGCCAAGGATTGGGGCTTGCACACTCTGAAACAATGGCCTGAGCTGTACCTTGGTACCTTTTCCCCATGGCTGGAGCGGCTGGGAGACAGGGCACCAAGAACCAGGCTACACATAGCAAGGGAGCCCTGGATCTGGCTCATCTGACCCATTTTTTCCTCCGGGCCTCCAGGCCTGTGATGGGAGGGGCTGCCCCAAAGGTCTCTGACATGCCCTGGAGACAATTTCCCTATTGTCTTGATGATTAACATTTGGCTCCTTGCTACTTAACGCAAATTTCTGCAGCTGGCTTGAATTTCTCCCCCAAAAATAGCTTTTTCTTTTCTATTACTTTGTCAGGCTGCAAAGTTTCCAAACTTTGACGCCTGTTTCCCTTTTAACATAAGTTCTGTGAAAGGAAAATAAATGTTGGGACTCCAAAATCACTAAGCTAAATGGAAAAGTCAAGCTGGGAACTGCTTGGGGCAAACCTGAGAAGTGGAGGTTGCAGTGAGCCAAGATTGTGTCACTGCACTCCAGCCTGGGTGACAGAGCAACCGAATTTAGACACATGCGATGTGACCTCCAGGAGGAAGCACAGAGCTGTGCCCACTCCCCAGGGAATCAGGGTGTGTCATTCACCCAGCCCGCCAGTGTGTTCACCAACCAGGAAGCTCCACTAAGCTTCAGCATCCAGAGTTGTGACTGGGGTTTAAATAGGTACGCATAATTGGTTAAATAATTGGCCACATGACTGCACTCAGTCTCCAGTTCCTCTCTTATCCCCAGAAGTCTGGCAGCTGGAAAATCCCAACCCTCTAATTGCATGTTTGTCTTTCTGGTAACCACCCCCCATCCCGAGGCTATCTAGGGGCCCACTTCAAGTCACTTCATTAGCATAAGAGGACACTCTTCTCACTCAGGAAATCCCAAGAGTTTTTGAACCTCTGTGCCAGGAACCACAGACAAAAGATCAGATGTAATCTTTATTATACCAACCAAAGACAGGGAGATAATCTTGAAAGCTACAAGAGAAAAATGACCAATAGCTTATAAAGGAAGCCCCAATAAGATTAACAGCTGACTCTCAGTAAAAACAATGAATGCCGGAAGGCAGTGGAATAACACAATCAGAGCACTCAATGAAGAAAAAAAAATTCTCAACCAAAAATCCTATATCCAGCAAAGACCATCTTTCAAAAATGAAGGTAAAATACAGACTTTCCTAGATGAATAAATCTGAACTTCTTGTTAGCAAACCCACCTTATGAGAAACACTAAAGGAACTTCTTCAGCTGAAAACGAGGAACTCCATACAGCAACTCATATCCACATGAGAAAACAAAGTGCACCGGTAATGGTAATTATGTAATTATAAAATACAGTACAGATACATTCTTATTTCTTCCCAGAACTAGTCTGAAAAGCAATTGCATAGAATAGGCATATACTACATAGAAATGTAATGTGTATGTAATATATTTGCCAATAACACCACAAAAGATGAGGGTAGAAGCAAAGCTACATCAGGCTAAGAAATCGGCTACAGATGGTAAGATAATAAATGAAAATGTTGAATTTAAAAATATACACAATGCAAAAGAAAGCAGCAAAGGAACAAAATGAAGGCATGAGACATATGGAAAACAAAAAGGGAAATGGCAGATGTAAACCCAACCCTACTAATTCAATATTAAATGTAAATGGATTAAAACTCCAAGCAAAGGCAAATACTGTCACACTGGATTTTTAAAATACAATCCAACTAAATACTGCCTATAGGAGACACACTTTAGAATCAAAGATAAAAACTGACTGAAAGTGAAAGGAAGGAAACAGAGATATGCAAACAGCAAACACAACAAAGCTAAAGTGACTATGTAAACAAAAGAGAGTTTAAAAAATTTTTTTTAATGTTGCTAAAGAGAATTTCATCAAAATAAATGCAACAGCCCATCAGGAAGATATAACAATTAAAGACTTACATGTACATAGTAACAAGGCAACAAAATACAAGAAACAAAAATGGACAGACATAAAGGGAGAACTAGAAAAATCCAATATTCACAGAGATTTCACCATGCCACTTTCAATAATGGATAGAAGATTAACAACAGAAGATGTGGAAAAACACTACAAACTAATAAGACCTAACAGATAGTTACAGAACTCTCCAACAATAGAATGTACATTCTTCTCAAGTGCAAACAGATCAGTCTTCAGGACAGATCATATGCTAGGTGATAAAACAAACCTGGATATATTTAACAGGATAAAACTATTCAAAGTCCTTTCTTTGACCATAATGGAATGAAATTAGAAATGAGGCAGGAAAAACTCTCAAATATGTGGAAATTTTAAAACTCACTCTTAAATTACCAATGGGTCTAAGAAGGAAATCAGAAAATACTTGTAAACAAAGTGAAGACACAACATACCAAAAAACATGGGATTCAGTTAAAGCAAAGCTTAGGAGGAAATTTATAGCTGTAAATGTCTATAAAGAAAAAAAGATATCAAATCAATAACTTAAACTTCTATCTTAAGGCAGTGGAAAAAGAGCAAACTAAACCTAAAGGAAGCAAAAGGTAGGAAATCACAAAGATTAAAGCACAAATTAATCAATAGAGAATAACAGAAGAGAAATAAACAAAACCAAAATTTCGTTCTTTAAAAAAAAAAACAAAATTGGGGCCGGATGCAGTGGCTCACACCTGTAATCCCAGCAAATTGGAAGGCCACAGCAGGTGGATCACGAGGTGGAGACTGAGACCATCCTGGCCAACACAGTGAAACCCCTTCTCTACAACAACAACAACAACAAAAAAAAAAATGACTGGGCATGGTGGCACACACCTGTAGTGCCAGCTCCTTGGGAGGCTGAGACAGGAGAATCACTTGAACCCGGGAGGCGGAGGCTGCAGTGAGCCAAGATCGTGCTGCTGCACTCCAGCCTGGCAACAGAGCAAGACTCCATCTCAACAACAATAAAAAAAAATCAGCAAAATTGATAAATCTTGAAACTGACCAAGAAAAAAGAAGACTTAAATTACTGGAATCAGAAATGAAAGAGGAGACATTTCTATTGACCTTATATAAATCAAGAATATAAAGAAACATTGTCCATCAAAAAAAAAAAGGCAACTTAGAAGAAATGGACAGATTCCCACAAAGACACAAACTACCAAAACTGACTCAAGAAGAAACACAAAATCTGAATACATATATAACAAGTGAAGAGACCAGGTGCAGTGGTCTCATGCCTGTAATCTCAGCATTTTTGTAGGCAAAGGTGGGCAGATCACCTGAGGCCATGAATTTGAGAACAGCCTGGCCATGGCAAAACCCCATCTCTAATAAAAATACAAAAATTAGCTGGGCATGGTGGCATGTGCCTGTAATCCCAGCTACTCAGGAGGCTGAGGTGGGAGAATCACTTAAACCTGGGAAGTGGAGGTTGCAGTGAGCCAAGATTGTGACACTGCACTCCAGCCTGGGTGACAGAGCAAGATTTCACCTCAAAAAAAAAAAAAACAAGGTGGAGAAATTGAATTAGTAATCAAAAGGCTACCCAAAAAGAAAAGCTCAGGCCCAGATATGTTTGCTACTAAATCCTACCAACTATTTAAAGAATTAATACCAATTCTTCACACTATTTCAAAAAAAAAAAAATAGAAGAGCAAGGAACATTTTCTAACTCATTTTGTGAGGGCACTATTATACTGATACCAAAACTAGACAAAGACACCACGAGAAAAGGAAATTATAGACTAGTATCTCTTATGAATATGGACCAAAAAAACTTCCTCACCAAAATGCCACCAAACTGAATCCAAAAACATTAAAAAATGAAAAGAATTATGTACCATAATCAAGTGGGATTTATCTCAGGAAAGAAAGGTTAGCTCAACATCTGAAAATCCATTAATATAGCAAATGAATAAAAAAAATTATATAAGCATCTCAATATATGCAGAAAAAACATTTGGCAAAATCCAATACTCTTTCATGATAAAAACATTCAACAAAGTAGAAAAAGAAGGGAATTTCCTCAACCTAGTAATGGGTGTCTATGAAAATATCTCAGCTAACACAACATACTAAATGGTTAAAGACTGAAAGCTTGCCTCCCAAGAGCAGGAACAAGACAAGGAAGCCTATTCTTGCCTCTTCTATTCAACACCGTGCAGATTTCAGCCACAGCAATTAGACAAGAAAAGTAAAATGCATACAGAAAGGAAACAAAATGAAACTATCTCTATTTGCTGATAACATGATCTTTTGCATACAAAATATGAAGTAGTCCACTAAAAACCTATGTTAGAACTAATAAAAGAGTTCAACACAGTTACAGGACACATCATGAATACACGAAAATCAATTGCGTTCTTACACACCAGCAAGGAACAATCCAAAAGTGAAATTAAGAAAGCAATTCCAGTTACAATTACATCAAAATAATAAAATACTTAGGAATATGCTTAAAATGTTTAAATGATCTGAATAACTGGAAAACTACTCCACTGTCATGAATCAGAAGACATAACATTATTAAGATGGCAATACTCCCCAAACTGATCTACACATTCAATGAAACCCCTATCACAATACCAGCTGATTCTTTGTAAAAACTGATGAGCTGACTCTAAGATGCATACAAAATAACAGGGGATTCAAGCCAAAATAATCTTGAAAAAGAAGATCAAAGTAAGAGAACTCACACTTGCCATTTCAAACTTACCACAAAGCAACAGTAATAAAACAGTGTGGTACTAGCACATCAATGCAATCAGTGGCATTAATCAATGACAGATGAATGGAAAAGAACTAAGCGTCCAGAAATAAACCCATACATATAAGGTCAATTGATTTTCAAGAAGAGTGCCAAGACAATTCAATGGGGAAAAAATAATCTTTTCAACAAATGGCTGTGTGACAACTGGAAAGCCACATGTAAGAAAATGAAGTTGGATCTTCACACCTGCCTCCCACCAAGGGAACTGCCACCCACACAACCACAAAACTGGGGACAGGATGCTGAACGCAGACTCTAGATCCACATTTGCCTCAATGCAGGGACCAGGACACCACTGCCAAGTCTGTTGACCTCAGAAACACATGACCTTAGCTCTGTGTATGGAAACACGAGGAACCATGTGGCCACAAAACCACCCTGTGACTGCCGGATCCACATAAGCCAAGGAGCTTGAAGCCCTCTCTCCACTACCAGTCACCTCAGTGCCTCAGTGGGGATGCAGCCTTTCCCTGGGACACTGGGAAATGTCTATTTTTGCATTCCAGCTCTATAGGGGAAGGCCCACCCGAGAAGCAACGGGAACATGTGTTGAGTGTGCCAGTTTACCACCTCTCAGCCTCCTCCCACCCTGGTCCTCCAAGGAATGGCACCAACAGGCAGGAGAGTTTTCTTTCACGGGGAGGGCTACTTTAAAATTAAGATTCTCACTTTCTCAAATGAAGGAATTGGATCATGATGGTATTTATCCTGCAAAAGACAATCAGGAAAAGTCATACAATTCAGACTTTATTCCAATTCAGCTAATATGTATGATTAAATATTCCATCAATACTGGAGACACAGGTCAGGCTTCAGGGCTCCACTCACCAGTTCTGTAACCTTGTGGGAATCCACACAGAGCCTCCTTGGCCTGAAGTTCACCAAAGAGAAGACGGCACTGATGTATGTTCTGTGCACAGCCAGAGATCCAAGTACAAGCACACTGATAGGTTCTCTTCCCCTCATTCTCAGTGTCTTTTCTGCTCTATCTTTTCTATGACTTTGTAACTGCTCACTTAGCAATCATTCAGACAGAAAAAAATGTAAAATTAGGAAATCTCTGATTAAAACTATGAGTATATACATTATGCATGTAAAGTGTTGTCTATATTAGCACACTGAAAGTACAGTTTGAGTGCCCCTTATCTGAGATGCTTGGAACCAGAAGTATTTCAGATTTCAGATATTTTGGGATTTTGAAATATTTGCATTATACCAGTTGAGCATCCCTAAACTGAAAATCCAAAATCCAAAATGCTCCAATGGGCATTTTTGTCGATCATCATGTCAGCATTCAAAAAGTTTTGAATTTTGGAGCATTTCACATTTTTAGATTAGAGATGCTCAACCTGTACTATCAAAATAAATGACATTCTAGTTGGCACAACCCACTGATGTCAGGAAGAGGATTGGGCAGCCTCTAACATTACTACTTACTGACAATTAATTGTTAAGTTATAATCAAGACAATGCATAAGAGAGAAATAAAAGTTACAGTTACTGGAAAGGAAAATATAATTTTTATCACTATATAATTAAATAAGTATGTGCTAAATATATAAACTGAATTATAGATTATATAATTACTTTTAGACAATGACTACATAACTAGAAAATGGGAGAGCATCAAAGAACGATTAGACCTAACAAAAAATGGCTGAATATAAAAGAAATAAAAAATAAATGGCTTTATTACAGTTAGACAATAGAAAAAGAAATGCCATTCACAAGAACCATAGTTAAAATGTCCAAAAGAACAAGTTACAAGTTTCCTTAAAAATTACATTAAAAACAAGATTTGAATAAATAAAGAGAAAAATCATACCTGAATGCCTGAATGGATGGCTGAACATTAAAAAAATATATAATTTATCCTCAAAGTACTACACTGGTCCGGTAGAGCGGTTCCTAAATGTGGTGGTGTGAATGGAGAAGAAAACATACAGGTCTCAGGAGGTTCACATCTAACCTATTCCCTTGTCATAAAATCTCCCCCAAGTGAGCTACTATCACTATTGGGACTATGGCGTGTCCCTCAGGAATGTGGAATACAAATAAAACATTCAAGAGAATGAGAGGAAAAGCCATAGACTTGGAGAAAATATTTGGAAAAGGCACATCTGATAAAGGATTGTTGTCCAAAATATACAAGGAACTCTTAAAACCCAACAATAAGAAAACAGCCCTATAAAAAATGAGCAAAAGACTTTAACAGACACTTCACCAAAGACATGGAGATGGTAAATAAGCATCTGAAAAGATGCTCCACAACATCTGTCATCAGGGAAATGCAAATTAAGACAGCAACAAGACACTGCCACACACCTATCAGAACTGACAAAACCCAGACCCCCACCACCAGATGCTGGCAAGGACATGGAGCAGCAGGAACTCTCGTTCACTGCTGGTGGGAAAATGGTGCAGCCATTTCAGAAGACAGTTTGGCAGTTTCTTATAAAACTAAACACTCTCACCATGCAAGCCGGCAATCACGGTTCTATTTATCCAAATGACTTGAAACCAAATGACTTGAAAACTTATGTCCACAAAAAAACTTACATATGGATGTTTATGGCAGCTTTATTCGGAAATGCTAGAACTTGGAAGCAACCAAGATGCCCTTCAGCAGGTGAATGGATAAGCTGGTACATCCAGATGATAGAATACTATTCAGTGCTAAAAAGAAATGCACTATCAAGCCATGAAAAGACATGAAGGAATCTTAAATGTATAAACCAACTAAAATTCTAAGCCTCCTGATGCACTGAATGGACTCTGCTCTTGGAGGAACCAGAAAAACTAGTTCAGGCCGTGATGGGAAGGAGGAAGTCAGACATGCCTCATTATACTTTCCTCCCTTTGGCGCTCAGGCAAAACTGAAGAGCATTAACATTAAAACAGAGACCTTAAGACTGACAGAAGGGACTCTTTGCATCAGTGAGATACCAAATTCCAACCTAACTCTGGTACAGCATCACATGACAGCAGGCCCTAAAGGAAATAAAAATATTTTACCCCAAAATATATTTCACATATTTTGGAATGGCCCTGCCCAGCTGTCTCTTGTGGGGAGAATTTACATTCTATGGGGCATCCCCATCCCTTCCCAGGTCTTTTCCTGAACAAGGAGAGATTAAACGAAGCATCTGACACCGTTTAAGGTCTGCTAAGAGACATTTACCATCTATTCTCTCTGAAGCCTCTACCTGGAAGCTTCAAGAACCTGGGCTTCCACAACCTCCTTTATCTTAACCCCAAGCATTCCATTCCTTTCTGACTTCAGGCAGAGCTTAACCCTTCCAACCAGCTGCCAATCAGGAAATCTTTAAATCCACCTACAACCTGGAAGCCCCCACTTCAAGATGTCCAGCCTTTCCAGGCCAAACCAATATATACCTTACATGTATTGATTTAAAACTGTAACTTTTGTCCCCCTAAAATGTAGAAAATCAGGCTGTAGCCCAACAACCTTGGGTACATGTTCTCAAGATCACCTGAGGCTATACAGCAAAATTGTCATTGTGTCTCAGAATAAATCTATTCAAATATTTTACAGAGTTTGGATTTTTCTGCCAACAAATACATCTTACTAAGTGAAAGAAGCCAATCTGAAAAGGCTACACACTGTGTAATTACAACCAAATGACATTCTGGAAAACACAAAACTATGGAGACAGTAAAAAGATCCGTGGTTGCAAAGGGTTCAGGGGAGGGAGGGATGAAAAGGTGGAGCACAGTGGAATTTTAAATCTTATGGCAGTGGAACCACCAGGCCTGATGCTACACTGGTGGACACGTGCCACCGTACACTCATCCAGACTCACAGAACAGACAACACCCAGCGTAAACACTAATGTCAACTATGGACTTTGGCTAACAATGATGCATCAATGTATGTTCGTCAATTTTAACAAAGGCACCGCTCTGGAGAGGGATGTTGGTAGCAGGGAAGGTAGGGAAGGTAGGGAAGGTAGGGGCCAGGAGGCACCTAAGAACTCTGTGCCTTCCCTTCAATTTTGCTGTGAACTTGAAACTGCTATAAAAAAGAGTCTATTGAAAAAGAGAAGATGACAACAATAACTGGCTCAATAACACACACAACAAAGCCAACAGGCATGGGTACACATAAGTCTAATAAAAGGTAACCTGTGCTACCAGTTATTAAATGTATTAGAAAACTTCACTAAGACAACTGTAGAAATGGAATAAAAGTATATAAAAGAACAAAGAAAACAGATGGAAAACCCAACAAACCCATGTATATAGAGATTTTAGTATACAGTAAGAGGTGCATGACAAAAAAGGAAAAAGAACAAAAGTCTAGGAAAGCTGAGTAACTATTTTGAGAGAAAAGGATCTTTTCTTCACAGCAAAGTAACTTCGACCAGTTAAAGAGTTATTCCTTTTAAATGAAGCCATAAAGGAACTAAAAGAATCTGATCTCAGGGAAAGAAATTCCTTTCTAAGCCTTAGGGCAAATGAAAAAAAATTGGAAAAGTAAATAGATTCCACCATTTTTTTTTTAGCTTAAAAGGTCATTTACATAAATATCTTAATAGAAAGTCTAATTTGAAATTCATACAAATTTATTAACAAATCAAATACTGGAGTATGGTATAAAAAACTCAATGTTTAGTCTTTATCCTTGGTTCCTGACACAGAGTTCCTGAAAGTATTGGAATTTACTGCCTTTCGTACACTAATGAGATGACTGACAGGAGGCTGGTAGAGCTTCAGGATGGAGTCTGTCACCAGAAATGCCAACACCTTGATTTCAGGACTAGAACTTTCAGCCCCACACCCACCTCCTCCTCTGACCTCCAAAGAGAGAAGGAGGGCTAGAGATTGAATCCAGTCACCAATGGCCAAAGATTTAATCAGTCATGCCTAGGGAATGAAACCTCCATTTAAAAAGCTAAATGACAGAGTTCTGGAGCTTCCAGGTTAGTGAACCCATCCATGTGCTGAGAGCATGCATGTTGAGAGGGATGGACGCTGTGTGCCCTCCCCATGCCTTCCCCTTTGCTATCTCTCTTCTGTTGAGCTGTTCCTCCGCTGTATCCTTTCAAGTGACCAGCAATCCTGAAAAATGAGCTTTCTGGAGTTCTGTAAACTATTGGACATGACAGAGAGTCATGGGAAACCCCCACTTTAGAGTCAGCTGAGTAGAAGCAAGGGTAGCATGGATACCTATGACATCAACTCTACCATCTTAACTACCTTCAAGTATAGAGTTCAATTGCGTTAACTACATGCAAACTGTTGTACAACAGATCTCTAAAACTTTTTCATCTCGTAAAACTCTATATACAGACTGAAAAACCCCCCTCTCCCCCACCCTCAGCCCCTCGTGACCACCATTCTGCTTTCTCTAAGAGTTTGCTGTAACCCTCAAAGGGTTGGGTTGCTCACTGCTTGTAAAAAGAACCCAAAATAATAATGAGGTGTGACTAAAAGAGAGTGAAAAAATCTACTCTTCAATTTGTGGAGGGAACGTACTTTTTAAAGACAGGGTTTGGAATGCAGAAGAGGCAGTGGGGCGAGGCATTGTCAAGTGGTATGTGACCCACCCTGATGGCTCATCTTGAATTATTGTTCCACCTGGTGAAGGGGCTGGCGCCACTGTGGCCAGAGGTGTCTGATCCGAATCAGCATCTGGCCCCTGAAGCTTCTAAGGAAATATATGACCAGATAAGTGGGCAATTTATGTGCTTTACCGGCATCCAGCTAAATAAATGCGTGTAAGGCACAGAATGGGAAAGAAAGGGAATGGAGGTCACAGCACGTTCAGAAGCTGTATTTCAAAATGAAAGGAAACACATAGGCAGTTTTGTTTCAAAGTTATATCCTGTGGTTGGGGAGAAAAGTGGAAAGAAAACATTTTAAAACACGGTTTGAAGCCAAGCTGCTCAGTTACATGACTACTTTCAATACCTCATGTAAGTAGAACCACGCATTAGTTGTTTTTTTGTGCCTCGCTTATTTCATGAAGCATAATATTCTCAAGTTCATCCATATACTAGCATATTATCAGATTTCCTTCTTTTCTAAGGCTGAATAATATTCCATTGAACATATGTACTATATTTTCCTTATCTATTAATCCATCCACAGACATGGAGGCTGCTTCTCCTCTTATTATAAGTGGTGCTGTAATGAACATGGGTGTGCAAATCTCTTTGAGATCCTGTTTTCCTTTCTTTGGGATATATACACAGAAGTGGGATGGCTGAAACATATAATTCTATTTTTAACTTTTTGATAAATCTCTATACAGTTTTCCACAGCAGCTAAATCATTGTTACAAGATTGCCAACAGTGCACAGGTGTTCCAATCTCCCCGCATCCTTGGTTACACTGGTTATTTTGCTTTTTTGATTGTAGCCATACTAATGGTTGTGAGGTGACATCTCATCATGGTTTTGATTTGTATTTCCCTGATGATTAGCAACGTTGAACATCTTTTCATATGCTTATAGGTCATTTGTGTATCTTCTGTGCACCAACGTCTACTCAAGTCCATTGCCCATTTTTTAATCAGGTTTTTTGTTGTTGTTTGGTCATAGGAGTTCTTTAAATATTTTGGATATTCACCCCTTATTAGAGATATGGCTGAGAAATATTTATCCCATTCCAAACGTTGCATTTTTACTTTCTTGTTTCCTTTGTTACATGTAAGTCTTAAATTTTGATATGCTTCAATTTGTCTATTTTTGCTTTTTCCTGTGTTTTGGTGTCATATCCAAGAAATCATTGCCAAATCCAATGCCCTGAACCTTTTCTCCCGTTTTCTTCTAGGAGTTTTATAATTTCTGATTTAGGTCTTTAATCTATTTTGAATTAATTTTTGTACAGGTGTTAAAGATCCAACTTTGGCAGGGAGCAGCAGCTCACACCTGTAATCCCAGCACTTTGGGAGGCCGAGGCAGGCGGATCATGAGGTCAGGAGATAGAGATCATCCTGGCTAACACGGTCAAACCCCGTCTCTACTAAAAATCCAAAAAAAAAAAAAAAAAAAAAATAGGCAGGCGTGGTGGTGGGCGCCTGTAGTCCCAGCTACTTGGGAGGCTGAGGCAGGAGAATGGCGTGAACCCGGGAGGCGGGGCTTACAGTGAGCCGAGCTCACACCACTGCACTCCAGCCTGGGCAAGAGAGAGAGATGCCGTCCCAAAAAACAAAAAAAGATACAACTTCATTTTTTGCATGTGAATATCCAGTTTTCCCAACAGCATTTGTTGAAGAGACTATCTTTTCTCCATTGTGTAATCCAAGCAGCCCTGTTTAAGATCATGTGACCATATACATGAGGGCTTATTTCTCTCTACTCTGTTCCATTGTTCTATATGTCCGTGTTTATGCCAATATCATACTGCTTTCATTACTGTACTTGTATAATTTGTTTTCAAGTTGGAAAGTGTGAGGCTTCCAGTTTTTGTTTTTGTTTTTTTCTTTCTCAAGATTGTTTTAGCTATTCAGGTCATTTGAGATTCTATATGAACTTTAGAATTTCTTTTCTACTTCAGCAAAAAAAATGCCAATGAGATTTGCATTGAACCAGTGGATTGCTGTGGGTAATATGGACATTTTAACAATATAAGTCTTCCAAACCATCAACATGGGCTGTCTATTTATGTCTTATTTAATAACTTTCAGCAATGTTTTATATTTTTTCAGTCTTTCACCTCCTTCATTATTTCTAAGTACCTTTTTTCTTGATGCTATTATAAGTGTTTTATTAATTGTTTTCTTAATTTCCATTTGGGATTTTTCATTATTAGTGTAAAAATGTGCCTGACTTTTCATGTTGATATTGTATCCTGCAACCTTGCTGAATTTGTTCATGAGCTGTAACATTTTTTGTGTGTTTGGGATCTTTAGGGTTCTCTACATACAAGGTCAGACAGTCCCCTATTTACATTGTGCTACTATGTCTCCCTTCAATCCTCTAAACGTTTATGTCACACATTTGAGCACTCTGCTGTCAGATGCAGATATAACCGTTATATCTTCCTGGTGAACTGGCCCCTTTGTCATTATGGAACAGGAATTAAAAGAAATTAAAGACTGTGTAAGCAAAAACTCAGTTGTATGTAAGAAAACCCAATTCCCCTTGAGGAAGAGAAAGGGCTGGAGTCCTTTAAAATTAACTGCCTGTTTTTCTCTCTGTGGCTAGTGAGACTCATCTCTCCCTTTGCCATGCATTGTGAAGACTCTGTTTCTCTAGCTGTGCAGCTCTAAGGTCACTAGACAGATAATCTCAAGTCGTAAAACATGTTGTTCCTTGAAAAGTAAGAAATAATGTAATGCATGTCTTAATTAAATAACTGTCTTTGTTTCTCGCTTCTGTAATATGCTTTGCCCCGCACAGATCTCCCTCCGCCCCATGAAATGCTTAAAAGGTAGCTTGACTCTTTGTTTGGGGCTCAGTCCTTTGGATGTTAATCCGACTGACTCGGTGCACCTAAATAATTAAATAATTCCTCCTCAACCCCTGCCTCTGATTCCTCAATTATCCCACAGCAATTACATAGTCCTTCTTTGTGTTTTGTGACAGTTTTTGACTTTTATCCGATATAAGTAGGCCACTCCTACTCCCTTTTAGTAGAGAACATGGAATATCTCTTGCATGGAATCTTTTTCCATATTTTCAGCTTACGTGTATCCTTATATCTAAAGTGAGTATCTTGTAGGTGGCATGTGATTGGATCTTTTTTTAATCGATTAAACCACACGTAGTTTTGGTTGGGGAGTTTAATCCATTTACATGGAAAGTAATTACTGATAGGGTAGGACTTACTATTGCCACTTTGTTAATTATGTTCTTTAAGTCTTGTAGTAATTTTGACCCTCTTTTCCTCTCTTGCTGACTTCCTTTAATATTTTGTAGTGAAATGTTTTTATTCCTTTTTCTTTTCTGTATCCCCTAGGCATTTTCTTTCTGGTTATCACAGGGATTACATAAAACATCTTATAGTTATAATAATCTATTTTAAACTGATAATTTAACTTAACCCCGCATATAAATGTATTACTTTATGTCTCCCCTTTATGCTATTCCTATCACAAATTAATTTTTTCGGGGGGAATGGAGGTGGAGTAAGATGGCTGAATGGAAGCCTCCACCAATCATCCTCCCTGAAGGAACACCAAATTTAACAACTATCTACACAAAAATCACCTTTATAAGAACTAAAAATCAGCTTGGGTACCAGCTCAGCCACAGTAGGGTATAGCAGCAGTCAAGCTCCTGGGGTCCCTGATTCCAGGCCTTCCTACTTGGATGGCATTTCTGGACTTGCCCTGGGCCAAAGGGGAACCCACTGCCCTGAAGGATATGTCCTAGGCCTTGCAGCATTCACGAGCTGACTAAAGAGCCCTTGGGCCTTGAGTTAACATCGGCAATAGCCTGGCAATACTCTCCGAGGGCCTGGGGCAGTGGTAGCCAAGGGGAGAGGCTCCTCTGCTTGTGGAAAGGGGAGGGAAGAGTGGGAAGGACTTTGTCTAGTGGCTGGAGTGCCAGCTAGGCTGCAGTAGAATAGAGCACCAGGTTGATTCCTGAGGTTTCTGACTCCAGGCCCTGGCTCCTGGACAGCATCCCTAGATACATCCAGGGACCAGGGGGAACTCATTGTCCTGAAAGGAAGGATATAAGCCTGGCTGACTTCACCACCTGCTGATTGTAGAGCCCTAGGGCCTTTAGCGAACAAAAGTGGTAGCCAGGCAGTGGTTATAGCAGGGCCTTGAGCGAGATCCAGAGCTGTCCTAGCTTCTGGTCTGAATCAGCACAGTCCCAGGGCAGTGGCCACAAGAGTGCTTGTGTCACCCCTCTCCCAGTTCCCAGCAGTTCAGCACAGACAGACTCCATTTGTTCGGGAGAAAGTAAGAGAAAACAACAAGAGTTTCTGCCTGGTAATCCTGGGAATTATCCTGGATCTTAACCAAAACCAAGTTGGTATGTCTACAGGTCTGCAAGAGTCACAGCATTACTGGGCTTGGGGTGCCCCTAATACAGTGACGAAAAACTTAGATCACAACACCCAAGTCCCTTTGAATACTTGGAAAGCTTTCCCAAGAAGGATGGGTACAAACAAGCCCAAACTGCATATACTACAATAAATTACTAACTCTTCAATGCCCAGACACACACGAACATCCACAAGAATCAAGATCATCCAGGAAAACATAACCTCACCAAACAAACTAAAGGCCTCAGAAACAGAGATATGTGACCTTTCACAGAGAGAATTCAAAATAACTACTTTGAGGAAACTCAACAAAATTCAAGATGACACAGAGAAGGAATTCAGAATCCTATCAGATAAATTTGACCAGGAGATTGAAATAAGTGTTCTTACATCAAGCTTTTAAAACATCAAGCAGAAATTCTGAAAAATTTACAAGCTAAAAAATTAAACTGACATATGAAGAATGCATCAGTCTCAAAAGTAGAATTGATGAGGCAGAAGAAAGAATTAGTGATCTTGAAGACAGGCTATTGAAAATACACAGTCAGAGGAGACATGAGACAAAAGAATAAAAAACAATGAGGCTTGCTTACAGGATCTAGAAAATAGCCTCAAAAAGGCAAAGCTAGGAGTTATTGGCCTTAAACAAGAAGTAGAGAACGAGAGAGAAGGGTAGAAAGTTTATTCAAAGGGAGAGTAACAGAGAACTTCTCAATCCTAGAGAAAGACATCTATATTCAAGTACAAGAAGATTATAGAACACCAAGCAGATTTAACCCAAACAAGACTACTTCAAGGCTTTTACTAATCAAACTCCTAAAGACCAAAGATAAAGAAAGGATTCTAAAGTCGGCAAGAGAAAAGAAACAGATAGCATACAATGGAGCTCCGATAGGTCTGGCAGCAGGCTTTTCAGTGGAAACCTTACAGGTCAAGAGAGACAGCGGCATGACATAATTAAAGTGCTGAAGGAAAAACATTTTTACCCTAGATTATCTGGCAAAAATGTCCTTCAAGCATGAAGGAGAAAGATCTTCCCAGACAAACAAAAGCTGAGGATTTTCACCAACACCAGATCTGTCCTACAAGAAATGTTAAAGGGAATTCTTCAATTTGAAAGAAAAGGATGTTAATTAGAAAGAAGAAATTATCTGAAGGTACAAAACTTACTGGTAATACTAAGTACATAGAAAAACAGAATATTATAACACTGTATTATACTGTTAAAGTACTCATATCTTATGTAGTTTATACTTTAAATGACAAACCAATTAAAAATAACTTCTTAAGATGTAATACAATAAGATATACATGGAAACAACAAAGAGAAATCAGGGGGATGAAGTGGAACTGTAGAGTTTTTACTAGTTTTTGCTCGTTTTTTAATGCAATAAGTGTTAAATTGTCATCAGTTTACAATAATGGGTTATATTATTTGCAAGCCTCATGGTAACCTCAAATCAAAAAACATACAATGGATACACAAAAAATAAAAAGAAATTAAAACATACCACAAGAGAAAATCACCGACGGGAAGGAAGGAAAGAAGAAAAGACCGCAGAACAACCAGAAAACAAGTAAGAAAATGGCAGGAGTAAGTCATTATTTATCAATAACACTGAATGTAAATGGACGAAACTCTCCAATCAGTTTGAGTACAATTGCTATTAGTATTTCTTTAAATGTTAGGTGGAATTCAGCAGTGAAGCCATTGGGTCCTGGGCTTTTCTCTGCTGGAAGTCTTTTTATTCTGGCTTTGATCTTATTGTTATTGGTCTGTTCAGGTTTTGGATTTCTTCATGGTTCAAACTTCACAGGTTGTATGTATTTCTTCTAGATTTTCCAATTTATTGGCATATAGTTGCACAATATGCCTTTATTGTGCCTTTAGTGAGTAGCCTTTAGTGAGCCTTTGAATTTCTGCAGTATTTGTTGTAGCCATGCCCAGCTTATTTTTGTATTTTTAGTAGAGACAGGGTTTCGCTAGGTTGGCCAGGCTGGTCTTGAACTACTGGCCTCCAGTGATCTGCCCATCTCAGCCTATCAAAGTGCTAGAATTACAGATGTGAGCCACCATGCCCAGACTCTAGTTCTTTAAAATGCACCACTGGGTTGTCAGTATGATACTAGCTATGAATCTGTTGCATATGGCTATTATTATGTGGAGTTATGTTCCTTCTATACAGTTTTTTGAGCGTTCTTATTATGAAGAGATGTTGAATTTTATCAAGTGCTTTTTCAGCATCAATCGAAATTATCATATGGGTTTTGTCCTTCATTGTGTTGATATGATGTATCACGTTGGTTGATTTGCATATACTGAACCATCCTCACATCCCTGGGATAAAAAGATCATAATTATCTTTTTAGTATGTTGTAGAATTTGGTTTGCCAGTATTTAATTGAGAATTTTTACATCTATGTTCATCATATTGGCCTGTGGTTTTCTCTTTTTGGTATGTCTTAGTCTGGTTTTATATGAGGGCAATACTAGCCTTGTAGAATAGCTTTGGACTTATTCCCTTCTCCTCTATTTTTCATACTGAAGGGAAAAATGAAATCCTTTCCTCTCAGATCTGGAACATGACAAGGATGCCCACTTTTACCACTGTTATTCAACGTAGTACTGGAAGTCCTAGCTAGAGCAATCAGACACCAGAAAAAAATAAAAGACATTCAAACTAGAAAGGAAGAAATCAAATAATCCTTGTTTGCAGACATGATCTTATACTTGGAAAAACCTAAAGACTCAACCAAATAGGGCAGGCACAGTGACTCATGTCTGTAATCCCAGCATTTTGGGAGGCTGAGATGGGAGGATGGCTTGAGGCCCAGAGTTAGAGAGACTCCACCAAAAGGCTATTAAAACTAATAAACAAATTCAAAATCAACAGACCAAAAACACTTGCCATTTCTATACACCAAAAGCAGACAATCTGAAAAAATAAAATTAAAAAAGTACAAAAAAAATTAAATACCTAAGAAGTAACTGAACCAAAGAAGTTAAAGATCTCTACAATGAAAACTATAAAACACTGATGCAAGAAATTGAAAAGGACACAAAAATGAAAAGATATTTCATGTTCATGGACTGGAAGAGTCACTATTGTTAAAATATCCATATTGCCCAAAGCAATCTACAGATTCAATGTAATCCCATTCATACCAATGACATTCTTCACAGAAATGGAAAAAAAAAATCCTAAAATGTATATGGAATCACAAAAGACCCAGAATAGCCAAAGCTATCCTGAGCAAAAAGAACAAAACTGGAGGAATCATGTTACCCGACTTCAAATTATACTACAGAGCTAGAGTAACCAAATGGAACTGGCACAAAAAGACACATAGGCCAATGAAAGAGAATAGAGAACCCAGAAACAAATCCATACATCTACAGTGAAGTCATTTTTTACAAAGATACCAAGAACATACATTGGGAAAAGGACAATCTCTTCAATAAATGGTTCTGGGAAAACTGGATATCCACATGCAGAAGAATGAAACTAGACTCCTATTTCTCACCATACACACACACAAAAAATCAAATCAAAATGGATTAAAGACTTAAATCTAAGACCTCACACTACGAAACTACTAAAAGAAAACATCAGGGAAACTCTCCAGGACATTGGACTAAGCAAAGATTTCTTAATACCCCACAAGCACAGGTAACCAAAGCAAAACTGGACAAATGGGATCACATCAAATTAGAAAGCCTCTACAGAGCAAAGGGACCAATCAACAAATGGAAAGGCAACACACAGAATGGGAAAAAATATCTGCAAACAACCCACCTGACAAGGGATTAAGAATCAGAATATAAAAGGTGCTCAAACACATCTATAGGAAAAAACCTAATAATCCAATTAAAAAATGGACACAAGACCTGAGTAGACATTTTCCAAAAGAAGACATATAATTGGTAAATGGGTATATGAAAAGGTATTCAACATCAGTGATCATCAGAGGAATGCAAGTCAAAACTACAATGAGATATCACTCACATCAGTTAAAATGGCTTTTATCCAAAAGACAGGCAATACCAAATGCTGGTGAGGATGTGGAGAAAAGGAAACCGTTGTACACTATTGGTGGGAATGTAAAATAGTACAGCCACTATGGAGAACAGTTTGGAGGTTACTCAAAACACTAAAAATAGAACTACCATAGGATCCAGCAATCCCACTGCTAGATATATACCCAAAAGAAAGGAAATCAATATATCAAAGAGATATCTGTGCTTCCAATATATATTGCAGCACTGTTCACAACAGCCAAGATTTGGAAGCAACCTAAGTATCCATCAACATCAACATACAAAAATATAGTTAGCATAAGATCTGGTACTTGACAGCACAACAGGATGACTACAGCCAATAATATTAAATAATTGTACTTTTAAAAAATAAGAGTATAATTGGATTGTTTGTAACACAAAGGATAAATGCATAAAGTGATGGATACCTCATTTACTCCGATGTGATTATTATGTATTATATGCCTGTATCAAAATCTCATGTACCCCTGTACCAGTCAGGGTTCTCTAAAGGAATAGAATAGGATATATACATATATTTATTTATATATAACTATGTGTGTGTGTATATGTGTGTATATATGTGTGTGTATATATGTGTGTGTGTGTGTAAAGGGGAATTTATTAAGTAGTATTAACTCACACAATCACAAGGTCCCACAACAGGATGTCTGCAAGCTGAGGAGCAAGGAAGCCAGTCCGAGTCCCAAAACTGAAGAACTTGGGAGTCTGATGTTTGAGGGCAGGAAGCATCCAGCACAGGAGAAAGATATAGGCTGGGAGGCTAGGCCAGTCTAGCCTTTTCATGTTTTCTGTCTGCTTTATATCCTGGCTGTGCCAGCAGCTGATGAGATGATGCCCACTCAGATTGGCGGTGGGTCTGCCTTTCCCAGTCCAAGGATTCAAATGTTAACCTCCTTTGGCAACACCCTCATAGACATACCCCAGGATCAATACTTTGCATCCTTCAATCCAATCAAGTTGACACTCAGTATTAACCATCACATCCCCTAAATATACACACCTACTATGATCCCACGAAAATTAAAAATTAAAAAACCAAATCGAGTATTTTATATTTTTATCTATTAACATAGTTTTAGTTATTTTTATGCTTTTGTCTAATTCTATACCAGAATTTAAAGTTGTTTGCTCACCACCATTACTATATTATAGGATTCTGTTTTTGTCCACATATTTCCCTTTACCAGAGAGTTTTTTCATATACTTTTATATTGCTATTTAGCATCCTTTCACTTCAGCTTCAAAGAATCTCTTTAGCATTTCTTACAAGGTAGATCTAGTGGTGGTGAACTTCTTTGGCTTTGGTTATCTGGGAAGGTCTTTATTTGTTCATTTTTGAAAGATGGTTTTGCCAGCTACAGTATTCTTGGCTGGCTGGGTGTATTTTTATTTTTAACAACACTTGAACTGTATCACCCCACTCCCTTTTGTACTGTAATGTTTCTGCTGACAAATCTGCTGATAATCTTATGGGAGCTCCCTTGTTATATGACAAGTTGCTTTTCTCTTTCTTCTTTCAAAATTCTCTACCACTGACTTTTGGCAATTTGATTAAAATCTTTCTCAGTGTGGGCTTCTTTACCCTTTCTTTGGTTTCTTCCTACATGGAGTCCTTTGAGATTCTTGAATCTGGATGTCCATTTTCTTCCTCATATTTGGGATGTTTTGCACCACTCTTTATTCAAATAAGCTCTCTACTCCCTTTTCTCCTTTTGGGACTTCTACAATATGTATATTGGTCCACTCAATGGTGTGCCATAAATCCCTTAGGCTTTACTTTTCATTTTTTTTTTCTGATTTGATGAATTTAAATGAGCTGTTGAGTTTGACGATTCTTCTGCATGACTGGGTCAGCTTTTTAATCCCTCTAGTTAATTTTTCAATTCAGTTATTTCTCAGATGCAGAATTTGTATGGTTCTTTTTTTATAGTTCTGTCTTGTTGTTGATATTCTTGTTATTGCATTTTTTCTGATTTCATTTGCTTGACTATCTCTGTTCTCTCACAGCATACTAAGCTTCTTTAAGATGATCATTTTGAATTCTTTGTCAGATAATTCATTTATCTCTGTTTCTCTAGGGTCAAATTCTGGAGATTTATTTTGTTCCATTAATTGGGCCATATTTCTCTGTTTCTTCATATGTCTCATTATTTTTTTGCTGGGATTTGGGGTATCTGAAAAAACAGCCACCTCTCCCAGTCTTTATGGACTGGCTTGGTACAGGAGAAGAACTTCACCAATCAGCTCAGCTAGAGATTCTGGGGCCTCTCAAACCTTTTCTGGGGATGAATCTTCTCTGGGCTTGTACATGGAATGTCCCAATTAGAGAGGTCTGCCAGTTTCTTTTCAGTTGCTTGTAATCTCTCGATCCCTCTGGTGCTTGTCTGTGGCACTGCAAGTTGTCTGGCAGGGCAACAGGCTGTGGAGCTCTCGCTTGTTCTCAGCAGCCCCCAGACATCCAACATACCCTTGGTTCTCTCAGCGCTCTGAGTCAGGCAAAACAGGAATCAGTCTCTTGGGCAGTCCCCCTGAAAAGCCAGAATGTTAAATGCACTTTCCACTCTTCCCATTCCTGCCCAAGGGATAAGCCAAGAACCACACGCTCTCTCCTGACTGTGCTGAGCTGTCCCGACCTCCATCCGCAGCACTGCTGAGTCTCTGATGCTGCAAAAAGCCAGTTAACTCTTTTTTCTCTGAAGCCCCCAGGCATCCAAAGTATGCCAGTTCCCAGTCAGCACTGAGTCAGGAGAGACAGAAACCAGTCCATCAGGTGACCCCCCAAAATTCAGAATGGTGGACTTCCTTTCTTCACTTTCTACCCAGCAGAGAGTTGGGTGTTTACTACCAATCATGCCAAGCTGTGCCACCTTCAGGGAAAGGCAGGTGAAATTAAATGGCTTTTTTTTTCTCCTACTTCAATGCAGCTGTTCTTGGCTTTGAGCTTGCCTGGGGTACTGTGACTTCTAAACTGGTTTCTGTAATTCTCATACATCCTTTTGGACTGTATATTGTTGTCAGTCAGAGTCCGTGGGGGAACAAGGTCCGGGACTTTCCACTCCACCATTGTGCTGACATCAGACATTTTATGTGGAGTGGCATAAGAGACTTATGGTGAATTGGGCACCCGTTGGTATCTGGCATCTGAAGTGGGTGCAGTCTTGCGGGAATGACTCCTTAATCCATAGGATCTGTGCTAATTCTGGGAAGGGAATGTCAGAAGGAAACTGAATTGTAGGACACCCAGCTGGTACTGAAGAATTGGTTGGTGTCAGAAGAAACCACACATACGGACACTTTTTATCTACGACAAAAATGAAAAGGCGTAAGGATGCCATCTTTAATCACAGTTACAGACTGTCTTTTCTCTAAAATTTCTTGGCACAACTTCTTTCCACATCAAACAAATGTCTGAGTTATACTGTGGGGACAAAACTTCATTTTTTAAAAATATCACTATAAAACTTTATTTTGAAATATTAATCATCTTCAGTCCACAAGCTTAGTATTAACCACAGCCAAATATCTGGCAAAGAATAGCTAAAAGGAGATGTGAGTAGTTACAAGAAAACATTGAATCACACCACATATTATTTCAACCTAGTATTTTATGGTTTAAGAAATTGGAACAGGAATGGGGGGATTTCAAGCAGTACTCTGACAGTGGGCCCTGCGGTGGTTGCGTAATAAAATCTCCTGACTGTGATACACTTTGCTGCTATAGCAGAACAAAACAAACAAAAGACATGGTTTATATTTCTTTTTCTCCTAAGTCCAGGAGAACAGTTAGGTGTTCAACAGTGTCAGAAATCCAGGTTCTTGCCTTTAATTCCTCTGCCACCTCTGGACACTGCTCTCATCCATAGGGTGAAAGAGAGTGCACCACATCCACTAACCTCTGTGAAGGGGAAACAGAGGCAGCAGGACACATCCAGGAAGGTGCCTGTGTTGCATCTGCTCACATGTGGTGGCCAGCACTCAGTCATGAGCCTTGCAGGGTGAAGGATGCTGGGACTTCAGGCTGTGTGGCAGCCATGCACCCACTGAAACCTGCTACTGGGGGAAACCTGCAATCTGTCTCAGAAGGGCACATATTAGCCCCCAGGCTCCCTAGCAAGATGATGAACCCATCACACAGTTCTTGCTGACTACAGAAATGCACTCCAGCTCTTCTAGCTTCTATACTCTGCTAGGGTGAAGACCATGAATACAATCACAACTGTTCTAAATGTTTTCTCCTTGAGTATCATCTTGTTCATTTTATCATAGGATAAGGACCAAATAAGACCATTTATGCAAAAGCGCTTAAAACTATACAAATGCACACTTGCTAATACAATGGAAGCTCCGGAAGAATATAAGTCAGCTTCATGACTATGCTATTTATTTCTGAGTTTAGCATTAAGACTTCCTATTTTTACCCTAAATCACAACAAATTCTGTATCACAAACTCTAATAAGTTACCTTACAGTCAGAAGAGATTTCAAAGATCCTTTAGTCTAAACTAAGGGTCAGCAAATAACGGCCTGTGTTTGTAAATAAAGTCACTATACTGGAACCCAGCCACGATCGTTCATTTACAAGTTGCCTACGGCTGCTTTCACCTGCAACTGCAGAGCTGAGTGGTTCTGACACTGCATGGACCCCAAAGCCTAAAACAGTTACTATCCCTTCCTTTACAGTAAAAGTTTGCTGACTCCTGCTCTAGAGCCCTTACTTAAAACAGGAAGTCTGGAGAGAGGAACTCATTTGCCCCAAAGTCCCAAAATGAGTACCAGCGCTGGGACCCAGGCCTGCCTCCAGACCACTTCAGAGAGGCTTTTCTAGCACCATGCTGTCTCCCCTTGTTCTTCCTGGTCTCAACCACTCAACAACAAATTATGAGTTCTGAAGTGGAGAACCAGGTTCTTGTACATTTTTGACAGTGTCACAAGCCAGAAGCACATAAGCCTCTCCCTTCTGACCCCATGTCACTGCTGGGCTCCTCAACTCTGGACAGCAGGTAACATTTCAAAGCCAGCACGTCCATCGCAGCCTCATTGGGCTGCTCCCACAGCCAGGCCACCCCAGGGAGTTCCTTGCGACTGTCAGGGCACGCCCTTCTCCTGACAACCCTAGCTCAAAACTTTCACCTGCAGCTGCTTTTCTGCCTTCATCTCCACATCCAAAGGCACCAACTCTGATCAGCACTCTTTGGCAAGCTCACCTTTTCCTACATGTCCTGACAAATCTTCCATCTGAAACTCAGGTTCTCATTTCACAGCTGACCTCCCTGACTAGAACCCCAGACGTTTCATCGGCATCTTGCCCCCAACCCCTCCTCCTTAAACAGGTAGTCTTTGCAAAATACAACCAAGGGGTTACTCAGAATTCTTCAACATTCAGCTAAGAAATGAAGCCTCCACTCCTTAATGGGATTTTCCCAGTTCTTCCCTGTACAGCCCTCCTGTGTCAGTTCAACTGCTTCATTTTCTATCCCCCTCCCCCGATCACGAAGAAAAAAGGGAAGTATATAAAGTATAGGGTAGGCAGATGTACACCGGTTCTCTTTCCTCGCAATGTTCTAGCGCTTCTCACTTGCTAATTTACCGAGAACTGTTTATCTCCCATAGTAAGACTCTTTAATACAAGAAACTCTTTAATACAAAACTCAAGCATGACAAAAATTAAAAGTACACTGTCATGTTTACTGTATTGAAAATTGAGCCAAAACACAATTTTATCAGTGCTTTCAAAAGGCACTGATTGTTGAAGCCCTAGTTATTTAATATTTTTAAAAATTGGAAAATGAAGAAAAATGGTATCAGAAATTTGTCATAACCTATAAGGTAAGAGAATTCAACAAAGAATATAAACCCAGAGAAACTTGGATTCAAATTCCTACTGGTGGCTACTAACACAAATTATTTACAAGGTTGTAACTTTACACGAGTTATTTAACTTCTCTAAGATCATCGAATATAAAATACAGTTTAATCTCATTATTCACAGTAGTTATGTTGTACAAAGTTGCCACAGTCAATTAGCAAATACTAAATTATTGCTGTTAAGGGAAACACAAGGCTAGGGTTCCCGCGAGCCTCTGAATAACAACTTTTCATCAACAATGTGTGACCTTGTTTTACATGTATTTGTTTAAAGATGCCTGCTTTAATACCTGCTGTTGATTCATTCACACCGAACTCTCAGCCACCAGCCCTGTAACTCATGCCTGAGCCATCTCTAACACAGGTGCTCCCTCCGTAGGGAGTGCCACAGCTTTCTTGTGCTTGGGAACACTAGCCAGTGCTTTAGCACTATACTTGGGGGCTGTGAAAAACAGTGAAATCATACGCAAGCACAAACATGTAAAAAAAAGGTAGTTCTCAATAGACTGCAGGAAAGACACATGCCTCAGCTGGGAAGGAGCTCGCTGGGTGATGATGAGTGTTTGCTGCTCTGCAAGTTGTGGACGACTTTGAAGGCACTGTGAGTACTGATTTGCGGATTACAAATAAATTTTAGCAAGAAGCTGAAATTGCAAATATGGAATCCACAAATAATGAATATGAACTGTAACTACTTTTTGGGCTATTGTGAGAAGCTGCAATAGCTGTAAAGCACTCACTCCAATGCCCAGCACATGGCAGGCACCAGTATCATTATCCAGGATTCTATCCTCCAAACCAAGACACGCTCTGACTAAAAACGACACAACGCATTCTGAGTAAAAAGCATTCCATTCTCTGCCCACAACAGCAGCCTTGATAAAAGGACTCGTTATCTTTCAAACACTAGAACTAGAATATCTGCCATTTAGTCTATAACATTTTTGTACAGAATATTGTACTTCCATCTGAAAGATTAGAAAGCTACATCATGGTTTTAATATACATTTATTAATATCTTGAAAAAAGCCACACCCACAGCCCCCAAGGCCTCTCCTTAGATTCAAACTGGTCTGCGGGCTGTCCACACACTCGCCTGGTTCCCAAGTCTTTGGGAGCAGCTGCACCACCCTAGCTCATGGTCCAACCATTTCTAGACAAAGCCAAGGTGAGAGGAGGCAGTCTTCCCTCACAGCAACCCCCACAGAACTCCCAAAGCAGAAACTGTGGTTCGCCTGGTTATATACAGCACCAAGACAGAACCCCAGCTAACGTGGGGTGAAGGATCAGATAAAACGAACATAAAACGACCTCCCTGCCCTGAGCAGACAGGAAAGAAAAAGGAAGTGTCCCTGGTCCGTGGACTGCATCTTGACTCACTCTGAAATAACAGGTAAAATCCTCTTGAGCTTCAGTCTTTGGCTTTTAACTCCTAAGACAAGGCTGATGAGCCCCACATGTACATCCACTCCCCAAAGGCAGACGTAAAGCCAAGTCGCCCATTCCTCCCAACAGGTGATCTTAAAAAAGCAGAAGACAGACTGCAGGGCCTCCCACCATATGGACAAGTGCCCACCAGAGGCAGGTCTGAGCGTAGGGGTGGGCCCACCCGAGGCAGGTCTCAGCGTAGGGGTGGGCCCACCCGAGGCAGGTCTCAGTGTAGGGGTGGGCCCACCCGAGGCAGGTCTCAGCGTAGGGGTGGGCCCACCCGAGGCAGGTGTGAGTGTAGGGGTGGAACCCACCAGCCCTGGCTGAGCAAGCTGGGCTCCACATTCAGTGACGTTCAGTTTTCAAGACAGTGACTGACTCACAAAGTGAAACCCACAGCCTAACTCTAATAAGAATAGCAGCTTTTAGACATTCTAAGTCATGCCACCTTAAGCCCTAGCAAAAATCAGTAAAAGTACACCTTATCAATTAGGGTTTTAAACTCTCAGGAATAAAAATTTCAACCTATTATTAACATTTACAGGTGAAGATTATACAGAGTAATATGCTAAGGCCTGAAAGGCAGATATTTAAGCCCTCATCATTCTACCCTTCAGTGGCTTACTAAAAGCACACAGTTGAGACACCTGGAATTTACCTAGCTAATTGCTTGAGGAATTCCACAGGCCCAAGCAAGTAGAAGAATCCACCACCGTCTTTAGTGAGCTGATCTGAGTCTGGGAGAAGATTCTAGAGCTGTGCTTTCCAAATCAGTTGGCATTCACTAAAAACACTACTGAGGACCTGAAATAGGGCTAGTCAAACTGAGTTTTTAATTATTCAAATTTCAAGTTAAAAACATTCCATACTGGAAAACTTTTAAGTATGTTTGGAAGAACTCAGATAAAGCAACCTGTTTTTTCACCTGTACATTTTATAAACTCTAAATACTGATCAAGTATTTCTGAAGAAAACTTGGCATACAAATTGATACATATTAATATCTTGTGCTGGTAAATGTAAAATACACATAGATATGAGAGTATGAAAAAAATGTAAAGGATCTCTAACAAATTTTATATTGATTACCTATTGATGTAATATGCTGAATATATCAAATTTTAAATATTGAATTAAAACTTTTTAATGTGGCCACCAGAAAATGTTTTGCTATGTTTCAGTGGAGGAAAGCACCACTCTGTTCCACAGGCAGGAGCTCCCCAAGCATCAGTTAAGAGGAGCCAGCTGAATCCGGAGCGAATAAGCAGCGCCCAGGATCCTCCTTCCCTTCTATAATATCGTAACTGACCCTTCCTGCTTCCTCTCAAGTAATCACCCACAGAGACTTGACTCAAGTGCTTCTGCTGACTGAGTATCTGACTCAGCTCATATGAGAGTCCAATGAGACTAACCCTACAAATATCTGTTTACCCAAGAAAGAATCTGCATCAAGATCAGCTCCCCTAAGGCTGGAGAACTCCTGCTCCCCGCTCCAGACTCCAGAGTTCCCACCCTGACTCAATTCTGCAGCTCCCATCAGGTGCCGTAATGTGGAAACCCCACACCAGGTACACTCCTCTCAGGGGCACTGCTGAGCCCCACGTGGGCCTGGCTCCCTTCCTGGGCTGGCTCCCTGCCTGGTCTTGGGGATACAGCACTGAGCATTCAGCCTAGGATGAAATGGTCCTCCAGAGAGGCTTGTGATGTCCGAATGCCTGTCGCACAAGTGAGAAGTGCCTGAATGCAGCTGTCCCAGGACCCTCCTGCCTGCACCACACCCCACTGTCCACATCAACTCGGGCAATGAGCACATTCCAGAGCAAGGGATACCAGAAAACCAAATCCTAAGTCAGTAAAAAGCATTAACTATTTCTATTATTTAATAACAAGACCTCCTTTTTCTTCTTTTAGTGTGTCTGTTTGCCAGAGAAAAATATTAAGGGCTGGATATGGATGACTTCATTTACTTTTCACTTTTTCATTTCATCCCAGGGGCAGGACAGCCTGGTTTGCACACACTGGCCATGGGGACTACGAGGTTTTTAGAAGTCTTCATTGGTCTTGTAAACAAGTAAGAATTCACCGGGGTTTGAGAATTATGACTCCTTTAAAGTCGAATGCTAAATTAGCCTCCTATCAGTCTCACAACTACCTGAAACAAAAGAGGACATTTCCCAGAGGAGACGAGCCTAACTTCAGCTGTCACCTGACTCCAAGTTGCAAATCCTGCCTCCCTGTAAAGATAGGATAAATTTAGCAATTTTATCTTGAAAACATGAATACAATGGGTTTTACCTACTTGGTTATATAAAAGAGTAAGACTTCTTTCATCTTCACAATCTGTGCCTATGATGTGTCCCATCCTAGCTAAGTGCTCCTTCATAATAAAATTATTTTATTTCTCTTCCTATATTGTTAAGTTTTCTTGGTTGGGAAGAGGTTTTGTTTTTAAAACAAAATGTCTGCAACCTTTCACCACTGATAAAGAAAAAGCTTCTGCGGCATTGTTAAAACAGGGAGACTCCAATCAAGGCTATCTCAATAGAGGAGAGGTTTGGTTCAGCTCCCAACAGGCAAAGACAGCTGTGATTTGCAGCCAACCGCAAAGGAGTCTCGGGATGGGAAGTGACCAAGAGAAGACTTCATCAAGGGTGGGAGATTCTTGCTACAGGTGGGCCAAGAACTCAGACATCAAGGCCAGGGGATGAGGAACTCAATCAGACATCAAGGGTGAGGAGGTTCGCACTGCAGGGACTTCTACTGAGGCTGGGAAGGACAAAAGCGAGGTCCTGACTAAAGCTGGGTCAGATAGAGTCTGTTGGCAGCTGTGTAGCCTTCCCGGTCCCTCCTCCTTTGTGCCCATGTGTCAGATGGTGGCACCAACCCATATCAAGAATTTATGAACAGGGGCTAAGCACCGCCTCAATAAACACTAGTGATAGCTCTATTTATCCCAATTTTACAGCTAAAAAACAAAACTGATACTTGGCTAGGTCAAGTGGCTCAACAAAAGGCAGAGATAGGGTGTAGATTCAATCAAGGCTCACCAGAAACCAAGTCCAAATCTAAACTACCCAACTGTATTTTCATGCAAATACAGTTATCTTGACTACAGTTCCATACATTCAATGACATGGTAGTGGGACTGGGGGAGAAGTCTTTAGAAGTCTTCATTAGGCTTGTGAACATCTAAGAAGCTATTGAATATAAATAAGAGAAAGGCAAATTAAAATCACATTAAGATGCAACTTTTCCCCCCATCAGATCTAAAATCTTGAAGACATGCGCATCTCACCACACTGGTGAGAAACATTCGCATATGCTGCTGGTTGGAACGTAAACCAGGACCGCCTCTTTCAGAGGGCAATTTGGAGACATCCATCAAAACCACAAATGCACGCATCCTCGGACAGCTCCACTTCTAGACTTGTGAAATAACTATCCTGCAGGCCTATAATAGAAAGAGACTAGAAATATCCCCCTGAAGGCATCAATAGGGGACTCGTTTTTTCAATTTGTATTTAAAATCCTGTATATCCACGTAAGGAAATGCAATTGCTGTGGACTGAATGTTTGTGTCCCCAGAACTCACATCCCCTCATGTGATGGCATGTGCAGGTGGGTATGTAAGAGGTGATCAGGGTGAGATGGGAGTCACGAGGGTGGGGCCGGCACGATGGGATGAGTGTCCTAATATGGTGGTAAGAAGCTGGAGCTCCCTCTGCCTTGAGAGGATGTAGTGTGAAGGCAGTGGCCTCTGCAAACCAGGAAGCAGCCCCTCACCAAGAACGAAGCACCCTGATTTAAAACTTCCAGCCTCTGGAACTGGAGAAATAAATGTTTGTTGTTGAAGCTGCCCAGTTTATCCTATTCTGTTACAGTGGCCTGAATGAACTAGGATGACTGTATAACATTTAACACACAAACACAGACGAAAGAATGAGGAAGCTCTTCATGTACTGGTAAGGGCTACAACTTACTGCAAATGGGAAAAGGCAGGTGTGAAGGTGTTTACTGCAGGTTAATGTCTGCTTAAGAAAACAGCTTTATTTCTAAAGAGAAATAACGGAAAACAGTAACAAAATGTTAGCTATACAAGCAGGGAGAGAAAGGCCTCTGCCTCCCCACATACCCGCCCTCCAGCAGAACATCAGGCCTTTTCTGGATTTCAGAGCGATCGTCAATACGTTACTCCACTTCTTTCTTCCCAGACACCACTAAAGCAAACGTCACAGAGCCTCACAGTGTCATAAAAGTGTGACTTTGTGTCATCTAAACTAAGATTCACTATTCCTTGGCTCTCCCCATCTCCAAGCATGATTTTAAAACACCTGAAACACTCCTTGATGTCTTTTTTCTTTGCAATGTCTACAGAATATGTCTAAGCTTTTTAAATTTGTAAGTGAAAATATGTCAAAAATTCTGAGTTTTGTTTAGAAAGCCATTAGTTAAGCCTAGCCAAATCCCTATGCAATCCAGTTTAGAGGCAACTGATGAACTCTTCTACACTGTCCATGTCAGACCCATCTAAACCATCCATGTTGAACAGATCTCTGCACTTCTTTTCTCTACTATTTGCATAAAACTTTGAGGGCAGAGGTTAGAAGACGGCTCAGCAACCTTTATATTCACCGTAAGAGGCCCAATGAAATAAATTTTGTCACAGAAATTTAATATCATTTAGTATCCCACAGCCTTAAAATGGATTTTTTCCAACTAGCAGTACTGAAACGGGAAGCACTCCATGAGACACATATTATGAAGGGAACTCAAGGTACAGAAAAATGTTAACAGTGAGACAGCAAATCTTTGTTTCTGAACACACACCTATGTATCTGCATAAATGTTTCATGGACAGATATACAAAAGAGCTTAACAATGTTTCCCATTAGAAACTTTGAAGAAGTTAAGACCTGACAATCTCAACAAATATTTTACCATATGCATTAGCAGTTTTTCTTCAAGTAACATTAGATTCATGAAAACTTGCGTCTTTCTGTTGGAGGATTGCAATGAATGATTCTCCTTACAAACCTTGCGGTTATATGTTAATACAAAATAGATGTGTATTTATGACCAAAAAAAAGGGCCCATAGCCTAAAAAGATTCTCAGAGAAGTTTATTTTCTAAAATGTTAAAATTATTTTAGTAATAGTTAAGTGTCCCATAAATCTAAGTAATTTTGAATGCTTCACATTTCAAATTTATTGGAACCTAATATTATCTACTTTTTCACGTAAAAAAAAAAAAAAAAAAAAAGGTGTGTAACCTGATGTTCAAGAAAGGCAACAGGACGGATATGATTGCAAACTGAATGCCTTTCTAGAATCAAGCAGAATGTGCTCTCAACCTGCACGTTTAACATCACACTGACTGACAGATTTGGAGGGTAGGACAAAAGACCAAGAATGAAACAGAATTGAGAACTTCTAACATGACAGTGAATTTAACAGATTCATTAAATCCTATTTGCATATTAATTCCTACTTCTCTCAACTTTAAAATTTTGTAGGCAGAAGTTTTATGACTCTTCATGAATTTCAAAATTTAATTCTAATTTAATTCTAACATCTTAATTCTAAGTTAGCTTTGCAATAAAGATCAGTCCTCTTGAAGAAATTAACTAAATTTAGAATAAGACTAATCTGTCATAATTAACACAAATTTTCTCTATTTTTATATAGCAATGTTTTTCAACACAAACTTTGGATAACCTTAATAAAGTAACATAAAAACCACAGTCAAAATTCACAACTAGCACATAACTGGGAAAACCTTGGGTACAGTGATGGCTTTTTCAATATAATACCAAAGGCACATCCATCAAAGAAATAATTCATAGTGAAGCTTCATTAAAATTAAAAACTTCTGCTCTGAAAAAGACACTGTCAAGAGAATGTGAAGCCACAGATTGGGAGAAAATCTTTATAGAACACATACATATAAAGAACTAGTATCCAAAACATACAAAGAACTCTTAAAACTCAACAATGAGAAATCAAACCACCTAATTAAAAAATGCGGAGAAAGATCTAAACAGACACCTCACCAAAAAAGGGACACAGATGACAAGTATGCGTCTGAAAAGATGCTCATGTCATTTATCATCAGGGAATCGCAATTCAAGACAAAGAGAAACCACCACACACCTACTAGGATGGACAAAGTCTACATACTGACAGCACCAAATGCTGGCAAGGAGGTGGAGCAAAAGGAAATCTCATTCCTTGTCCATGGGAGTGCAAACTGGTGCAGCCACTTTGGAAGACGGTTTGGCGGTTTCTTATAAAACTAAACACTCTCACCATGCAATCCAGCAATCAGGCTCCTAGGTATTTACCCAAGTTGGAAACTTAAATTCACACAAAAACCTGCACCTGATGTTTACAGCTGGTCTATGAATAAACTGATGTTTATTCATAATTGCCAAAACGTGAAAGCAACCAACATGCCCTCCAGAGGGTGAAGGGATAAACTGTGGTACACCCAAACAGTGGAATACTATTCAGTGCTAAAAAGAAACGAGCTACAAGCCGTGAAAAGAAATGCAGGAACCTTAAATGCATCTTTCTAAGTGAGAGAAACCTACCTGAAAAAGCTACACACTGTGAATGCAACCAAATGACATTCTGGAAAACTATGGCGACAGTACAAAGATCAATGTTTGCCAGGGGTTCCGGGGAGGGAGGGTGCACAGAGGGTCTCTAAGGCAGCAAAACTCCTGTGTGTGACACTACAATGGTGGGCAAACGTCAGTACACATTTGTCCAAACCACAGAATGCACAACGAGTGAGCCCTCCCAGGTGAGGACCATGAGCCCGTGTAGGTCCACAGATTGTAACAAACGCACCATTCTGTGGGGGTGATGATAGTGGGGGGCTGGGGATCCATGAGAACTCTCTGTACTTTCTCCTCAAATTTGCTGGGCACCTAAAACTGGATACCTGAAAAATAGAGTCTATTAAAGTTTTTTCCCCCCAAAACCAACACACACTTTAGATGTACAGATAACAGGCCAGGCGCGGTGGCTCACGCCTGTAATCCCAGCACTTCAGAAGGCCGAGGAGGGCAGATCACCTGAGATCATGAGTTCGAGACCAGCCTGACCAACATGGACAACTCTGTCTCTACTAAAAATACAAAATTAGCCAGGCGTGGTGACACATGCTCGTAATCCCAGCTACTCAAGAGGCTGAGGCAGGAGAATCACTTGAACCCGGGAGGGTGCAGTGAGCTGAGATCACGCCACTGCACCCCACCCTGGGCGACAAGAGCGAAACTTCATCTCAAAAAAAAAAAAAAAAAAGTATAGATGACAATTGTGTAAAGGGAAAATCAGAAAAGGAGCTTTAACGAAGGCACTGCCAGCAATTGAATCTAGCTGGAGGATACGAGGAAGAATCTCCTATTCTTCTACTTTTCCGCATGTTAGAAATTTTTCAAAGTAAGAACTTAAGGCCAGGCGTGGTGACTCACGCCTGTGATCCTAGTACCTTGGGAGGCTGAGGCGGGCGGATCACGTGAGCCCAGGAGTTTCAGATCTGCCTGGACAACATAGCAAGACCCCATTTCCACAAAAACGGTTTTTTAAAATTAGCCAGGTGAGGTGGTGCGCACTTGTAGTCCCAGCTACTACAGAGGCTGAGAGAGGAGAATAGCTTGAGCCCAGGCAGGTTGAGGCCGTAGTGAGCCGAGATTGCGCCACTGCACTCCAGCCTAGTAAACGGGGCAAGACCCTGTCTCAAAATAAAAAATAAAAACTTAAGAAAAAAAAGTGGGTTTCAGGATTCATTAGGAAAAATGGGAGAACATAGGAAGACTCAGTTTAAAATTCTCAAGGCTCTATCCAGAAACAATAATATGGCTCATCTTTGACCAATATTAGTTATTTGTAGCTTCTGCAGTTAACTCTGTAGCCACATATAAATTCTCATCATTACATTCAAGAAGAGAGCTGTTTAGAGTAACTATAACATTCTGAAATTAAAAAAAAAAAAGGCACGTAAGCACTAACGCTACCTAAAAGAAATTTCTCAGACAAGTTCAGATAGTAACCATATTTAAGCGCTTAACATAATCGGCTCCATTTTCCATGAGTTAGGAATGGAATTTAACGTTCATAGAAAATCTCTATCAAGAAGAAACAACTCCAGACCCTAAGAGAAACTCTTCTGCTCAGAAACTATTTCCAAGTCCTCGGAAGACAGGTACAAATCCTTATATTCCATTCGGCCTTAACAGCATCAGGAGGAAGTTGCCACACGTTTAACAGAAAGAGATATTTTATGATCCAGAATGCTGGATTTCTGACCTAAATTTCATTGTACATGAAAAAGAGCACTGCAATGGAAAAAGGGAGGGGGGGGGAGGGGGTGGGGGAGGGCACGTCTAAGGCACACAGGGCCCACCTGGGAGCCCTTTCAATTACAAAATTCTAGACATACCAAACATATCTCTACACTCGTCAGGTAAAGGCCTTTCAGTTTTCAGTACAAAGGACTTCTGCCGGCTTCCTTCAGAAAAATCAAGAATTTAAGAAAATACTTGTTATGCAAACAAACATTTAGCCCACTTAACATTGAGCTACGGTCGTCCAAAGCTGCTTAGTGTCCGCGAGGAGGCCGTCCGGATGCGCGATGATTCAGGCCTTCTCCGCCAGCTCCACCCGGGACGCGAGCACCCGGCGTGGACCTCTGCGTCCCGGGCCCACGACGCCCGCGCCGCGGGGTGCGCGCACTGCGTCCCCGCTCTCCTGGGACTGCGCCCCGAGTAACACGTGCAGGGGGCACTGGGTCCCCTGCAAGCGGCGAGAACGCCGGCAGCCCTGGCCAGTTAAGCGGGGAGTGGGTCCACGCGGACCACAGCGGCAACTCAGCCCAGGACGAGCCTCGGGTCAAGTTCTCCGACTCCGCACTCGGGCACCTAGCGGGCCGCGCCCCGGAGCTACGCGGCCCCAACCTCACCTGCCCGCCCAAACTGTGCCCCCAACTACCCGCACCTCCACCTGCGCGCCGCCCACCCTCGCCCTCCACCTGCGCGCCCCCGGCCTACTAGCACTCCCCACCTGCGCACCCCCTCACCTGCGCCTGGGCGGCGGCGGCGGCGGCCGGTGGCGGCCCCCCACGCAGGCCGTCCTCCTCCTCGGGGGGCTCGTCCAGCAGCACTCGGCCCCGGCCCAGCTTCCACATGGTCAGGCGGGCTCCGGCGTCCCTCCGTCCGTGCGTCGGGCTGTGGCTCCGCGTCCCTCCCGGCCGCCGGACGCTCTGCCTGCGGCTCCTGCGGGACGCGGGCCCAGTGGGCCGGGCGGGGCTAGGCGGGGGCGGGGCACCCCCAGAACTAGGCCCGCCCCCTCCCCACCAGGCCCGCCCCAAACCCTCCCCAGGACCCGGCCCGCCCCCAAACCATCCCCAGAACCAGGCCCGCTCCAAGCCCTCCTCAGGACCAGGCCCGCCCCAAACCCTTCCGAAGACCAGACCCGCCCCCAAACCTTCCCCAGGACCAGACCCACCCCCAAATTCGACGGGGCTCCGAATCCCATCCCCCACAGAAAGGTCAACCCCGGCCCCCTCCTCCCAGTGTGGTCCCCGCCACCGCCCCGGCGAGACCCTCGCCCTTCACTGTTCTACTGAACGACGTCCTCACCCCAGGCTACCCCGTCACCTGGTCCCCCCACCTTGACCCCCACCTACCCGCCCCTAGCTGCTTCCTCACCCGGAAACGCCCCCATCCTGAGCCCCCACCGAGCCCCTAGCCCTGCCCTATCCCCGGTTCCCTGGGTCCTCCTCTACCCCCGAGCCCCCACCCGGCCCCCGCAAATTCCCCTCTCCCGGTTCTCTCCTTCTCCCCCGCCGACCCCCACTTACTCCCGGACTGCCCCCTCCCCCCACCCTTTCCCAGACCCTGGCCGGAGGGCGTGGCCACGTCCGCTCGGGTCACCAAGGCAACGGCCGGGAGCGCAGTGCGCATGCGCGCCGCTGGCGCTCAGGCCGCGGCAAGGCTGAGGGGAAGGTGGAGGGGGCACAGTCCGCGGAGCGGCGCCTGTACCCCAGCGCTTCAGGGCATCCCTCGGGGCCTGGGCGCCGGGCATCCGGGACTCATCCCCTCCGGCGCCCGAGGTCGCGGGATAGTGGGGGCGCCGGGAGGAAGCCTCGCCCAGCCCTGGTGGGCGGTGGGGCCGCTGGGGCCTGGGGCGCCGCGGGCTCGGCCCGGACTGACGGCGGTGGGGGGCGGGGATGGGGCCGTGGTGCCGGGCCGCGCAGAACCCTTGGGACCCCCGCGGCGCCCAGGTTGGGGCTCAGGGCCCGGAGAACGTTTTCCCGCGTGGCTATGGCTTTGTCAGAATCAGGAGCGGGAGAGGCGCCCACAGATTCCTGAGGGCAGAACCGCCTGGTTCCCAGGCCGAAAGGAGCCGGCGAGGCGACCCCCGATCCCGGGACGGAGCCGCGGGAACGGGGGATTCTAGGCGTCCGCTCCCGCCCAGCAGGTTAATTTTTCCCGCGACGCGCTTCGTATCGCTTCTTACACCAAATATGTATTCATGTGTTCAGTCATGTAAAAGCGCATTTTGAAGGAGGATCCAGAACTATGAGCTCCCTTGAAAACTGCAAGCTTCGTAACTTTACGACTCTTAAAAAAATGAAATGTACATTTTGAGTTTCCCAGAAGTGATGAGCAGCAAAGCTTTTAAGATGAAAGGGGCTCTGAACTGCCTTTGGGAGATGCCGGCCAGGATCCCGGAGAACCGAGGGGGTGGCGCCCGTGCCCAAGGCCTGGGGGGACCTGGGGCCCTGGCGCGGGACGCACAGGGAGGGCGGGGGCTGGGCCTGGCAGGAGCCCCCAGCCGAGTGGGAAGAGCCAGATAATAACCTAACGATACTAACCTAACTATACCGTCACCCAGAGAGGAGGGCAGCACCCCTCCCACATGCCTCCCTCCCCCGGTGACCGCTAAACCTACCGGCCGCAAACATCACGAAATAGAATTAAACACTGGCGCCTACTAAGGACCACTCCACCCAGTACAAACTAAATTTGAGAGTTCATCTTCACGCAAATAATAAGAATGTTAAAAATGTATATATGCTCCTTTTCAAACAAGGCCTAATAGGCCTGGCCTCCTGGGCTAGGGGGCTTAGAAAATTGCAAATGCAAGATGGCATGGTGTGGCTCCGGGGTGCTGTCAAAATAAGCACATTGCAAGCACAAACTGATGAAAGTCAAAAACTATCAAACAGAGGTTGCAAAACAAAGTCAGGATCCAAACACAGCCCATATAAAGACGCTACAAATAAAACACAGAAAACCAACTCAGAACACTTGGACAAATAACACAAATCCCCCTGGCTAATGCGAAGGAACACAGGGCTTATGCCCAGACAGCTGGCTTCCTCTCAGTCTAGCAACATCCACTCCATGAATTGTCATTAAACTGTAATCCCCTGCAAATCTATGACAATCTGGAAGAAGGTGAGCCTTGCTAAATAAAAAAGCTAACTTACTGAATATTTTAGACATTTAGCTTTCTTCTGAAGAAGAGCACAGCTAGTCAGGATATCTACAACCTAAAGGCCTGGCACAAATGAGAGGGAAGGGGGTTGGGTGGGAGAAGCCGGTGAAACGGCTGTTACGGAGCAGCAGGCATTTCTGGAATTTTGAGAAGAACTTTCCCGAGTACTATGAATTTGACTCAGTTCATTCATTAGCTCCTCTATGAGTTTTATATAATTAAGTCATGCTATTGTTAAGGTCCATAAGAGGCATACTTTACACAATCCAGTGTCATAAAAATACAATTGTTACCACTAAAAATCCATTTTGGGATCGAGAAAGTCATGGTTAAACAACCTTTTCATCTGCTGAGGCCTCAGTTGAAGGAAGCTATTCATTTTAAACTGAATTGCCCTTATTGGCTAATTTGGCCACTGAAAATTCACTGGTACAGGAACTCTAATTTTTTAGATGTAAAGATCAAGCGTGTCATCTCTCTCTGAATTCAAAATGCATAAGGCTCAATTTAGTGAGATTTTGCTCTGGCAGACTTAATTTTAAATAGGAGTGGGGTTTGGGGTGCCATATAGAACTTTCTAGCAACCAAAGCTGTTTAAAAACTACAAGTTTCTTATCCATGGAGGTGATTCGGCAGAGGCTGGATCTTAAGACAGTTGTACCCTCAGTCCTCTGACTTTTTTAAAAAATGGATACATAATATTTTACATATTTGGGGGTACATTTGATATATTGTTACAAGCACGGAATGTGTAATGATCAAGTTAGGATATTTGGGGTATATATCAACTTGGGTATTTTTCAATTCTATGTGTTGGTAATATTTCAAGTTTTCCTTTCTAGCTATTTTGGACTATACAATGCATTGTTACTAACTATAGCTACACTACTCTCCTATCAAACATTGCCTTCTAACTGCATGTTTGTACTCATTAACCAACCTGACTTTACTTCTCCCCCAACATACACACCTTCCCAGCATCTGGTAACTACCATTCTATTCTCTACCTCCAGGATATCAGGATTTTTTTTTAGCTCTCACATATGAGTGAGAACATGTGATATTTGTCTATGTCTGGCTTATTTCACTTAACATAATGATCTCCAGTTCCATCCATGTTGCTGCAAATGACAGGATATGATTCCTTTTTATGACCAAATACTATTCCATTCTGTATATGCACCACATTTTCTTCATCCATTCATCTGTTGATGGACACTTAGGTTGACTCCATATCTTTACTATTGTGATTAATGCTTCAATAAACATGGGTATGCAAATATCCCTTTGATATAACAATTTTCTTTCCTTTGGATAAATATCCAATAGTGGGATTGCTGGATCATATGGTAGCTTATTTTTAGTGGGTTTTTTTTTTTTTTTTTGAGAAATCTCTATGGCTGTACTAATTTATATTCTCACCAACAGTGTATAAGCTCCCTTTTCTCCACATCCATGCCAGCATCTGTTATTTCTTGTCTCTTTATTTTTTTCTTTTCTTTTTTTTTTTAGACGGAGTCTCTCTCTGTCACCCAGGCTGGAGTACAGTGGCACGATCTCGGCTCACTGCAACCTCCGCCTCCCAGGTTCAAGCGATTCTCCTGCCTCAGCCTCCCGAGTAGCTGGGACTACTGGCGCGTGCCACCATGCCTGGCTAATTTTTTGTATTTTTAGTAGAGACGGGGTTTCACCGCGTTAGCCAGGATGGTCTCTATCTCCTGACCTCGTGATCTGGCCACCTCGGCCTCCCAAAGTGCTAGGATTACAGGCATGAGCCACCACACCTGGCCTATTTCTTGTCTTTTTAGTAATAGCCATTATAACTGGAGTAAGATGATATTTCATTGTGGTTTTGATTTGCATTTCCCAGATAATTAGTGACGTTGAGCATTTTTTCATATACTTGTTGGCCATTTGTAAGTATGTCTTCTTTTGAGAAATGTCTATTCCTGTCCTCAGCAATCCTCCCACCTCAGCCTCCCAAAGTGCTGGGATTACAGGAATAAGCCACCATGCCTAGCCTTTCTACTTTTTTGATGTAAGCATTTATAGCTGTAAACTTCCTTCTTAGCACTGGTTTTTTGTTATCCCATAGGCTTTGATATGTTGTGTTTTGATTTTCATTTATTTCAAAACATTTTTTTATTTTCTTCTTAATTTCGTCCTTGACTCAGTGGTCATTCAGATGCACGTGGCTTAATTTCTATGTATTTGTACAGTTTTCAAAGTTCTTCTTGTTATTGATTTATAGTTTTACTTCACTGTGGTCTGAGAAGATATTTGGTATGATTTTGATTTTTAAAAATTTGTTGAGACTTGTTTTGTATCCTGACATACGGTCTATTCTGGAGAATGTTCCATGTGCTGATGAGAAGAATGTATATTCTGTAGTCGTTGGGTGAAATGTTCTCTAAATGTCAGTTTGGTCTATTTGGTCTAAAGTACAGTTTAAACCCCCATGCTTCTTTGCTGATTTTCTGTGTAGATGATTTGCCTAATGCTGAGAGTGGGGTGTTGCAGTTTTCACCTATTATCGTATTGGAGTCTTGCTCCCCCTGGAGATCTAATATTTGCTTTATTTATCTAGGTGCTATGGTGTTTGGTGCATATATGTTTAGAATTGTTATATCCTCTTGCTGAATGAATCCCTTTATCATTATATAATGACCTTCTTTGTCTTTTTTTTACTATGTTTCACTTAGTCTGTTTTATCTGATATAAGTATAACTACTCCTGCTTACCTTTGGTTTCCATTTGCATGGAGTATCTTTTTCCATCCCTTTGCTTTCAGACTATATGTGTCTCACTTTACAAGTGAGGTGACTTTCTTGTACACAGTACATAATTAGGTCATATTTTTGTTCGTTTCTTTCAACAGTTGTCTATTGTGCACTTAAAGGTCATTTTTAAATCCACACAACTTACGTGTATATTTTATGTGAAAAGTTTAATCCATTACATTGAAGGCAATTATTGATATATGAAGCCTTATCTTTGTCATTTTATTAATTGATTTCTGGTTGTTTTGTATATCCTTTGTTCTTTTCTTTTTGTCTTATTGTTTGTCACTGTGGTTTTGTGGTTTCCTGTAGTGGTAACATTTGATTCCTTTCTCTTCCTTATTTGAATATTGGTTCTACCAGTGGGTTTTATACGTCCATGTGTTTCCATGATGGCAGGTATTGTCCTTTTACTTTGAGATGTAGGCCTCTGATATGGTTTGGCTCTGTGTCCCCACCCAAATCTCATCTCGTAGCTCCCATAATTCCAACATGTTGTGGGAGGGAGCTGGTGGGAGATCATTGAATCATGGGGATGAGTCTTTCTCGTGCTGTTCTCATGATAGTGGTAAGTCTCATGAGATCCGATGGGTTTAAATACAGGAGTTTTCCTGCACAAACTCTCTTTCTCTGCCTGCTGCCATCCATGTAAGACATGACTTTCTCCTCCTTGCCTTCCACTATGATTCTGAGGCTTCCCCAGCCACGTGGAACTGTAAGTCCATTAAGCCTCTTTCTTTTGTAAGTTGCCCAGTCTCGGGTATGCCTTTATCAGCAGCATGAAAACAGACTAATACAGCCTCCCTTAAGTATTTCTTTTAGGGCCAGTCTAGTGGTGATTACTTCCTTCTGCTTTTGTTTATCTGGGAAAGACTTTATTTCTCCTTCATCTATGAACTATAACTCTGCTGAGTACAGTATCCTTGACTAACATTTTTTCTTTCAGCACAGTGACTATATTGTCCAATTATCTCCTGACCTGTAAGGTTTCTGCTGAGAAATATGCTGTTAGTCTGATGGAGTTTCCCTTATAAGTGACAAGATGCTTTTCTCTTTCTGTTTTTAGAATTCTGTTTTTGCCTTTGACCTTTGACAGTCTGACTATAAGGTGCTATGGAGACCTTTCTGAATTGTATCCATTTGGGGATCTCTGAGCTTCCTGTGTCTGAATATCTAAACCTCTTGTTAGAGTTGGGAAATTTTTAGCTGTTATTTTGTTTAAAAGTTTTGTATCCCTTTTGTTTGCTTTTTACCCTCATGGACACTGAAAATTTGAATATTTGGTCACTTTGTGGAGTGCCATTTGTCATGTAGTCTTTATTCATTCCTTTTTATTCTTTTGTTTTAATATTTGTCTGACTGGGTTATTTCAAAGGATCTGTCTTCACATTCTGAAATTTTTTTCTTCTGCTTGATCTATTGGGGAAGCTTTCAAATACATATTTAATACATATTTTTTTCATTCAGTAAGTTCTTCAGTTTTAGAATTTCTATTAGGTTGGTACAAAAGTAATTGTGGTTTTGGCATGGTTGGAATTTGCCATTTGATATTGGAATACAGTCTTAAATAAATGTGGTTATGTTATACATCATTTTAACGTACACTGCTTTATGTTTTTTGCTAATGACACTACTTGCTGTTTGTTTTATATTTATTTAGACTATGGAAATGATGTTAGACAAAAAGCAAATTTGAGTGATTTTCTTATTTGATTTCAAAATGCGCCATAAAGCAGTGGAGACAACTCACAACATCAATAACACATTTGGCCAAGGAACTGCTGATGAATGTACAGTGCAATGGTGGTTCAAGAAGTTTTGCAAAGGAGACAAGAGCCTTGAAGATGAGGAGCACAGTGGCTGGCCATCAGAAGTTGACAACCACCAGTTGGGAGCAATCATTAAAGCTTATCCACTTACAAGTACACGAGAAGTTGCCAAAGAACTCAACATCGACCATTCTGTGGTCATTCAGCATTTGAAGCAAATTGGAAGGGTGAAAAAGCTCAATAAGTGAGGGCTCATGAGCTGAGTGAAAATTTAAAAAAATCGTTATCTTGAACTGTCATCTTCTCTTATTCTATGCAACAACAATGAACCATTTCTCGTTTGGATTGTGACGTGCAATGAAAAGTGGATTTTATATGACAACCAGCGATGACTAGCTTAGTGGTTGGGCTGAGAAGAAGCTTCAAAGCACTTCCCAAAGCTAAACTTGCACCAAAAATAAAGGTCATGGTCACTGTTTGGTGGTCTGCTGCTGGTCTAATCCACTACAGCTATCTGAATCCTAGCAAAACCATTACACCTGAGAATTGTGCTCAGCAAATCAATGAGATGCACTGAAAACTGCAATGCCTTCACCTAGCATTGGTCAGCAGAAGGGCTCAATTCTTCTCCACAACAACGCCTGACTGCACATTGCACAACTGCTTCAAAAGTTGAACGAATTGGGCTATGAAGTTTTTCCTCATCTGCCATATTCACCTGACCTCTTGCCAATCGACTACCACTTCTTCAAGCACCTTGACAACTTTTTCTGGGAAAATGCCTCCACAACCCGCAGGATGCAGAAAATGCTTTCCAAGAGTTCATCAAATCCCAAAGCACAGATTTTTACACTACCGGAATAAACAACCTTATTTCCCATTGGCTAAAATGTGTTGATTGTAATGGTTCCTGTTTTGATTAATAAAGATGTGTTTGAGCCTAGTTTTAATGATTTAAAATGCATGGTCCAAAACTGCAATTACTTTTGCACCAAACTAATACTTGGTTCTTTTTTATGATATCTATCTCTGGTAAATTTCTCATTTATATTCTAAACTGTTTTTCTGATTTATTTGTTTATCTGTGTTCTCTTGTATCTTGCTGAACTTCTTTAATATCACTATTTTGAATTTTTTTCCAGGATTTTACAGCTTTTTTTTCATTGCTGGAAAATTATTATATTCCTTTAGAGGTGTCATATTTCCTTGCTTTTTTATGTTTCTTGCATCCTCATGTTTGTATCTGTGTATCTGGTATAACAGTTGCTTTTTCCAATTTTTTAAATTGACTTTTGTAGGATAGGATTTTTTCTGAAGATGTATCTATGCTTTTGGTTGGGTAGGGCACTTTGGCTTTGATTCTGGATGCATGCAGTGGTCTAGTCTCCATATGATTTCTTTGGCTATAAATAGTGTCAGTGGTATCTGTGATTTCCTCAGTGGCTTAGGGTGCAATTGTTAGTGGAGGCTGTGGTAGAGTTTTGCTGGAGACAGGGACACCAGGTCAGCCAGTCCTCAGGCCCCAGTGGTGGCAGCAGCAGGTCAGGCATGCCTGTCCTTGCCAGGGCAGCTTCTGCTGGCGCTGACGTTAGCCGGTCTACGTGAGCCAATTCTTCGTCCTCCAGGTGGCTTGCTTAGGTGCCAGTGGTGACAGTGGTGGGCCAGGGGAGTGGGTAGGTCCTTGGGCCCCTGGTAGCAAGCATGACATGGGCAATGGCAGTAGTAGTGGAGGGACAACCCTCTGGTTCCCACGTGGTGGTAGCCCCAATGGGCTAGGTGGGCCAGTCCCCTCCTCTCAGACTTTGAAATCAATGAGGTGGGTTATGTTTTGCCATGGTGCTCATTCCTCAGACACCTATGGACCATGGAGGGCATGAGTGTCCAACAGAGACTGTGCTCCCTACACCTAGTGGTTATATTCACCAAGTTAAAGTGAGACTCACATAGAAACTTCCACTCCCCTGAAAGTGGTTTTTATTAATATCAAGGAAACAATCAATAATATCTGGACAGTTCAGGTAATCTGTGAACTTTAAGATCAATATGGCCTTAAAAATCAACCTTCATATCCTGATACATTAAAATTTATATTTGTATCCACCCAAATTTCTCTCTGCACTACCTGAAACTGTAAGAGTATGTTAATATAACATTCTATACCCTTGCCTACCTTCTGTAAACCTTCTCATATACATTCTTCTATGACTATACCATGTCTGCTGTAGTGTAAGAACAAAGTATTTGCCAAATAAATATTCACTAATTGATCAATTCTCTTCATTGAACAGTATTAACAAAATAAAAATAAAAGTTACATCTAATATTCACTGCTTTCTCTATGCCAGGCATTTGTTAGTATGTTATATACGTTATCATATTTAATGGAAAGACCAGAGCAAATTGAGCTGGACTGCAATTTTAGCTCTGCTAAGAAAGCACAATCTGAAAGGATTTCCACCAAACTGTAATGCTGGTTACCTGTGGGGGGTAAGCTTGGGGGAACAGAGTGAGAAAATTCCACTTTGGTTTATATAGTCATAGATGCATGAATTATAACACACACACACATTTTGTATAAGCCTTATAAATCTAGTATGTGTTATGCAGGCAAAGTGTTTAAAACTTATCTGCTGTTTTGAATTTTTAAGAAATTTAGTACTCTATAAAATGTAAAACATTTAAACATTGCAACAGATAGGGAATTTACAACAAATTTAAATTAAATATGATTGATATTTTCTAATTCATTTCTCTTATTTTTCATGTTCAAAGCCCTGCCATAACCTTTGTGACCATATCCAAATATATACATAATAATGTGCATATATAAAAGGTCATACTTCTGCCATTAAATATAATGTACACCATAATAATGCTAACAATCACATATATATACAAAATTTGTTTTTTGTCTTGCTACTTTTCTATATTTTTCAAATTAAAAAGTTATTTGACAAATATAAATAATTTTGCTCTATAGCTTCCTAACTGTTGTGACCTTGAGCAAGGCATTTTAGCATTGTAGCTATGATCATCCTATAAGATAGGGATGATATTTCTTCATGGGGTCACAGAGATGAACAGATGAGACAGGGATGGGGCACAATATTGGCAATGAGATGTCATGCAAGTCACTGTGAGGCTGGGGAGGTTAAGTGCCTGCCCAACCCTGAGCCTCAGCTCTTCACTCACACCCTGAGAATGACACCCCTACCACCTGCAGAGCCACACTAGCACAGAATGGACGCATGCAATATGTGAAGCACTAAAACCATTAACCCACTAGTTCATTGGCAGACAAGCTCTGTGTGGGGTGTTGAGGCTGCTCAGGGGATCTGGACACAGCCCTAATTCCTCATCAGGACAGCCTTCCCCAATCACATTCCTAAATGAAGTATGAAGGCAAGGAAAAGCAGGAGTGCCCCACCCCAGCCCCTAGGGCCCCCTCCCAGAAGAGTGCCCCCATCCAAGGTGCCTCACCTTGCTGAGGCCAGTGGTGACCACCATGCTCTCAGTACCATACCAGAGGCCATTGTCTTTTCATTAATTCCCACTTCACTGCAAGGAAATTATACAATTATAAGAACAATAAATACACTTGCACTTGCTCAGCAGGCTTTATTTTCAAAGCACATTTGTATCTGGTGTCTTGTATGAGTCATTCCCAATATCTTAATTAACAAGGGTAATATTTCCTTTTTAAAAATTATAATTGTGGTTAAAGGTGTTAGAAAGTCATCCATGGCATGTGTTAAGACAGAGAGGAAGACTTTATTCAGGGGTCACTGTAACAGTTGCAGGGACCACTGCAACGGAAGTTTGGCAGTGGCAAAGAAAGGATGGACTCAGTTCCAAATACAGCAAGGAAAAGTGGGAGTTTATAGCAAAGGAGCAGTGTGGGGGTATGTGGATGAAAAATGCTGAGAGGAAACATAAGAGTTAAGGGGGATTCTGGCTAAGCTGAGTGACTAGGAATCTTCTGAAGACAGGCCAGGGTGATTCCTGGGGGATGGTGGGGATAAGGAATTTGACTGATATTAAGCGTGATCAGATATTGAGAGTGGGGGGATCTGGATAAACCAACCTAGCAGAGTTCTTGCTAAAGATGTGCCCTGCAGGTGGAGACAGAAGCCCCGGGTCAGGCCTGGTGGAGGGGAGGGCTCAGGAGGCTGACTAAAGTTTGGTCCAGGAGAGAGTTGCCATCAGTCAAATGTCCTTCTTTCCTATGAACAATGTAAATCTATTACTTGTTGTGTTCCCTCTTGTTTATTAAGGACCAGCTGATTCATCTGGTGAGACTTTGTGGTAGAGGGCATTTGCAGGATGGTGTGAGCAGTCAGGCATTTAATGAAGGATGTTTCTGTGAAAATAAAAGAAAAGCCAGCAGGGCACAGTGGCTCATGCCTGTAATCCCAGCACTTTGGGAGGCCAAGGCAGGTGGATCACCTGAGGTGAGGAGTTCAAGACCAACCTGACCAAAATAGTGAAACCCTGTCTCTACTAAAAATACAAAAATTAGCTGGGCGTGGTAGTGGGCACCTGTAATACCAGCTACTCGGGAGGCTGAGGCAGGAGAATCACTTGAACCTGGGAGGTGGAGGTTGCAGTGAGCCGAGACCGCACCATTGCACTCCAGCCTGGGCAACAACGTGAGACTCTGTCCCCCACTCCAAAAAAAAAAAAAAAAAGAAAAGAAAAGCCATAACTAATGGTTAGAAACCCAGCTTCTGAATCCACACGGCAGCTAGTCAAGATTTCTAGAATTAAGCTCAAAGCATCATTCAGTGGAGGTGTGAGGACCGCAGGGGTGATCTGACAGTTTCCTGGTGTGCAGTTTAATGTTTTTGGTGATTGCAGTGGGTGTTCCAGTGAACTTTCTGAGTGGCTTATTCAGCAGTGGGCGCATGGGTTACTCAGATGTGATCTGTTGTGGGGGATTCCTTGAAGCTTCTTCAAGGAAACATCTTCAAGGAAGATTCTTCAATTCGGGAGTTGACCCAGACTTTGCCTGCAATATCTATAGATTTGGGCGAATTCTTCTCTACCAGACATCCCTAAGATATCTTAAGTTTCCTGGATCTGCCAGGAAGTGACTTTCCTTAGTCACCTGCAAGGCGGGGAGTCCTGTAATTGAGGTACCAAGATGGTTTTTCCAAGTGGACTCTGTAAGCATTGGCTCTTTGGAGTTAACCTTACTTCCCTAAAGCTGTCTGGTCACCGCAGATTCTCACATGTGACATTCCAGTAAAAGCCTTGGTAATCTATCCAATGTATCCTGTTACAAGTAAAACATAGTCTTATTGAATGCATGCAAATAACTGTGTTGCCATGAAAATAAAAATACTCAATAAGAGTTTTCCAATCCTGGAGCAATCAGGAGGGGAGAAAGAATAAATGTTTCATTTCTGTTTATAAAAGTACAATAACTTAAGAGAAAAGAGAAAGGGGTTTCTTATGTCCAGAAAAGAGAACATTAAAGGATCATCAGTGTTCCAGACAATAACTATAATCATCTTTTATCTATTCATTCGGTCCCATGTGATTAAATCTTGTTCTGTGTGACCTTGAGATAGCAGTTTCATGAACTATCACCTTCTCCACAAGAGCTCTGAAAATTCTGACTCAGCCCAGCATGGTCTTATAATGGTCAATTTTAGGTGTCAACTTGACTGGATTAAGGGATATCCAGATAGCTGGTAAAGTGTTATTTCTGGGTATGTCGGTGAGGTTTTTCTGGAAGGGACTGGCATTTGAATCAGTGGACTGAGTAAGGGAGACCTCCTCTCACCAATGTGGATGTCATCACCCAAGCCATTGAGGATCCAGATAGAGCAAAAAGGCAAAGGTAAGGCAAATTCTTTCCCTGTCTCTTTTCTGGAACTGGGACATCTTTCTTCTCCTGTCCTGAGACATCAAAACTTCAGGTTCTCTGGCCTTTGGCCTCAGACTGAGAGTTACACCACCAGCTTCTCCAGTTCTGGAACCTTCAGACTTGAGCTGAGCCATACCACTGGCTTCCCTCAGTCTCCAGCTTACGGACAGCCTGTTGTGGGACTTCTCAGCTTCCATAATTATACGAGCAATTTCCCTAAAAAAATCCCCTCTTATCCATCTCTCTCCTATTGGTTCTGTCTCTCTAGAGAATCCTGACTAATACAGGTCTCAAAGTTTTCAAACGATGCCATCACAAATCATTCTGGCCTACACCTGATTGCAAATGCTTTCAGGGAAGAATCAGAGTAACACAAAACCATCTGTGAATAACAAAATATTTTAAATGGGTATGCTTAGATATCTGATGAGAATGCATTTGACAAAAGACTTTTTTTATAACATACAACATTTAATAAAAACAATTGAAATTGTGACCGATAATATGGAACTGGATAAAGCATGGCCAGTGCAGGCACTGACAGTTGTCCATAGCTCTGCACAACTTCTGAAAGAGTTACATTAAGACGATTTACCCATATAAATACAACCTAAAGAAGGTTACACACCCTTCTTATTTAACAATGACTCTTCATGCAATTCAACATATCAAATAAACCAAATTAGGTTTTGACATTCTCCTACAAGGTTGTCTTAGTCAGTGCTGTGCTGCTATAACAGAGTACCTGGGAGGTTTAGTTCTTACACTTCTGGAGGGTGGGAAGTCCAAGGTTGAGGGCCTGCATCTCGCAGTGGTCTCTTGGCTGCATCATCCCATGGTGGAAGGTGGGGGGATATGGGGGGAGGAAAAGGGGTTGAACTCATCCTTTTATAAGAGTCCACTCCTGTAATAACGAACCCATTCATGCAGAGCACTCATGACCTAATCACCTACCAAAGGCCCCACCTCTCAACATTGTTGCATTGAGGATTAAGTTTCCAACACAGGAACTTTGGGAGACACATTCAAACCATAGCAAAAGTGAAAGAAGTCCTTTGGAATTATCTGGGACCTTATGGGAAGTTCCAGGTCCGTTCAAAAACAAGATTTCATTTAGGATTTGATCTGGGAAGGCAAAATTGTCGAAAATATTTTTTAAAAACCTTAGCTATTATAAAGGCAAGAAATCTCCATTTTCTTAAGTAATCCAAGATATAACAAAGGTTAACAGAAAGCTTGGCTAAAGCAGTGTTAAGAGGGAAATTTATAGCACTAAATGCCTGCATCGGAAAGCTTGAAAGATCTCAAATTGACACCCTAACATCACACCTAAAGAACTAAAGAAGCAAAAGCAAACCAATCCAAAAGCTAGCGGAAGACAAAAAATAACTAACATTAGAGTATAACTGAAGGAGATAAAAAAACATGAAAAACCCTTCAATAACTCAAGGTATCCAGAAGCTGGTTTTTTGAAAAAATTAATAAAACAGACCGCTAGCTAGACTAATAAAAAAGAAAAGAGAGAAGACTCAAATAGATACAATAAAAAAATGATAAAGGGGATATCACCACTGACCCCACAGAAATACAAACTACCATCAGAGAATACTATAAACACCTCTACAGAAATAAACTAGAAAATCTAGAAGAAATTGGATAAATTCCTGGACACATACACCCTCCTAAGCCTAAACTAGGAAGAAATCAAATCTTTCAATAGACCAGTAACAAGTTCTGAAATTGAGGCAGTAATAAATAGCCTAGCAACCAAAAAAAGCCCAGGACCAGATGGACTCACAGCCAAATTCTACCAGAGGTACAAAGAGGAGCTGGTACCATTCCTTCTGAAACTATTCCAAACAATTGGAAAGGAGGGACTCCTCCCTAACACATTTTATGAGGCCAGCATCATCCTAACACCAAAACCTGGCAGAGACACAATGAAAAAAGAAAACTTCAGGCCAATATCCCTGATAACATTGATGTGAAAATCCTCAGTAAAATATTGGCAAACCGAATCCAGCAGTACATCAAAAAGCTTATCCACCAAGATCAAGTTAGCTTCATCCCTGGGATGCAAGACTGGTTCAACATAGGCAAATCAATAAATGTAATCCATTGCATAAACAGGACCAATGATAAAAACCACATGATGATCTCAACAGATATAAAAAAAGGCCTTTGATAAAACTCAACATCCTTTCATGTTAAAAACTCCCAATGAACTAGGTATTGATGGAACATATCTCAAAATAATAAGAGCTATTTATGACAAACCCACAGCCAATATCATACTCATTGGGCAAAAGCCGGAACTATTCCCTTTGAAAACTGGCACAAGATGGATGCCCTCTCTTACCACTCCTATTCAACATAGTATTGGAAGTTGTGGCCTGGGCAATCAGATGAGAGAAAGAAATAAAGGGTATTCAAATAGGAAGAGAGGAAGTCAGATTGTCCGTTTGCAGATGACACGAGCCTATTTTTAAGAAACCTCATTATCTCAGCCCAAAAGCTCCTTAAGGTGATAAGCAACTTCAGCAAAGTCTCAGCATACAAAATCAGTGTGCAAAAGTCACAAGCATTCCTTTACAACAACAATAAAGAGCCAAATCATGAATGAACTCACATTCACAGTTGCTACAAAGAGAATAAAATACCTAGGAATACAGCTAACAAGGGATGTGAAGGACCTCTTCAATGAGAACTACAAACCACTGCTCAAAGAAATAAGAGAGGACATTAAAAAATGAAAAAACATTCCATCCTCATGGAGAGGAAGAATCAATATCATGAAAGTGACCATACTGCCCACAGTAATTTATAGATTCAATGCTATTCCCATCAAAGTAACACTGACATTCTTCACAGAATTAGAAAAAAACTACTTTAAAATTCATTTGGAACCAAAAAAGGGCCCATATATACAAGTAAATCCTACGCAAAAAGAACAAAGCCAGATGATGGTTTCCAGCTTCATCCATGTCCCTGCAGAGGACATTAACTCATTCTTTTTTATGGGTGCATAGTATTCCATAGTGTATATGTGCCACATTTTCTTTATCCAGTCTATCACTGGTGGGCAACACAGGAACAGAAAACCAAACACCGCATGTTCTCACTCATAAGTGGGAGGTGAACAATGAGAACACATGGACACAGGAAAGGGAACATCATATACTGGGGCCTGTTGGGGTGATGGGGGAAAGGGGAGGGAGAGCATTAGGACAAACACCAAATGCATGCAAAGCTTAAAACCTAGATGACGGGTTGATAGGTGCAGCAAACCACCATGGCACATGTATACCTATGTAACAAACATGCACATTCAGCACATATATCCCAGAACTCAAAGTAAAATAAGAAAATTAAAGAAAAAAAAAAAAAAAGAACAATGCCAGAGGCATCATGTTACCTGACTTCAAACTATGCTACAAGGCTACAGTGACCAAAGCAGCATGGTACTGGTACCAAAACAGACATATAGACCAATGGAACAGAATAGAGACCTCAGAAATAAGACCACACATCTACAACCATCTGATCTTCAACAAACCTGACAAAAACAAGCAATGGGGAAAGGATTCCCTATTTAATAAACGGTGCTGGGAAAACTGGCTAACCATATGCAGAAAACTGAAACTGGACCCCTTCCTCACATCTTATACAAAAATTAACTCAAGATGGATTAAAAATTTAAATGTAAAACCCAAAACCATAAAAACTCTGAAAGAAAATTTAGGCAATACTATTCAGGACATAGGCATGGGCAAAAATTTTATGATGAAATCACCAAAAGCAACTGCAACAAAAGCTAAAATTGATAAATGGGATCTCATTAAACTAAACAGCTTCTGCACAGCAAAAGAAACTGTCATCAGAGCAAAGAAGCAACCTACAGAATGGGAGAACATTTTTGCAGTCTACCTATCTGACAAAGGTCTAATATCCAGAGTTTACAAGGAACTTAAACAAATTTACAGGAAAAAAACAAACAACCCCATCAAAAAGTGGGCAAAAGACATGAACAGACACTTTGCAAAAGAAGACATTTATGCGACCAACAAACATATGAAAAAAAGCTCATCATCACTGATCATTAGAGAAATGCAAATCAAAATCAAATGAGATACCATCTCACGCCAGTCAGAATGGTGATTATTAAAAAGTCTAGAAACAACAGATGTGGGCGAGGCTGTGGAGAATAGGAACACTTATACACCGTTGGTGGGAATGTAAATTAATTCAACCATTGTGGGAGACAGTGTGGTCTAGAACCAGAAATACCATTTGACCCAGCAATTCCATTTCTGGGTATACACCCAAAGGAATATAACTCCCTGGACTGCAGATATTTAATGAATATCTATCATTTAATTTAACCTAGTATAACTTCAAGATTTCAAGTTACTAACAAGGAACTCTTTTAGGCAGACATAATACTACACAAGACTAGTCATCATCTCAAGTTGTTTCCCTGTTAACTCCTTTAACCTTATTTGGCTAGTAAACCCAAGTATCATACTTAATGCTAAAAACTCAGACGACAGTGTTTTTATTAAACTGACAATAGTAAACTAATCTTATTTACCAAAGATTTGCTCAAGCCATGCGAGCTCAAAAAGGCATTTGGAGTAGTTCCTATTCTGAGAGTTGGGAAATATTTAATTAGTATAAGTGCTCATTTATCTCTAAGTCAATTTCAATAGAATTCCTTGAAGGGATTCTTTGAGTCCCTCAACAGTCCGTCTGGGGGCAGGGCCCTAAGTTCCAGAGACTGAGGGGCTGGGGTGGGAAGGGAAGGTCTGGCAGGTGGACAGAGGGTGGTGGGGCATGAAGGGTGCCTGCCAAGGGCTACAGGGAGGGGAAGCAGGGAAAAAGAAGGAGCGGCCAGAACCTGGGAGAGCTTCAGGTTCCAAAGAGGCTGGGGAAGCTCCACATTACCCTCAGCAAACTCCGGCCAGCAGGGAGGGGTGGGAGGTGGAGCACGCACTCCACAGGGCTCAAGAAGGGGGTTCAGCCCAGGGAAGCAGCCCTGGATCCAACAGACGGAACAGGGGGTCTCACAGAGAGCTGGGAGAAAGAAGCTTCCAGCCCAAGAGGCTGAAGAAGCCTCACTCAATGTGCAGGGCTGGGAGAAGAGCTTCTAGCCCAGGAGGCACCATTCAAAGGAAACCTGGCCCTAGCCCCACTCCTGGAGCATGCTCAGAACCTGAGGAATGGAAACCTGCCCCGACCTCCAGAGGACGTTTGTCTGGAGCCTGACTCTCCAGTGGATCCACTGAATCAGGAGCAAACACAAACGCTTCAAAGGTGAGCGCTCAGGGGCCTGGGCGAGAGGTCCGGGCCCAGTGGTGAACCTGATCTCATCCAAGCTGTGGCCCCACAGCTGTCAAGGGCAGAACAATTCCCTGGCACCTGTCAGAGCACGGTGAGGAAGACCCCATTCAGGACATCGTCATAGGTGTGGGGACCACTGAAATGGAATTTTGCAGTAGGGGAGAGAGACTGGGCTCAGCCCCAAATTCGACAAGGAAAAGTGGGAATCTATAGCCAAGGAGCAGGGTCGGGGTTAGGGTTAGGGTTAGGCATTAGAGCGGGATTCTGGCTGAACTGACCCACCAGGATTCTTGCTGAAGACAGGTGGGGCCATCAGACATCACCTAGGGGTGGGGTGGGGTGAGAAACCCTATCAGGTGTCGAGGGTCAGGGGTTCCTACTAAACCAACCTCAGATTCTTGCTTAAATCAGTCTCTTGAGGACGTGTCCATGTGTAAGGAAAATAAATCTTGGGACCCCAAACTCATTAAGCCAAAGGGAAAAGTCCAGCTAGGAACTGGGTCATGCAAACCTGCCTCCCCTTTTTGGTTCCTAAATAGGATGGCTACAAGGTGAAAAGCTACACATTTCCCACAAGGAAATCCCCAGGGAGCTCCAAGATATTTACCCTAAATATCTTGTTATTTAGGGTAAAAATACCCTAAAGCATTTTTGTTAAAGTTCACCATGGCAATGTCAATGGACAGCTTATCGTTACAGGTGCACTCACCCCTCTGCCCACCTGGCACAAATACACATCTGATTGTTCCCCTGCCTCATTTGTCTATATTATCTTATGTAAAAATGCAGATTCACTGAGCATATTTTTCCCCATCCCCCTCACATGAAAATTGTGTACTTCTCAATATCCTGTTCTTTCTTCTTTAAATTCGGAGCCCTCAAAATCACCTTCAGAAAAAGGCCTAGACCTGTCTCCCGGGCGCAAGTCAAACTTTGGCAAATAAATCTCCTAAAATGATTGAGACTTGTCTCATCATTTTTCTTGATTGACATCCACGGATAGGCATAGTTGGACCAAACTCAGAAGTCCAACTGGAGTTTGGTCAAGGAGACAAGCTTTGTGAAATGCTCTTCTGTACTTAAATAATTATATTTATATGCCTTTAAAATGTGGAAACTGAACCTCATAAACACGTGCATTGTTAAAGTCCGTGACCTAGAATCACAACAAAGCAGTGCAGGTGAAGACCATGGACGGCTGCCAGCCTGACCGCAGATCCAGGCTCCAGCCGCCAGCTCCGAGGCTTGGGTAAATCACATGCTGTCTCCGTGCCTCGGTTTCCTCATCTATCAAACAGGAGTAATAGGAGTGCTTAGCCCATGGGGTGGCTGTGAAGATCTTACAATAGTGTCTGGCTATAGGAGGTGCTTACCAAGCCTTTTCTATGGTTATTGATCTCTAGGGACTTGCAGAGTCACCCTGAGAGGCACGGCCATGCCTAGACTGGAAAACTGGTTTTGAACCACAGGGCCAGGAGGAGAGAGACCGGCGGCAGGCCCTGCAGGCTGGGCGGGCGCAGAGCTACGGGCAGGGGCCTCTCTCCTCCCCAGCCCAGAGCTGTTTCTCCTTCCACCACTCAGAGCTGGCCAGGCCAAAGCAGCCTGAGCTCAGGGCCATCCACGCACTACCCACAATACACGCTATGCACACGCATGCCACACACGACACACACAACACACCCCGTATACACACATGCCACACACACGCTCCATACACAACACATAACACAGGCACACATACTCTACACACACCACACACCGACAATACCGGCGGGATGCAAGCCCGCCTCCCTCCCTGTGTTCCAGTCCGTGCCAGGGACCTCGGCCTGACCTCCTGCAGGGAAAGGAAGTGGAGGAGAAGGGGGTGGCAGTGACCCACAGCTAGGTGCCCCTCCACCACGGAGTTTGTCATTTTTGTAAAGATGTCAACACAGAACATTTTTAAAGCAGAGACGCAGCAGGACGCGCAACTGCAGTCTCAGGCCGACCTTCCTGCTTTCTCGGTGGCAAATTCCAAACCCCAGAGGAGTAAAGCCAGACCCAGGGTCAGGAAGTTGGACGCCGCCCTCGCCGCTCCAGGGTTTGCCCAGAAAAGCTCTGGGTGAAACAATGTGAGGAAGCTCAGGTATCGGTCAACAATGGCCTGGTCATTCCCAGCCCTTTTCAGGTTTTCTGCTCCCTGGCTGAGGCCGCTGGCATCTGCTTATTTTTTTAGTGATTACATTTTTAAAGGTTTCTCCTTAGCCAATTTGCTTGTCCCATTTAGTAGTAAAATATTTGCTAAAATGGTGTTAAAATATGCTATATCTTTTAAAATATATTGTATGTACTTTTTTTCCTGCTTTAATGAATAATACACTTCATAATAGGCTACTTGGTAGCTAATGAAAAGCACAAAGTAACTAGAAATTAGCCAATATGATAACCTAATAATCAAGCCGAGCAACTTGGCACTTCACCTAACACAGGGAAAGCCCAATGCGTCATTTGGCAAACGCCTGGTGACTTAAAATTGTGATGAGACCCCAAGGCTCCCTTTCCTGCCCTCCCTCCAGCCACACAGCTCACAGGTGGCCCCAAGTCATCCCCTAGGATTGGGTCCAGCCTGGCTGGAATTTTGGGAACTCTCCAATATCTCCTTTCAGGAGCAATCGCCTCCTCCACCTCCCCTCCCTCTCGTCCTCCCACTGACTAGCGGTGACCAGTCTGAGCCCAGGCCGCCGCAGTGACCAGTCTGAGCCCAGCCCGCCGCAGTGACCATTCTGGGCCCAGCCCGCCGCAGTAGGGTGAGTGCCACGCCACTCCTTCTTCTCAGGGGCCACAGAACGGCCTCTATCAGCCCCTTCCCAGAGTCCTGCCAGGCAGCCTCTCCTAGAACCTCTCCAGCCAGGCTCTTCCAAATCCTCTCCCCACCAGGCCTCAAATTTAGACTTCCGTGTCACATTTTCTGGAGGAACCCTGCTGGGCCAGTTCAGCCAGAATCCCGACCCTGAAGGGCTGCGTGTCCTGTGTCCAAGGAGGGCTCAGAGACCCCCAGAGAGGCAGGGCGTGTGTAGGGAAGGGAACGGGCGCAAAACCCCCAGTTCGAGGTCTGAGTCTGCCCTGGGAAAGTGGCCCCCATGCTCAGGATGGTTCTGGCTTGGGCTGGTTGGCAGGTTCATGCTGGTGACAACGGGATCCCCAATATAGCCGCAGTCCATGCGCTTATTGGGAAATGCAGGAAGGACAGTGTCGAGATCTGAAATCACCTCCAAGCAGATGCGAGCCATCCCAAGATCTCAGGCCAGGCAGGGTCCTCACTAAGCTACCTACGTGAGAGTGAGATGTTCTTCCTGGACCCTATCCACAAAATCCCCAGGCAGGGATATCCGGACCTCAAAATATGATTTAGTCATTTATAAAAATAGCTTCCCCAAAAATTAAAGGAAAAAGACAACAAACTCTTAAAGTCTAAGAATTAATATGTGTTCATTTAAAAAAAAATTAAACAATGCTGAGAAAATGCCAAAATAAAGCAATGAACATTGATTCCTGCCGCTCATAGTTTGGGAGGCAGAATAATGGCCTCCCCCAAAGATGTCCCCGTCCTAAGCCTCGGAACCTGTGACTATGTGAAAAAGGGGAAAGGGGGATTGTGGTTGCAGATGCAATTAATTTCACCAAAGCTGCTCTTAAAATATGGAGATTGTCCTAGATTATCTGGGTAGGCCCATCGTAGCCACCAGTATCCTTAGTAGTGGAGGCAGGAGCAGAAGAGATGACCAGAGATCTCGAGGAGGACTCAGGCAGCCTCACTGGCTGCAAAGATGGAGGGGCCTGAGCCCAGGAGCATGGGACCCTCGGAAGCCGAGAAGAAGAGGAGAAGGAGCCTCCAGAAGTAGCCAGGACTGCCAACTCCTTGGTTTCAGCCCAGTGAGACCTGCTTCAGATTTTTACTTCCAGACCATAAGTTAATTTGTTTGTGGTCATTATTTTACCAGCAATACACACATAGATGACATTCATTGCATTTGGAGAAACTTCATTCAGAATTTGTTTCAATGTTTAAGAATCTTTCTGTTCACTCTTTTTCTGCCCTTTAAAAAATTATACTCTAGGCAGGGCACAGTGGCTCATGCCTGTAATCCCAGCACTTTGAGAGGCTGAGGCGGGCGGATCACAAGGTCAGGAGTTTGAGACCAGCCTGGCCAACATCGTGAAATCCCGTCTCTACTAAAAATACAAAAATTAGCCAAGCATGGTGGCGCACGCCTGTAATCCCAGCTACTCGGGAGGCTGAGGTAGGAGAACTGCTTGACCCCAGGAGGCGAAGGTTGCACTAAGCTGAGATTGCGCCACGCACTCCAGCTTGGGCAATACAACGAGACTCTGTCTCAAAAAACAAAAAATACTCTAAATTCAAATTTTTCATCCAGCCTTTTTCCATTTAATGTCATGTAATAACAATTTTAATAAGACATTAAAAATTCTCAATAATACAAATCTGTGTATTTCTGTAGGAATGCCCCCAGCCAAGTTTCTTAGCACCATGACGGTGTCCAGATGGAGATAAGCCCTCCGTGGTTTATTACAGCTCTGGCCACGCGGCCATCGTCCTCACAACTGTGTGTCCGGCTACACCGAGAGTCCCTGGAGTAGACGCCTCTCCCTTGTTCATGTTTGTGCTCAGAGCTCAGGACCTTTCAGGAAGCAGGTGCTCAAAACAGACAGGCTGACTGAACAAATTTAAACGGATCCATTCACAAAGCAACTCACCTCAACATGTCCCAAGGTCTTTTCGAAAGATCCTTGCCCATTAAAAATGAGATTCTCTTAGAAAATGCAGGACTTGACCTCATCAAGGAGGTGGCGTTCTCATGGGTCTGATGCCCATGGAGTCCCTCCCAGAGGAACATGGGTGACTGCCCTGCATGTGGCTGACGCAGGTGGACAGGCTATAATTTCACTGACTGAAAAGGACTTTAGGGCCGGGTGTGGTGGCGCATGCCTATAATCCCCGCACTTTGGGAGGCTGAGAGACAGGAGTTGCTTGAAGCCAGGAGTTCAAGATCAGCCTGAGCAACATAGAGAGACTCCTATCTCTACAAAAAATTAAAAAATGAACTGGGCCTGGTGGAGCACACCTACTGTCTCAGCTACTCAGGAGGCTGAGGCAGGAGGATCACTTGAGCTCAGGAGTTCAAAACTGCAGTGAGCTATGACTGGGCCACGGCACTCTAGCCTGGGCTACAAAGTGAGGCCTCATTTTAGAAAAAAAAAAAAATACTGTTTCCGGCTAGGTGTGGTGGCTCATACTTGTAATCCCAGCACTTTGGGAGGCCAAGGTGGGCAGATCACCTGAGGTCAGGAGTTCTAGATCAGCTTGGCCAACATGGTGAAACCCCATCTCTACTAAAAATACAAAAAATTAGCTGGGTGTGGTGGTGCACACCTATAATGCCAGCTACTCGGGAGGCTGAGGCAGGAGAATCACTTGAACCCAGGAGGCAGAGGTTACAGTGGGGCGAGATCATGTCACTGCACTCCAGCCTGGGTGACAGAGGAAGACTCTGTCTCAAAAAAAAAAAAAAAAGAATTACTGTTTTCATTCTGTGAATTGGATGAATATATTTTTGTTAAGATGAGCAGGTTCAGAAACATGGAAAAATATGTCATATGCAAAACACAGTACATCAGAGAGGACATAAAGCAAACTCAAGGAAGGAACCGTGCCACTGCCTGCTGTCATAGGTAACGTGGTTGGCTGCATTGTTTGAAAGTGTGACTTGAATCGTGAACTTTCGATGGGCTAGCAAGATTCCTTGAGGGTTGGCTGATTTGGGGGGCTTTTTCCTCAAAACGGCACATAGCAGCTTGGAAAGTATATGCTGGTTGGTCAATTCATCCCCAGATATTATGGGTTATAGACACCAAGATAATATGTGACATTTTGAGAACAGAAAACTAACACATCAACACCAAGTGCCTCACAACACCACAGGTGTCCAGGGCAGCGGCAGAAGCCAGGGTGTGCCCAGTCTCGGGGAAGGAGCCACATGGATGTGGACAGGCAGAGGCCCTGCATTCACAGCTGGCTGTGGTGAGGGGGCAGCACCATCACTGTGATTGCGGGAGACTCACGGGCAGGCCGGGGAGCAGGAATAAGAGGCCCAGGTGGGCCCGATGGGGCAGGGGCGGCTCTCCAGGACCTGGTGCACTGTGGGACTGGTGGGGGCGCACTGAACTTTCTCTGCTGACCTGAAGCTATGAGCAGGGACAAAAGTCCAGGAAGGGTCACGTGAGGCCATTGGGGCTGCTTGTCACAGGGGCTACTGCTTGGCCTCTGGGACCTGTTCCTAGAGTGAGTAGCCGGCCCTCCTGCAAGGCGGGCGCTGCGATGGCTCCTGCAGGTGATGGGGAGGCTTCCCAGGCTGGCTGCTCTGCATCGTGGGCCTGAATTCTATTTTTACAAATGGCTGGTCCCTTGTCTGTTTGCATATTCGGTCTTCCGTCTAGGAGCAGGGGGCGTGCCCTGTCTCAGGCCTGGCTGCAGACGAGTCACAGGCCCTGGAGCCCGGTCTGGGAAGAGGGTGCTGGCAGACACTTCAGTCCCTTCTTTCTTCATTGCAGAGCCCAGCTCTGCACAGGAGCCCCCCACCCTGGGCTGACAGAGGCTCATCCCAAGCCAGGAGCCAGTCAGACCCCCTCCTGCCACACCCACGTCCGTCAGGACCCTCCTGCCGCATCCACACCCGTGGCAGCTATGCACTGACCGAATGGCTGCCTCACCCATTATCTCCACACTCTTGGAATCTGGGCACAAGGAAGCATGCACAGTCCATCAGAAGCCTACATTATTTTAAGGTGAACTCTTGGGAAACAGCTGAGGAACTGCCTCTTCTTACTCTTTAAAAACCTACTGGTAACTGCTGCTAACTGAAGCGTGTATTCAGGGCACCTCAGATCTCTGCTCCTGGGTTGCAGACTCAAGCGTGGCCCAAATAAACCCTCTACTCAGCTTAATTTTGCCTCAGCTTCTTCCATTCAGGCTGACACAGGCAGCACCACTTCCAGGTCTCTGGCTACAAGCAACTGCAAACACCCCTGTTCTCTGAGATGAGAGGCACCGAGCTCCCTGCCTGATGCCACCTCCACCCTCATCACAGTCTGGGGAAGGCTGGACCAATGGCTGATAGACAGGAACTTTGCACCAACGATGGATCTTGGGAGCAACGTGAAAAGCAGATTCTATGACATCTGAAAGGGAAGATTTTCCAGTTGTAAACCAAAAGCAAAATCCTAAGCTCTCAATTGACTGAGAGAAACCCGAAAAACTGAATTCCAGGAGGGAGGTCAGACACTCCCATTATACATCCTCCCTGTGGAGTGCAGCCACGACTGGCCAGCACTAACTCCAAAATGAATAAGAACAGACCCTCCGTGGGAACCAAACTCCAAACCTGACTCTGGAGCAGAACCACATGACATAGCAGGTCCTGAAGGACATCAAAGTATTTCACTCCAAAATATGTTTCTTTGACATATTTTGAAATGGCCCTGCAGAGCCTTTTGTGGGGGAAATTTCCATCTGTAGCTAGTCTCCACTCATACTGCCAGGTCTTTCCCAGATCCAGGAGAGTTGAATCGAGCCTGACACCTTTGAGGTAGGAAAGGAGATTTTCACCATCCTTCTCTCGGAAGGCTACTACCTGGAAACTTCATCTACACAAGAACCTCGGCTTCCACAACCCCCCTTATCTTAACCCAAGCATCTCTTTCTGCTGACTTCCTCTTTAGACAAAGCTTTATTCTTTCTACCAGCTGCCAATCAGGAAATCTTTGGATCCCCCTCTGACCTGGACGCCCCCCTTCAAGATGTCCCACCTCTTTAGGCTGAACCAAGGTACACCTTCCATGTATTGATTTACGATTTTACCCACAATTCCTGCCTCTCTAAAATGTATAAAACCAAACTGTAAACCGGCTGCCTTGGGTACATGTTCTCAGGACCTCCGGAGACCGTTCCCCGGGCTGTGATCCCTCTACTGGCTGAGAATAAACCTCTTTAAATACTTCACACAGTTTGGTTTTTCAGCTAACACAGGGAAACACTGGTATGGCCCTAACTGCCAGGACACCCTGCCTCTGGCCGTGAGGGGAGCGGGTGGGGAGTCAGGCTGGTGGAGGCCTGGCTTGGCACACTTCTGTTACACGAAAAGGGTCCCCATTCAGACAGCAAGAGAAGGTTCCTGGGTCTCACACAAGAAAGAATTCAGGACGAGTCCGCAGTGCAAAGTAAAAGCAAGTTTATTAAGAGAGTACAGCGGTGAAAGAACAGCTACTCCGTAGACGCAGTAGGATGTTCCCGACAGCAAGAGGAGGAACGCGTCCACCCTAGGTACAATGCTTGCTTAAGTATAGGATAAAAAAGGTCATGGGGAGATGTGCTCTGCTACATTAATTTTCTTAATTACTATATTTTGCAAGAATTCATATTGTTATCTTTAAAGCAAAATTAGGAATGCCTTTGTTCTCAAGATATCAGGATATTAGGACACTCTCAAGCCTGGGTCTGTTTAGTAAACATTAATCTGTTCCCTTCACGGTAAACATCTAGAGGCCAGGAATGCAGCTCAGCAGGTCCCAGCCTCATTTCCTAGCCCTCACTCAAAATGGAGTCACTCCAGTTCAAACGTCTCAGACACTTTGATGTTAAGTAGCTAAACAGGCAGTGTTCTAATAGAATGACGGTGCTTGAGGAAAAGTGCAAGACCAAGTCTGTTTGCAGCTTACAGCCATTATTCTAAATATTTCCTTTGTGAATATAAAAATCCACTCATAAGTTTATAAAACAACCAAGATCCGGTTACAGATCAAACAGCTCTCCTTCCTGTAAAGGAAAAACATTCCAGGAGTTTTTCCTTCAGGAAGGAAGGTGGGGCTGGGGGCACAGGTGAGAAAGGCGCGGGCATTCCTAATCCCACAGCTCATCTTCACGCTTAGTGCTGTTTCTGTCCATGCTTTGTCCCTGTCCTAAAGAGAGTCTTATTCAGTTGTAAACTAAACCCTTTCTGAATGAAAAACAGAAAAGGCCCAGTCACGTTTTCACACAATCAGCAATCTAAATTTAAAATAAAAAATAAAATCTCCATAAAAATATGCCCACAGATTTTATACTCACACTGAGGAGACAGGAAATGCTCTCAAAGGTCAGCTCACTGTGATGTGGGGGGTGTCACGTGGAGTCAGTAAAAGATTACAGAGGCACCGAAGATGCATTAAACATGAAAATACCCAAAAGGAGAGAGAGTATCCAAGACGGAAACAGGCCTGACCCGGAGGGCCCCAGAAGGGCAGGCATCCTGGGAGCCAGGGACAGGCCAGGCCGAGGCCTTGATAGGGTCCATGCACTTGGTCCCTGGTGGACACACGTCAACGAGGCCTAAGCGCTTGGCACATCTCTCAGAGGCACCTTCTAGAGAAAAGGTGTTTGCAACATACACTGAGGCCTTGCGACATAAAATGAAAGGAAGATCACGGAATGCAATTAAAAGAACTGGCACCTGTAGTCACTCAGCAACCCTGGAGGTTCACGGAGATGCAATCGAGCCAGTCACTAAACACCATGAGAAATGGCGGAATGCAAAAAAAAAAAAAAAAAAAAAAAAAAATCCCCCAAAATAAAAGCACAATCATTTGCTTTTGTCTGCCTGCCACGCCTGCTATCTTGCGTGGCCACAGAATAGAGGAGCCTGCGGCAGCCACGTTGCAGTCCCTGCCTTCCTGGGAGCTGCCCTTGGCCATGGCGGCCGCTCAGAGCCTCCTCTTCCTGAGATCACAGCAGAGGCAGAATTGTGGGAGCCTCCATCCTGTGTGAGCCACGAGCCACTCCAAGACTGGGCCTACGTGTAGGGGATGACACCCTCCTAAAGCTGGGGCTCCCCGAGCTTTCAGCCCCAGATGCTGGGGGCCCTGGGAGCTCTGGTTCCACATGGACACACTCACACTTGCCACGTTTGCATCCAGAGCTCTGGTTCAGAAAATAGAATCATTATGCATAGAGGCTGAGTGGGTTTTTTGGCATCCCATTTTTTAATTGGCTTATTAAAATTTATGGTGCTTTAAAAGGAATTACTGGCCCTCTTACTGCCCTGTCACATAATGTTCCCAGAACAGTGACTGTTGGGTGTGTGGTTGGAACAGCTGCAGCCCTGGCCCTGTTACAGATCGTCCAGCACCCACCAGGTCCACTGGGTCAGACACTCAGGAGCAGGGCCCGGAGTCTGAGCTTTCTTAACCCCCAGCCTACCCCCCAGGCGGTTCTGACACCGGGTCAAATGTGTAAACTGAAAAAGGACCTGAGACAGGTCTCAATCAACTTAGTTTATTTTGCCAACATTAAGGATGCAGCCGTGACACAGCCTCAGGAAGTCCGGAGAACGTGTGCCCAGGCGGTCTGGGCACAGCTTGGTTTTATACATTTTAGGGAGACAGGAGTTACAGGCAGAGACATAAACCAATACCTGTAAGGTGTACATGGCTTCAGTCTGGAAAAGGGGGACAACTCAAAGTGGGGGCTTCTGGGTCACAGGTGGATTGAAAGATTTTCTGATTGGCAAATGGTTGAAAGAGTTACTATCTAAAAACCTGGAATCAATAGAAAGGAACGCCTGGATTACCATAAGTGGTTGTGGAGATCAAAGTTTTATCCTGAAGATGAAGCCTTGGGGTAGCAGGCTTTGCAGAGAACAGGTAGTAAATGTTTCTTATCTGTCTTAAGGTCTAGTGCTGATGTTTGTGAGGCTCCTGCTTCCCATCATGGCCTGAACTCGTTTTTCAGGATAATCTGGAATGCCTTTGGGGAGGGTCTGCTAGCTGGATGGGAGGCTTAGAATTTTATATTTGGTTTACACATGTGACAAGCATCGCTGTGCTACATCATTCACCCTTCACAGAGGGGTCACCTGGCTGCCCAGAGGTCAAACAGTGTGGGGACCAGACCTGCGAACACACAGACCTGTGATCTTCTGACCGTGTTCAGAGCGTGGCCCCTGAGAAAAGCAGGTAGGTGACTCCAAACTACCAACCCATGAGAACAAACGTGCGTCACGATGTGATGAGTAATTGATAATATTTATTATGATAGGCTGCTTTTCTGAAGAAGAGGCTGTCGGGAACACCTATAACTTCCTGATGTCTTATCCATGTACTTGGGATTTGTCCAAGAAGGACTTTTTAGTTCACACGATTAAAACAATCCACAGAACAAAACCAAATAAGAGTGAATGAACATCTGATTTGATCCTGGTGAGCAGCCTGCCACCGTACATTGTTATCTCATTCTAAATTAGATATCAGTTTTCCTTATGGATGCCTAAGAAGGAAACGGAATTTCTCTTATGTCCAGTTTCTGAAATTAGGAGTAAGGTACCTTAATTTATGCCTAGAATGATTAAAACCAAGAATGCTTAGCCAATTACTGAGTGAATATGCCTATTTATGGGAGAGGAATTGAAAGACATAATTCTCAAGAAAACGTGGAAAATCTCCACATCCATGAATGACAAAATAAACCATAGCTGACCCAGTGGAACCCCAGCCACTGAGGATACTTTCTGAGTGTTCGCTGATGTCTGTAAAATGAACTCTGCAATTGGAAACCTCTCACATTGCCCTCAAACTGGCAAAATTAGAAGCTAATTCAAACATAATTATAAAACAGTTCATGAGCATTTAGATTTTTGTATTCCCCTCAGCAATCAATGAGGAGGCAAGAACTGGAATGCGGACAGGCATAGCCAGGTGAGAATCCCATGGGTGGTGCAGAGGCAGGGCCAGAGCAAGGTCGCCCGCCACACCGACTGGGTCAGCACCCTCCTGGCCTTACAGCTGGGCCACACTGGCTTTTGCACGGAGCAGGCAGAAGCCAGTACGAAGCCTACGGTGCTCTCTCCTCATCCTTCTGTCCTTCCTCCATGAACTGGGGTGTGTTGGTCTGGGGAGGAGTGTAGTGTTGAACAGAGTGCAATTATTACTAAAATCTCTGATCCCTAGATTTCTTGAACAAATAACTCTAAAAGAGGGACAGAGTGGAAGGAACCATTCACTTTGTGAGAAAGGAGAAGAGGAATTTGTTTTATGTACAGATGGAAATCTCTGCATGAGAAAACCACCTTCTGGGAGCCGCGTAGACCCAGAGGCCAGGAGCCCTCTCAGACCCGAGGTTTCCTTATCTGGGCAGGAATGGAGTCATTTTACAGCCCCTTCCCTCCGTTCCTATTTCCTGGAAGGAAATCTGGTCTCAGGCTTTGAAGCCTGTTCAGATGTTGGTGAAAAACAGCTGAACTCCGGCTGCTTGTTTAAACACAAGAACAGGAGAGGGGAAGAAGTTTAGATAAGGCCCAGTAATCTGTTCTCTGAAAGAAAAAGATACTTTCATAGAACAAGAAGAGAACAAAAATGAATACTCCAAAGGTTAATAGCTTGCTGCCCATCTGCCACCCCCGCAGGAGGTTTTACTTTCCAAAAGGACCTTCTGTGTCATATCCAGATGTTTGTCTTTTATCTCAAGAGGTAAATTTTGTCTCCAAAAGGTTGAATATTGTTTTGCTTCCTTTCCTAGTGTAAAACAAATCTTTTTGTTAACACATCTGCATTCAAAAGTATCATTAGTACTTTGTAATGATCTCATCATTCTCTAATCACACTCAATATAAAATTGTGACTAAAAATGTTTCCCCCTTTTCTTCTTAGTCCAGGGATCCTGTCAGAGAAAAATAATTCCTGCCTGTTTTGAAATCTGTGGGCACCAATTTGAAACCTGGGAAATCACTGACCTGTCACTGACCTGCCACTGGGCTTGCTGGTGACCCAACCAAGTGAGAGCCGGAGCACATGGCGGGAGATGGCCCTGCAGCCGGGTGCTGACTTCTTTCAGGGCTGACCTTAATGTGGCTTAATTTAACGGTTGGAATTACCTACAGAAGGAGTCACTAGTATCAGTGCAGAAATGAGAGAGAAAGAGGCAGCAACTACTTTCTCTGATTGGAAATAGTTTAAAATTACACCTAAGTGCTGCCAACTAGCCCAGCCCCTTCGTGCCTGTGACGCTCTCTCAGCCGCTGGCTCCCTTCTCCCAGGACGTTGACATGGCCTCCTTGACGCTGATGTAAACCCGGGAAATACTGACGACTTGCTAAAGTTTTTGGTGGAACAGGGTCCTCTTGCCGCCAGCTGGCACTTCCCTAACAGGAGGGAGAATTGTATGTTCTGGTGTTGGCCTAACTGTTACTAAAAGTGCGGCTGTAGAAAAAGAAACCTCAGAGGCCTGTTTTGTGGCTGAGACGAGAGCATGAATATTATTTTGGAAGAAACCATACCCAAGTTAGGCCCCATGAATACAGACTCAGCAGTGGGCGGCGGCATGGCCAGTGCTATAAGGAGCACAAGGAGGACACAACTCCTTCACTGAAAGGCCAGTTTTTTAGGGTTCTGCACGCATTTATTATTTTTGAATCAGTCACTCATCCATTAACAACAGTTTATGAGGAGCCTGACTTGCCCCAACGCATGCTAAGCCCCACCGGGTTGGTTTCCTATTCCCGGACGGACGTGGGAAGGAGCCACTCCAACCCTGACGAGGACCAGCATAGGCCCTGCACTGGAGCTGGCCATGGCGAGGGGGTGGCCACTGCTCCAGGAGCGAGTCCAGGAGGCCAAACAGTGACCCCGTAGCAGTCGCTGCCCCATGAGGCCAGGACTTGACTCATAACCAACACCTTCCCGGATTTTTTTTTTTTTTGAGATGGAGTTTCACTCTGTTGTTCAGGCTGGAGTGCAGTGGTGTGATCTCGGCTCACTGCAACCTCCACCTCCCAGGTCCAAGCGATTCACCTGCCTCAGTCTCCCGAGTAGCTGGGATTATGGGCGCATGCCACCATGCCCAGCTAAGTTTTGGATTTTTAGTAAAGACAAGATTTCACCATGTTGGCCAAACTGGTCTCAAACTCCTGACATCAAGCAATCTGCCCACCTCAGCCTCCCAAAGTGCTGAGATTACAGGAGTGAGCCACTGTGCCCAGCCGCCTTCCCTGGTTTTTCTCCTACTTATAATTTAAGATCAACCAGAGAAAGCACAGTGTGCCCCCCGCAATCCTGCAGGACCGTCTCCCATTTTCACTCCCTGGCCTGCCTGTGAGTCTCTGCCAGATACAGTGATGGATGATAGATGATAGATGATAAACGGATGAGCTGGGAAGCGGAAGGAGGGCAGGTGGCAGGGCTGGAAGAGAGGTAGGCATGGGCGGAGGGACGAGAAGTCACAGGGCAACAGTTTAGAGGTCGGTGAATCTGGGTTGAGGGTATAATTGGCAAACAGGAATTATCTTTGTTATTCCTGTACTTTCTCCATACACTGGAAATTATTTCAACCTGAAAACCTGAAAAGCCCATGAAGGAAAGAACAAAGTAGGCTGGACGCCAGCGAAGGGGCCAGCCTGGCTCTCTCCATCTTGCTCCTGCCCATTTCCGCAGGCCGCCAGCATTCTCCCATGGCAGAGCTCTGGGCTCACAGCCTTAGAGACCCAGGGCCCAAATGGCAGGTTGTGTTTCCTTTGTTCCTGGACGTTCTGGCCAGAAGATCCCCATGGAAGGCCTTCGATGGCTCTGTCTTGGGTGAGGCCGACTCTGTGGGCTGTGGCCAGGGTCGGAGGCTCCGTGGTCAGGAGCCCAGCCAGCTCCCAGGCAGCCCTGCTGCCACCCTAGGCTCTTGGTGATTTGCCAACTGCACTTGTCCCCCTTCCAGGGAGCACCTGATGCCCCTCCCTGACCCTCCTCAGCCCTCCCTGAGTGGTACCATTCCCAGCTTCAGAGGCTGACACAGGACCTGGGCAGTCCAAGCCCAGCCAATCCCTGGACTTTGCTGGGCCACTCTTTTCTTCTGAACTTGAGTGAAAGGAGGCCCATAGAAGAGGGCAGGGCCCGCATCACTTAACCCGCAAGTCCTCTGGGACACTGTGGTCCTGCTTCCTGCGCCAGGCATCCCTGGGCTCAGATCCTTCTTCAGGTCCTGACACCGCCTGGGAGCTTGGCCTGGGGACTCCTGTGAAAACCACGTGGCACAGACCACATTGATCGCTGTGCCTGTTTGTGGCTGTTTGTGGGCCAGGGGCACCCACCTCATGCAGCAGGGGTGAGTTGTCTCCCGTAGTATGAGGACAGAATCGTCTGCAACCTTGCAGGGGACTCACAGCGTGCGATGGCCGGCGGGCGTGGTCAGGACCACCCAAGCCCAGATGCTTTTCTCGCCCCCAGATCCGAGGACCCGGGAGACATGTGGCTAGGAACATGTTTCATGTGTCGTCAAAACACTTTCCTCGGCACAGTCCTTTAAATTACTGTGAAAGCCACTGGGATATGTGACTGATTTTAAAGCCCAAAGTGCCACAAGCTGCCAGGATCATCCTCTGGGGCTTAACAGCTTCGTTGTGGCTATTGAAGGAAAATTGATCGTAACGAGTTGGAAAGTCACCAGATGTCCTCTATGACACTGAGCGCTGGAGACCAGGCATAGACCATGCTGGGTGCACCCCCGCCCCTGCCCTCCCACCAAACACCCCGCCAGGTTTGCTGAAGTCCACAGGAGACTGTTCAAGGCATCGTTCCAGACCCCTGTCCCTCGGCAGGTGAAGTGGCAGCACATGGCTGCCTCGCCATGAACACCCACATTTCCAGCTGTGGGTACTAAACTCAGGTAAAAATCGTTCCTCTCCCGAACTGGACCTTGCTAACAAACACATTCGCTGCCCAGACCACACTGTATCTTGAATCATGGTCCTTCCCCTCCTAGTTTTGGTCTCTTCCGTTGGAGAAGCGTGGGCCGTGTGGCCTCAAAGCGCCCCGTGGCTGGAGCAGTTAGAAACAGCCACTGTGGCTCCGTGGTTGCCATCGCCCTGCACTTCCTCAGGGTCCTTCGTGAGGCGACCGAAGGCCTCTGATGGGCACAGGGCTGTGGAGTGCAGCAGACACTAATGGAAATGGGATTGGCAAAGACACAGGACAGCAGCCCGTGGAATGCAGCTCTAACCCAAGCGACCTTGAGCTCTGATGCTGCTGGCACAGCCGCTCCTCTCAGGGAGCAGCTACCGAGCCTCAGAAGAGCATCTGCCACAGCCCCAAGCAGAGACTCCAGCAAGGAGAGTGGATCCATGGGGCCCTGTGGCCCTGGCAGTGTGGACAATGACTCAGCTCAAGACATGGGTCTGCTTGGGACCCCTCCCTCCATGGTGTGGACGCTACTTCCCCACAGCACATGGGACCAAGGACATGACGGTGCCAGGTACCTTGGTGCCATGCACCGAACGCTGTGTCCCTCACCTGGTCCCTGGTTGGGAGCATGGACTTGGCATCTCTATGTCCCCGCTGAAGGGATATAAGCCCCAGAGTGACCGGGCCATGTCTGGTCGGGGCCAGGTGATGGCTTCCTCATGACACCAGCATGCCGGCTCACGTGTGCTTGAGTGCCAGAGTCGGCTCCCAGAGGGCCCAGGACTCAGTACCACCCCCAGCACGGAGCCCAGCTGGGCACAGGTGATGGAGGTGCCCTCCGGTGACATGAGTGGCAGTGCCATTGAGGGTCTCAACATGCCAGTCAGCATGGCGGGGGTCACTCAGGCATAGCGTGTCAGTTGTGGGGAGGCTCCGTCCATAGATGCACTGCCTGAGGCCCGTCAGGCATGGTGGTCCTGGTCCTGTGTGTTTACTCCTCCTGTCTGAGGGCCACTCAGGGCACTCCGTGGTGCTCCCCAGAAGCCTCTCCTCACTTGCTGGTGCAGCCTCACCTGGGCTGCCTGTACTCCCTCCTCATGTCTCAGTCCCTGTGTGCTTGGCCCTGTGCTCACCTGTGCTCCTGTCAACACTGCAGGCTGGGAACTCAGTGTCCCATTCGCTGCCTGGTCACCCACATCCCAGGCTAAGTGCAGGTTCAGGAAGCGTTTGATGAGTGGCTTTGCAGTGTTCGTGCCTGGGTGTGTTGTGAGCAGCACTGGGCTCTCAACTCCACTGTCTTCTAACTCTGTTCTCTCCATTCCGCTTGGCGTATCTGTCCGTGGTGCTGTGGGAGCCTGCAGGTTGCCTCTCACTGCTGCGGGGGACCCGCTTGCCACGCGGCACCTGCCCATGCTTCCCACCTGACCGCCGCCCACATGCCGGATGTGCTGCCGCTCCACTGTGCTCACCAGCATTCAGGGCTTGACTTTACGGGCTTTTCAAGACACGTGGGTGTAAAGTGGTGTCTCACTGTTTTCATCTGCATTTCTCTCCTTTGCAGTAACTTTGAGGTTATGAGCACACACATGGTGCTTGTGTCTCTTGAACTGGCTTCCTGTGGTGGCTATCAAATGACCACGGATGCAGTGGCTTAAACACACACACTTATCTTCTCCCGCAGTTCTGGGGTCAGAAGTCTGAACGTGGGTCGGGAGGGGGGCGTTCCTTCCGGAGGCTCCAGGAAGAGCTGACTTCCTCACCTTTCCCAGCTCCCAGAGGCCCCACATTCCTGGGTGAGGCCCCACGTTCCTGGGCAAGGCCCCTGCCTCCCTCTGCAACGGCCCCAGGAACAGCCCGAGGCCCATCCGGATCAACCAGGCTCCTTTCCTCTCCAGGCACCCACCCAGAACCTCCGCAAAGGCCCTTGTGCCCTGACTCATCTCCACAGCTTCTGGGAGCAGGGACCCAGCAGCTCCGGGAGGGTCACATCTCACCACAGATACTCATCCATAGCACTCGTACATCCTTCTGTTGGGTTTCCTGCTTCTTGATGACTTGCAGGAACTCCTTGTATATTTTAAATATAATCCTGGTTGTCTGAAACACTGTAAGTATTTTCCCCCTGCATGGATGGGTTTATGAACTCTGCCTACCATAGACTTCACTGAGTGGAAATTATTAATGTTGACATAAAATTCTATCTTTTTTTTTAACCTTATGGATGCTGCTTTGGGATTCTTGTTTGAAAAAATATTTCCCAACCTACAAAGATCCTTACTTTTATTGTCCTTGTCTGTTTTTAAAAAAATATTTTTTAATTTTTTTAAAATTTGGAGATGGGGTCTATGTTGCCCAACCTGCTCTCAAACTCCTAGGCTCACATGATCCTCCCATCTTGGCCTCCCAAAATGTTGGGATTACAGGCATGAGCCACTGTACCCGGCTCCCAGTTTCATTTTTATTATTTAAGAAATTAACCTATCTGGAATCTACCTTTGCTTAAATGTTGTAATGTAGGACCAGTTTTATCCACATTGTGATTTTCTAAATACCGCTGGCCAAACTGTCATTCTCCCATTGTCCTGTAATGTCCTCTTCATCATTTACGTGGATCTACTTTGAACCCTCCTTTCCCTTCATCTACGAAGATGTTCCTACATCAGTACTATAGTTAATTTTTAAAAATTCATCATTAAAATTTTAATATATAACAGAAGAGAGTAGTATAAATAACCCATGTGTCCGTCTGCAGCCTCAACGATAATCGGTCTCTAATCTTTTGATGCCATGGCTGTGTACTGTGGCTTGTTATTGGTAGGTTATTTTCCTGCCTTGATCTCCAATGAAAGAGTTACTACATCTACTAATAGGCATTTTTGCTTTCATGTGCATCTTAGAACAAATTTATTGAAGTCATCAAAAAATCCAGCTAGAAGATGAATATTCATAGTTTGAAACACTTATAGCAATAAAAAAGAATGAGTGAAAATTGATTAATTAAGCATCAAACTCAACAATTAGAAACAACACAGCAAAATTAACTGAAGGAAACCAGAAGGAAGGAGCTAAGAGAGAAGCACAGGCTAATACAGTAGGAAAAAAGATAACAGGTAGACTAACAAACAAATTAGAAAGCCGATTCTTTGAAAAATAAAGCAAGATAAATTGATAGATAATGTTGCCAAGAATACAAGGTGAAAAAGCACAAGTATACAAAATAAGGAATGATGAGGTAAAAATAACAAGGAAACAGATGAAATTAAAAGCATCATGAGACCACCTGCTCAACGCTATTCAAATCAGCTTGAAATCCTAGAAAAATGGACGATCTTCTAAGAAAATATGGACCAAATGGATCTCAAAAGAGACGGAAAATCTAAGTTAGTCACTTTATTTTAAAAAAGAGGTGCTCACCACCGACACCCAGAAGCAACAGGTGCAAACATTTTTATGGGAGAATTGTAACAAACTTTAAATAGCGGATAATTCCAATAATTTAAAAAACTCTTCCAGAACAACGGAAAAGAACGTAAACCTCCAATTTTTTTTCTACACAGCGAATAACATTAGTGACCAAAACCTGAAAAGACTGCACCAAAAAGAAAACTACAAGTCGTCCCCAATCTCACCTATACATATCAATAAAAACGTAAATAAAATATAGTCTGTTATGGAGAATGGTCTAAGCAATAAATAAATACATAAAGAGAAAAAGAAAAATGTAGAAATACAGTAGCACATTTAAAATAGTGCAAGGTGATCAAGGAATGGCAGGATGGTTCTAAAATAGAGTATCTATTATTACAATTTATCATATTAATAATTCTGAGAAGAAATTACATCATCTTCAGAATTGTGGTAAACATATTTTTAAAACATTCCTTAATACTGAATAAAATGAGATAAATATTTACTATTAAAAACATATCTAATATGAAATATTAATTTGCTTGTTGGTTAGTACTTTCACTGGAATCAAGAAAAACCAAAAATACCCAGTACCAGCACTATTGAATAACATTATACTGGAGGCATCAGTGCATGAAATTAGATAAAAGAAACAACATAGAGCATACAAATTAGAAAGGAGGAGATAAGGTTGTTTACCAGTACTAAGACTGTATGTTGACATTTTCAATAGGGTACAAGACCATTCCATGGGGAAAGAATAATCTTTTCAAGAAATGCATCTGGGACAGCTAGAAATCCACATGCAAACTAATGAGGTTAGACCCTTCTCTCACAACATATACAAAAATTCAAAATGAATAAAAAGCTTAAATACAAGTGCATACATCATAAAACCTTTAGAAGAAAACATAGAAGTAAATGTTCATGACCCTAGACTTGTGAATGATTTCTTAGATATGAAGCCAAAAATGCTAGCAAAAAAGGAGATAAATTGGACTTCATCAAAATAAAATACTTTGTGCATCAAAGAACACAACGAAGAAAGTGAAAATACAGCCCATAGAAAGGGAGAAAATATTTACAAATTGCGTATTTCATAAAGGTATCTGGAATACATAAAATCTCTTCTAATTCAACAACAAAAGACAATCAACCCGACTGAAAAATGGGCAAAGGATTGAATGGGCATTTCTCCAAAGAAGATTTACAAATGGCCAACAAACATATATGTTAAAAGAAAAACTTCAGATGAATTAAATTTAAAGGAGTTTAATTGAGCTATGAACAATTTATGAATTGGGCAGCCCCCAGAATCATGGTAGATTCAGAAAGACTCCAGGGATGCCTCATGGTCAGAACAAATTTATAGACAAAAAAGTGAAGTGACATACAGAAATTGGCAATGCGGTATAGAAACAACTGGATTGGTTACAGGTTGGTGTTTGCCTTATTTGAACACAGTTTGAACACTAAGCAGTCTATGAGTGGTTGTAGTATGGCCGCAGGGATTGGCCAAGACTCAGCTATTGTTACAGGCACATACTCCTAAGTTAGGTTTTCAATCTTATCTCCCTATTAAGCTAAGTTACAGTTTGTCCACAGGGACTCAAATATAGAAATATGGAGTCCTTCTCAAGGCATATTTAGTTTGCTTTAAATCGAAACCACAATGGAAATCACTGCACACCCATTTCATACCCACTAGGAGAGCTATACTTTTTAAAAAAAAAAAAAACAGGAAAACAACAAGTGTTGTCATAGATGCGGAGAAATTGGAATTCTTTATTTTATTTATTTATTTATTTATTTATTATACTTTAAGTTCTAGGGCACGTGTGCACAACGTGCAGGTTTGTTACATATGTATACATGTGCCATGTTGGTGTGCTGCACCCATTAACTCGTCATTTACATTAGGTATTTCTCCTAATGGTATCCCTTCCCCCGCCACCCCATGACAGGCCCCGGTGTGTGATGTTACCCACCCTGTGTCCAGGCGTTCTCATTGTTCAATTCCCACCTATGAGTGAGAACATGGGGTGTTTGGTTTTCCGTCCTTGCGATAGTTTGCTCAGAATGATGGTTTCCAGCTTCATCCATGTCCCTACAAACGACATGAACTCATCCTTTTTTATGGCTACATAATATTCCATGGTGCATATGCACAACATTTTCTTAATCCAGTCTATCATTGATGGACATTTGGGTTGGTTCCAAGTCTTTGCTATTGTGAATAGTGCCGCAATAAACATACATGTGCATGTGTCTTTATAGCAGCATGATTTATAATCCTTTGGGTATATACCAAGTAATGCAATCACTGGGTCAAATGGTATTTCTAGTTCTAGATCCTTGAGAAATCGCCACACTGTCTTCCATAATGGTTGAACTAGTTTACACTCCCACCAACAGTGTAAAAGTGTTCCTATTTCTCCACATCCTCTCCAACACCTGTTGTTTCCTGACTTTCTAATGATCGCCATTCTAACTGGTGTGAGATGGTATCTCATTGTGGTTTTGATTTGCATTTCTCTGATGGCCAGTGATGATGAGCATTTTTTCACGTGTCTGCTGGCTGCATAAATGTCTTCTTTTGAGAAGTGTCTGTTCATATCCTTTGCCCAGTTTTTGATGGGGTTGATTTTTTCTTGTAAATTTGTTTAAATTCTTTGTAGATTCTGGATATTAGCCCTTTGTCAGATAGATTGCAAGATTGTTCTCCCATTCTGTAGGTTGCCTGTTCACTCTGATGGTAGTTTCTTTTGCTGTGCAGAAACTCTTTAGTTTAATTAGATCCCATTTGTCAATTTTGGCTTTTGTTGCCATTGCTTTTGGTGTTTTAGTCATGAAGTCTTTGCCCATGCCTATGTCCTGAATGGTATTGCCCAGGTTTTCTTCTAGGGTTTTTATGGTTTTAGGTCTAACATTTAAGTCTTTAATCCATCTTGAATTAATTTTGGTATAAGGTGTAAGGTAGGGATCCAGTTTCAGCTTTCTACATATGGCTAGCCAGTTTTCCCAGCACCATTTATTAAATAGGGAATCCTTTCCCCATTGCTTGTTTTTTCAGGTGTGTCAAAGATCAGATGGTCGTAGATGTGTGGTATTATTTCTGAGGGCTCTGTTCTGTTCCATTGGTCTCTATCTCTGTTTTGATACCAGTACCATGCTGTTTTGGTTACTGCAGCCTTGTAGTATAGTTTGAAGTCAGGTAGCATGATGCCTCCAGCTTTGTTCTTTTTGCTTAGGATTGTCTTGGCAATGCGGGCTCATTTTGGTTCCATATAAACTTTAAAGTAGTTTTTTTCAATTCTGTGAAGAAAGTCATTGCTAGTTTGATGACATTGAATCTATAAATTACCTTGGGCAATATGGCCATTTTCATGATATTGATTCTTCCTATCCATGAGCATGAAATGTTCTTCCATTTGTTTGTGTCCGCTTTTATTTTGTTGAGCAGTGGTTTGTAGTTCTCCTTGAAGAGGTCCTTCACATCCCTTGTAAGTTGGATTCCTAGGTATTTTATTCTCTTTGAAGCAATCACGAATGGGAGTTCACTCATGATTTGGCTCTCTGTTTGCCTGTTACTGGTGGATAAGAATGCTTGTGATTTTTGCACATTGATTTTGTATCCGGAGACTTTGCTGAAGTTGCTTATCAGCTTAAGGAGATTTTGGGCTGAGACGATGGGGTTTTCTAGATTTACAATCATGTCATCTGCAAACAGGGACAATTTGACTTCCTCTTTTCTTAATTGAATACGCTTTATTTCTTTCTCTTGCCTGATTGCCCTGGCCAGAACTTGCAACACTACGTTGAATAGGAGTGTTGAGAGAGGGCATCCCTCTTTTGTGCCAGTTTTCAAAGGGAATGCTTCCAGTTTTTGCCTATTCAGTATGATATTGGCTGTGGGTTTGTCATAAATAGCTCTTATTATTTTGAGATACGTCCCATCAATACCTAGTTTATTGAGAGTTTTTAGCATGAAGAGCTGTTGAATTTTGTCAAAGACCTTTTCTGCATCTATTGAGATAATCGTGTGTTTTTTTGTCTTTGGTTCTGTTTATATGACAGATTACATTTATTGATTTGCATATGTTGAACCAGCCTTGCATCCCAAGGATGAAGCCAACTTGATCATAGTAGATAAGCTTTTTGATGTGCTGCTGGATTCGGTTTGCCAGTATTTTATTGAGGATTTTTGCATCAATGTTCATCAGAGATATTGGTCTAAAATTCTCTTTTTTTGCTGTGTCTTTTCCAGGCTTTGGTGTCAGGATGATGCTGGCCTCATAAAATGAGTTAGGGAATATTCCCTCTTTTTCTATTGATTGGAATAGTTTCAGAAGGAATGGTACCAGCTCCTCTTTGTACTTTTGGTAGAATTTTACTGTGAATCCGTCTGGTCCTGGACTTTTTTTGGTTGGTAGGCTATTAATTATTGCCTCAATTTCAGAGCCTGTTATTGGTCTATTCAGGGATTCAACTTCTTCCTGGTTTAGTCTTGGGAGAGTGCATGTGTCCAGGAATATGTCCATTTCTTCTAGATTTTCTAGTTTATTTGTGTAGAGGTGTTTATAGTATTCTCTGATAGCTTGTATTTCTGTGGGATCGGTGGTGATAACCCCTTCACCATTTTTTATTGTGTCTTTTTGATTCTTCGCTCTTTTCTTCTTTATTAGTCTTGCTAGTGGTCTATCAATTTTGTTGATCTTTTCAAAAAACCATCTCCTGGATTCATTGATTTTTTGAAGGGTTTTTTTTTTGTCTCTATCTCCTTCAGTTCTGCTCTGATCTTAGTTATTTCTTGCCTTCTGCTAGCTTTTGAATGTGTTTGCTCTTGCTTCTCTAGTTCTTTTAATTGTGATGTTAGGGTGTCAATTTTAGATCTTTCCTGCTTTCTCTTGTGGGCATTTACGGCTATAAATTTCCCTCTACACACTGCTTTAAATATGTCCCAGAGATTCTGGTATGTTGTGTTCTTTGTTCTCATAGGTTTCAGAGAACATCTTTACTTCTGCCTTCATTTTATTTACCCAGTAGTCATTCAGGAGCAGGTCGTCCAATTTCCATGTAGTCATTTGGTTTTGAGTGAGTTTCTTAATCCTGAGTTCTAATTTGATTGCACTGTGGTCTGAGAGACCGTTTGTTATAATTTCTGTTCTTTACATTTGCTGAGGAGTGCTTTACTTCCAACCATGTGGTCAATTTTGGAACAAGTGCAATGTGGTGCTGAGAAGAATGTATATGCTGTTGATTTGGGGTGGACAGTTCTGTAAATGTCTATTAGGTCCACTTGGTGCAGAGCTGAGGTCAAGTCCTAGATATCCTTGTTAACTTTGTCTCGTTGATCTGTCTAATGTTGACAGTGGGGTGTTGAAGTCTCCCATTATTATTGTGTGGGAGTCTAAGTCTCTTTGCAGGTCTCTAAGGACTTGCTTTATGAATCTGGGTGCTCCTGTATTGGGTGCATATATATTTAGGATAGTTAGCTCTTCTTGTTGAATTGATCCCTTTACCATTATGTAATGGCCTTCTTTGTCTCTTTTGATCTTTGTTGGTTTAAAGTCTGTTTTATCAGAGACTAGGATTGCAACCCCTGCTTTGTTTTTTGTTTTCCATTTGCTTGGTAGATCTTCCTCCATCCCTTTATTTTGAGCCTATATGTGTCTCTGCACGTGAGATGGGTCTCCTGAATACAGCAGCACACTGATGGGTCTTGAGTCTTTATCCAATTTGCCAGTCTGTGTCTTTTAATTGGGGCATTTAGCCCATTTACATTTAAGGTTAATATTGTTATGTGTGAATTTGATCCTGTCATTATGATGTTAGCTGGTTATTTTGCTCGTTAGTTGATGCAGTTTCTTCCTAGCATCGATGGACTTTATAATTTGGCATGTTTTTGCAGTGGCTGATACCAGTTGTTTCTTTCCATGTTTAGTGATTCCTTCAGGAGCTCTTGTAAGGCAGGCCTGGTGGTGACAAAAATCTCTCAGCATTTGCTTGTCTGTAAAGGACTTTATTTCTCCTTCACTTATGAAGCTTAGTCTGGATATGAAATTCTGGGTTGAAAATTCTTTTCTTTAAGAATGTTGAGGCCGGGCGCGGTGGCTCACGCTTGTAATCCCAGCACTTTGGGAGGCCGAGGCGGGCGGATCACGAGGTCAGGAGATCGAGACCATCCTGGCTAACACGGTGAAACCCCGTCTCTACTAAAAATACAAAAAAAATTAGCCGGGCGTGATGGTGGGCGCCTGTAGTCCCAGCTACTCGGGAGGCTGAGGCAGGAGAATGGCGTGAACCCTGGAGGCGGAGCTTGCAGTGAGCCGAGATTGCGCCACTGCACTCCTGCCTGGGCCACAGAGCGAGACTCCGTCTCAAAAAAAAAAAAAAAAAAAAAAAAAGAATGTTGAATATTGGCCCCCACTCTCTTCTGCCTTGTAGAGTTTCTGCTGAGAGATCTGCTGTTAGTCTGATGAGTTTCTCTTTGTGGGTAACCCAATCTTTCTGTCTGGCTGCCCTTAACATTTTTTCCTTCATTTCAACCTTGGTGAATCTGACAATTATGTGTCTTGGGGTTGCTCTTCTAGAGGAGTATCTTTGTGGCATTCTCTGTATTTCCTGAATTTGAATGTTGGCCTGCTTTGCTAGGTTGGGGAAGTTCTCCTGGATAATATCCTGAAGAATGTTTTTCAACTTGGTTCCATTCTCCCCATCCCAGGTACACCAATCAGATGTAGATTTGGTCTTTTCACATAGTCCCGTATTTCTTGGAGGCTTTGTTCGTTTCTTTCTACTCTTTTTTTCTCTAAACTTCTCACTTCATTTCATTCATTTGATTTTCAATCACTGATACCCCTTCTTCCACTTGATCGAATTGGCTACTGAAGCTTGTGCATGTGTCACGTAGTTCTCGTGCCATAGTTTTCAGCTCCATCAGGTCATTTAAGGTCTTCTCTATGCTGTTTATTCTAGTTAGCCATTCGTCTAATCTTTTTTCAAGGTTTGTAGCTTCTTTGCGATGGGTTCGAACATCCTCCTTTAGCTTGGAGAAGTTTGTTATTACCGATCTTCTGAAGTGTACTTCTGTCAACTTGTCAAAGTCATTCTCCATCCAGCTTTGTTCCATTGCTGGCGAGAAGCTGCATTCCTTTGGAGGAGAAGAGGTGCTCTGATTTTTAGAATTTTCAGCTTTTCTGCTCTGGTTTCTCGCCATCTTTATGGTTTTATCTACCTTTGGTCTTCGATGATGGTGACCTACAGATGGGGTTTTGGTGTGGATGTCCTTTTTGTTGATGTTGATGCTATTCCTTTCTGTTTGTTAGTTTCCCTTCTAACAGTCAGGACCCTCAGCTGCAGGTCTGTTGGAGTTTGCTGGAGGTCCACTCCAGTGGAGGCTGCAGAACAGCAAATGTTGCTGCCTGATCCTTCCTCTGGAAGCTTCATCTCAGAGGGGCACCTGGTTGTATGAGGTGTCAGTCAGCCCCTACTGGGAGGTGTCTCCCAGTTAGGCTACTCAGGGGTCAGGGACCCACTTGAGGAGGCAGTCTGTCCATTCTCAGATCTCAAACTCTGTGCTAGGAGAACCACTGGTCTCTTCAAAGCTGTCAGACAGGGACATTTATGTCTCCAGAAGTTTCTGCTGCCTTTTGTTCAGCTATGCCCTGCCCCCAGAGGTGGAGTCTACAGAGGCAGGTGGGCCTTGTTGAGCTGCGGTAGGCTCCACCCAGTTCAAGCTTCCTGGCTTTGTTTACCTAGTCAAGCCTCAGCAATGGCGGACGCCCCTCCCCCAGCCTTGCTGCCACCTTGCAGTTCGATCTTGGCCTGCTTTACTAGCAGTGAGCAAGGCTCCATGGGTGTGGGACCCTCCAAGCCAGGCACGGGATATAATTTCCTGGTGTGCTGTTTGCTAAGACCGTTGGAAAAGCACACTATTAGGGCAGGAGTGTCCCAATTTTCCAGGTACTGTCTGTCACAGCTTCCCTTGGCTAGGAAAGGGAATTCCCCAATCCTTTGCACTTGCCAGGTGAGGTGATGCCCCGCCCTTCTTCAGCTCACACTCCATGGGCTGCACCCAGTGTCCAACAAGTCCCAGTGAGATGAACCTGGTAACTCAGTTGGAAATGCAGAAATCACCCATCTTCTATGTCGCTCACACTGGGAGCTGTAGACTGGAGCTGTTCCTATTCGGCCATCTTGGAACAGAGACAGAGAAATTGGAATTCTTATACTGTATTGGTACCTTGCCTTAGATTTGTAAAATGGTGAGGCTGCCATGGAAGAGTTTAACTCAACAAGTACCCAGCAATTCCAGTTTTGGGTATATAACCCCCCACACCAAATTGATAACTGGTGTTCAAAGAGAAACTTGCTCATGAACATTGATAGCAGCTTTATTTTCAATAGGCAGAAGGTAGAATCAACACATACGCCCATCAGCTGAAGATGATAGCAGCTTTATTTTCAACAGGCAGAAGGTAGAATCAACCCATACGCCCATCAGCTGAAAAACGGGTGAGCAAAATGTGGTGTATACAGACAATGGAGTGTTATTTAGCCACAAAAAGGAAGGAGGCACTGACACACACTACACATACATGAAACTTGAAAACATACTAAGTGAGAGAAGGCAGGCATGAAAGGCCACATATTACACAGTTCCACTTACATATCCAGAGTAGGCAAGCCCAGAGACAGGTGGCAGATTAGGGACTGCCAGAGGCTGGGGGCCAGGGGATGGGGAGAGACTTCTAGTGGGGACAGGGCTTCCCACTGGGGTGATGGCGTTAGGCAGAAGTGATTCACAATATTGTGAATGCACTAAATGTCACTAGTGGTAAGTTGTATGTTACGTACATAAAATAAAATAATAACAAAATTAGGAGGCTGATAAAGACCATATATCTGGAGAATCTGGCAGAATGAACTGAAAAACAAACTCAAACAATGAGAGAATTAGTGAGGCAGTCTGGTGTGAAATTAAAAGACACGATCCAAGTGCTTTCATTAAGCAAATAACAAGCTAGAAGCTACAAACAAAGGGAAAGATCACATTTGTAAAAGCAAAAAAAAAGAGCTGAGGAACAGCTCATTCAGGATGTACATCCTCTCTGTCACCTCCATCCATGGCTCAGTTCCGTCGTGCACTGCAGGCTGGTTCCTAAGATGGGGCCCAGGCCCTCGAGGCCCAGGTGCTCTGATGGGCTTGGCCTACCAGAAGCACCGCTAGTGGGAAGAAGAGTTCGGCCCTGTCTTCCCGGCCCTGTCTTCCTGGCTCCCTCTACAGAGACGGCTCCTCCTCTAGGCCTCCTGGAGTGTCTGCTGCGGATGGAGGTACTTTGAGACAGCAGAGTTTTAAGGATGCCCCTGCACCTGGAGCTGCTCCTATGATTGTGTAAAGTTACCTGGCAGGGGCTTCATCTCATCACATATTTGGTGAAGCAGGGAGCTTTCCCCAGCTGGTGCAAAGGGCAGTCAGACAGATTCAGGGCATGCAAAGGACTGGGCTCACTGCCGTCACTGGCTTTAAAGATGGATGTGGCCCTGGGAGAAGAATGCAGGTGCCCTGAGGAGCTGAGAGTGGCCCCAGGTGACAGTCAGTGAGGAAACAAGAGTTTCAGTCCCACGGCTGCAAAGAATCAAATGCTGTCAATGACCTGAAGGTGCCCTGGAGCCCTTAGTTCTGTTCCTGCTGTGGCTGCACCTCTCCCTTTCATCCAACAAAGATGCCCCAGATGAACTCTCACTCAGAGAGCAAGGCACTGAGAGCTGCGCACTGTTCCATTCCCAAAGCATTTATGTAAGTTATTAAAGGGAAGAGAATAAAAGCCTGAGATGGTCTTCAAAATGTTATATCTTGCTCTGAGCGATGAAAAATTATGCATGCTTTCTCCTATGATATGCATCTGTTAGAGAGAGGAGAGCTCTCTGAAGGCCAAGTGAGGCACTACCTCTGGATGTGGGGCACCGAGTCACTGTGCACATTTTATTATGTGTCTGTCTGTTCCTGTGCTCAGGGGACAGGAGTGAATAATGCACAGGCCCTTCAATGAATCCACCGTTGTGTGTGTGGACGTGGCCAAGGAACTGTGATGGAACACACTCATGAAGAACAAAGCCGTGGAGGTCACAGCAGCAGGCAGCCAGGTCTGGAGGAGATGCATGGGAGCCAGACATCCGCATGCAAGCGAGGAGGGCGCCCCCAGGAGTTCACAATTTATTTGTCAGCATGAAAAATCCCATCTGGAAAGGCAGTGACACAGAGCAGTAACTAACAAGGACAAAAAAGGGTCAAATAAGGAAAAAAGCCAAATGTATCTTTTCTGAAATCTCTCCCAAAATCTTGAGAGGAGGCTACATTTGTGGTACATAATAACAGATTATCTCTCTTTCTCCTCCTCCTCTTTCTGTCTCTCTGTCTCTCTCACACAGGCTACTCCCGAGGCTCTGCACCCAGCTGCTCCCCTCAGCACGTAGCCCTGAAGCCCAGTCAGCTTCTCCGATGCTGTTAGCTTCTCTCCTCTGCTCAGTACGTTTTATCTCCACCAGCGCAGCAGGGCCTGACCCATTGCAGTGTTGGGAACTTTAAGGTTTCAGGTTCATATCTGGTGCCAAAATTCACAGGATGAGGTTGTCTTTAAAGTCTTTCCTGGCTCTCATATTTTATGAGTCAGTTCTACGATTTTGGAGACAGGAGATATCCCGAACGAAAGCAGAGAGAACAAGGGTTGTAATCTATCTGGGTTTGAGAGGGAGAAGAGGAAAGAGTACTGCAGAGGAGGATAAAAGAACATAAGCCAGGAGCGCGCGGCGGTGCCTGTGGTCCCAGCTACCCTGGCGGCTGAGGCAGTAGTCAGCAGAGATCACGCAACTGCACTCCAGCCCGGGCAGCAGACCAAGACCCTGTCTCAAAAAGTAAATAAATAAAAAGGAACACATTGGAGGCTGGAATGTCCTGGGCACCTTGACTCTAGACCTGCCAGAGCACTGTGATAGGAGGGCAGTGAGGGGAGCGCTGTGAGGGGGGAGCTCTGTGAGGGGAGCGCTGTGAGGGAACGCGGGGAGGGATGTGAGGGAGCGCTGCGCCAGAGCGCTGTGAGGGGAGCACTGTGAGGGGAGGGATGTGAGGGGGGCGCTGTGAGGGGAGCTCTGTGAAGGGAGCGCTATGCCAGAGCGCTGTGAGGGGAGCACTGTGAGGGGAGGGATGTGAGGGGAGCTCTGTGAGGGGAGGGATGTGAAGGGGGCGCTGTGAGGGGAGCTCTGTGAGGGGAGGGATGTGAGGGGGGGCCCTGTGAAGGGAGGGATGTGAACAAGTGCTGTGAGGGGAGCGCCGTGAGCGGAGACATGTGGGGGGAGCGCCCTGACGGGAAGGATGTGAGGGGGGCCCAGTGAGGGGAGGGATGTGAGGGGAGCGCCATGAGTGGAAGGATGTGAGGGGAGTGCCGTGAGCAGAAGGAAGTGAGGGGGCACTGTGAGGGGAGAGATGTGAGGGGAGCGCCCTGAGGGGAGGGATGTGAGAGGGGCGCTGTGAGGGGAGCGCCACGAGGGGAAGGATGTGAGAGGAGTGCCATGAGCAGAAGGATGTGAAGGGGCGCTGTGAGGGGAGAGATGTGAGGGGAGCCCCTGAGAGGAGGGATGTGAGAGGGGCACTATGAGGGGAGGGATGTGAGGGGAGCGCTGTGAGGGGAGCGTCGTGAGGGGAGCGCCGTGAGGGGAGCGCCGTGAGGGGAAGGATGTGAGGGGAGTGCCGTGAGCAGAAGGATGTGAGGGGGTCGCTGTGAGGGGAGAGATGTGAGTGGAGCGCCGTGAGGGGAGAGATGTGAGGGGAGCACTGTGCCAGAGTGCTGTGACGGGAGCACTGTGAGGGGACTGTTGTGAGGGGAGCACCGTGAGGAGAGGGATGTGAGGGGGGCGCTGTGAGGAAAGGGATGTGAGCAAACATTGTGAGGGGAGCACCGTGAGGGGAGAGATGTGAAGGGAGCGCCCTGAGGGGAGGGATGTGAAGGGGGCGCTGTGAGGGGAGGGATGTGAGTGAGTACTGTGAGGAGAGCTCAGTGAGGGGACGTTTTAAGCACAACTCCTTGGTTTCACCTTCATCATTCTCTCCCTTCTTCCTCCACACAGGCCTGGCACTGGCATGGGTTGCTGAGAAGGCCCCTGAAGCAGCATTTCATCACCACCATGGCCTCCAAGAGAGCGGTGCCTCCTATGAGCCCTAGAGTGCAGGTTCTCCAAGGGCCACTGAGGCCCTGAGAACCTTCCTCTGCTCACCGTCAAGGTCAGCCGGGACCTCGGAAACTGGTGTTCCTCACTCTCCCTCTCATGTAAACACCTCTGGCTGACCTGGTCGTGGGAGCAGGCTCGGACCTGTGAGGCCAGGCAAGGGTCCCTGGTGAGAAGGGCCTGTTCACCTCCCCTGCCTCCTGCCAGTCACTGTGGTTCTCTCCGGGGTCATCATGGAAGTCTCCTTCTTGGTTCTTCGTCAGCCAAGAGTGACAGGAACAAGAACAACAAGAGGACCTCGTGCAAGGAGCTCCTGATGCCTTCCCCAGTCCATTTGTCCACCCCTTGGGTGGCTCAGACTCAAGCTGCTCTTCTCTCTACGTCTGCTCCTAAACACTGGGGGGTCATCACTCAAGGATAAGGGCTTTTTTTTTTTTTAACCAACAATATCTTTGCTCTAAAGCAAAGCAGGGCTAAGGATGGAGAGACAGAGACCTCCCATCTTTGCTCCTTCACCTGTCAATCAAAAGGGCAATAAAGTGATTGAAAAGGCATAAAAACAAAGCTCAGAGAGGAGAAGACAGGAAGACTCGGCCAGGAGGGAGGACTGAGCAATCTCAGGTAAAGCAGGAACAGGGAAGCCCAGCTACCACCCAGGGGATCTGCGCCAGACTCAGGAAACCTCAGAAGTCAGGGGTGTCAAGGAGCCCGGGTGATTGTGAGGCACCTCAGGCATGCAGGGGCAGCTGGGCAGTGAGGGTGGAGGACACCTTGCTGAGAGGGGTGAGTGGAGCCCCCCTGTGGAGAGTGGGATACCTCACCCACCTTCCAAGCTCCCAGAATGTCAAAGGCCAGGCTCATACCCCCAGGCAGGAGGTCAAAGAATTAAAGGACCTCTCTCTTGGCTGTGGAGGGAAAATCTACAAATGCAGTCTTTGGACTTAGGAGTCCCCAGTGGAAGAACTGGGCCATCTCCACTGCTGTGAGGTGAGGGCCACTCGTAAGCAAGCCCCCATACGCCTCCTACAGCTGTTGGGCCTTGGCTGCAGAGCTGTTGGGCACTTGGCTGCAGAGCTGTTATCAGCCAGGGTCCCAGCAGGAAATCCATGACACGCTCAAGCTTGGTAAATCGAGAAAAGTTTAATTAAGGAACTGCTATTGAAAAGCAATAATCAAAAAAGAACTAATGGCAAACGTGCAGGCAGTCTTGGAATACCATGGGAGAGCTGCAGTGCCCTGCCACCAGCACAAACTCCAGTCTTGAAGGACATGCCTGAGCAGTTAGTGGAACCCAGGAAGGCCACAGGACAGCAGGGATGCCCAGCAAGGCCTTCAGGAGAGGGATGCAGATGACTGGAGGAAACCTCTATGGGAAAGAGCCCGGCTGCATCTCCTCCCCACACACCATCCACTCCCATTGGAAGCACATGTGGCTGCTTCCTGCATGTGAGTGGGTTGGGGTGGGGGGTCTGTGTGGAGGATGCAGGCCAGAGACCCAGGGAGACCCTAACATGACACAGACCCAGAGAGAAACCTGGAGGAAGCCGAGTGGATGGAGGGAGTAGGACGCAGACAAACCTATGATATTCGCAGAGAAACAGGGTGGCCGTGAAATAAGAGCAGACACCGCAAAACTACACACAGAATCTTTCAATTAAAAGTAGAATAGACATAAATAATTTAATAGAAATGTTGAATATTAGACTCATTTACATCTCACAGAAACAGAATAAAAAGATGCACAGATGAAGAATTAGGGAGGAATGAAAAAAGAAATAGAGAATCAACCCAGAAATTCCAATACCCACTTAATGAGAAGAGAGACCAGAGAGGTCAGACAGGAGAGACCAGCAAAGAAATAACTCAAACAAGTGGTCCAGAACTGCAGACAGGAGCCCAGATTGAGAGAGTAGCGCATGCATGAAAGAACAGAGTAAAAACACCTGTGTCATCCACATCCTCATTGCTGAGACACTTCAGGCAGAGCTCACCAGCAGCCCAGGGGCCAGAGCCACAGGCCCCAGCACTCTCGTGGCAGAACTGGAATGGCTGAGACCTCCCTACAGAACGCTGGAGTCTGCAGGGCGGGAAGTGAAGCCTTCTCAGTTCTGAGAGACATTTCTTGCAGCCTAGAATCCTGGTCCCAGAAAGAAAAGGTCAAGGAGAGAATGGCGACGTCTCCAGACATTGCAGGTCTCAAAGGGTTCCTTCCACACAGGGTAACTCAGGCAGCCCTGAAGGTGAGGAGCAGGGAGACACAGGGAAATGTGGCCAGAGCCTTAGGAGCTGAGGCAGTGGGGGCCTCAGGGACGCCATGGCTGGACCTTCGATGTGCCTGATCGTCCAAGGGTCTTTCTTATTTCCGTTAGGAAGTATGTGGCTAGAACAGTGGTCCCTTCCTAGAAGTCTAAGGAAATAACAACTAAAATGCAACAGCTTCTAACCCCAGAGGAAACGGAGTGCATGAAGGGAAACTTAATCATTTTACAATTACACAGCTCAGCTGAGAATAAGCTCTGCGTGATCACAGGATGGCAACCTGGAATACTGAGGTCGCCACAGAGTGTGGCTATCGCATTGGAGGAGAAGGGGGTGCAGAGATTGTGGGTGCATGCATGTGCTTAGCAGAAAGGTTAGCTCCTCCCCCATCATTGAAGGAAATCAATAGATGAGCCCCAAAATAAACATGAGACACAAGCATGTTCTTTCACAGGAGGCAAACACCAAGAGACAGAGTGACAGCCGCAAGGACCGAGGGTGGAATAAGGAAGCCGCTTTCACCACAAACCAGGCAGTAATGCTGGCTCTTAAAAGCTTTGCAAGCAGTGATTCTTGCCCTTTTGGCCAAGACCAAGTGTAGTACCTGCTCTTAGCCGTTTAAGAATTTTACATATACAAGTGCAATAAAATTTACAAGTAAAGCCTTAAAAATATGTAGAAAGTTACGTTTTAAATAGCAACAAATAATTTGGGTGTTGATGTGTAAAACAGAGCAGGGCTACTGGGCTTAACTGGAATTTGAAGCAGATGCAGCTTATAAAATTTCAATAATCAGTTTCTGAAATTTTATTTTAAAAAATAATTATGAGTAGAGGACACGTTGCTTTTTATTTTGCTGGTAGTTTTCACTACACACAGACTGCAATTTGGGAATTGCAGAAAGAGACTGAGCTGACCAACTTAGAGCTGTGTCAAGAAAAGTTTCCATTAGGTCCTAAAGTCCCCAGAGGCTAGAGGCTAGGGAGGGCCTGCTACAGGGGCCAGCTGGTTGGACACGGCCTGAGCCCCCACACTCGCCCCCAGATGCTGTGGTTCTGCTGCAAAACCAGACCCTCGTTTCCAGCATCCTCTGTTTCCATGAGCAATACTATAAGCCTTGAGCAGAACCAGAGCCGCGTGCACAGACACGGTGTCATCTCATGATTTCCACCTCCTGAACCATGTGTGGGCACTGACGGCAGACTGGAAAGCGGAAAGCTGCGGGATGTAGTCCTTGCATGGACCCCATGGCCAGGACTACCTCAGAACTTCTGAGGGTTATGTTCCAAGTTCATTCCTGCCCCTGCTCAGGCCCCAAATCTGCCTGCATCTGCAAAGCCCTAGAGCTTGCAGTCCTTAGACCTAAATAAGTGGCTCCTGCTCCCACCAGGCCAGGCCAGTTAGGAGAGAGGGTCAAAGTCATAGGTCACAGAGTGATGCAAAGGATGATGAGATCAGGCAGTGGGGCTTCAGTCTGGGGGCTTCCACAGTGGTCCCAGCCTGTAGCCATTGCCTCTGCACCTAGCCAATGCACCACCAGCCCCCAAGACTTCCCTAGAGGCAGAGGAGGTGATGATAAGGGGACGCTGTGAGGGGTCTTCTGGTCAACTTGCCTTTCTGTGGCCTTTTCCCCTCTTCCCAGTGGAGCAAATTGTTTCCCTGTAGGAGAAGAAAAACTGGACGCCTGTAACCCATGGCAGATGAACAAGAGAAAAACAGAAGTTTATTAATCCACACACCTCATGCGTGGGTGGCAAACTCCAGGGGAAGACGCACAAATCTGCAGGAGGTGGCCCAGAACCCTAGCTTATCTTCAACTAAAATAAAGAAAGAAGATGGGGGTGGCCGGCAACGGGGAGGTGACCAGAAAGGCAGGTGACCAAGGCCACAACTTGCTGTGGGCTTGTAATAGAGCTTTCTCCTCAACAAGTGTCTCTTGTAACTGAGTTTCCCTCTTCTTCCTGGATCCCAGAGGAGACACCCGGCAGGTAGAGATTCCTTCACAGAGGTAAATTCCCCTTCCAAAAGGGCGACTTCTTAGAGCTTCTCCTGCAGCTGCCATTCCTCAAAATCCTTGTTCAATGAGGCACACTCTGGGATGGGGCCTTCTCTCTCCTGAAGGTCCCACGGGAAGGCCTGGGCTGGGTACCAGACTCTCTTCCAAGCCAAACAACCTATCACCTGGAAACAGCCACTTTTAACCACAAGTGATGAGAAATGCTTTATTCTCTATTTGGATATTTTTAAGTGCCTCTGTACAACTGTCTCTGTCACCAAGCCAGTTCCACTGATCAGAGCACTGCAGGGGACATCAGATCGGGGATCCCCAACCCCCGGGTCATGGACCAGTACTGGTCTGTTGCCTGTAAGGAACTGGGCCACACAGCAGGTGAGTGACAGGTGAGTGAACAAAGCTTCATCTGTATTTCCAGCTGTTCCCCATTGCCCATGTTACCAGTTGAGCTCTCTCCTCTCAGAGTAGTGGTGGCATTAGATTCTCATGGGAGCACAAACCCTATTGTGAACTGTGCACAGGAAGGATCTAAGTTGCATGCTCCTTATGAGAACCTAATGCCTGATGATCTGTCACTGTCTCTCATCACCCTCAGATGGGACCCTCTAGTTGCAGAAAAACAAGCTCAGAGTTCCCACTGATTCTACATGAGATGACTTGTATAATTATATTATAATGTAATAATAATAGAAATAAAGTACACAATAAAGATAATGTGCTTGAATCATCCTGAAAGCATCCCCCCACCACCAGGTCCATAGAAAAATTGTCTTCCATGAAACTGGTCCCTGGTGCCACAAAGCTTGGGGACCACTGCTTTAGGGTGGAGAGCACCGTGCAATCCACATGTGCCATGGGCTCCACAATCCACCCGACGCAATGCTGCTTTTAGGAGTCCAGCAAACATCTACAAAGCATCTGCCACACACCAGGTGCTACACCTGGTACTTGGGTTGCAGAAATGAACAGAACATGACACTCACCTACCGAGAGGTTGAAGGCAGCTGAGGGCAACGGGTCATAATAAAGCAAGTAACCTAGAGCCACAGGTCTACAGCAGGGCTGGAGCAGGAGATTCTGTGGCACCAAGGAGGTCACCAATGCCCCTTCGGTGGGACTTATCTAGGAGCCGACAGAGTTTTCGGCAGTGGCCACGGCTCATTCCTCACCCCACCAGTGTCACAGGTTCTCGGTCTGAGGGCAACCGAGACAGCCCTGCTGGATTCGCTGAACTCACAGGCACTTCCCAGACATGCACTCAGCAGTGCCACTTTAGAGCACCCAGTGTCTGCTCAGATGCTGAGTCCCTGAACAGGAAAGCCTCTTACTTGTCTCTGTAAACCAAACATGCTCTCAGCAAACTGTAAACCTTAGGAATGTTTGTTGAATAAATAAAATTAAAATAAAACGAACCATAGGCCATAAGCTACACGAGGCAGGGAGCAAGGTGGCTCCTGCAGCACAGAGTTGTGTAAATCAGCATGGCCCGAGCTTCCTGACACAGACAGGGAACGAGGAGAGAAAATAGAGTGGGAGGAACTGAGAAAAGGCTAGGAGGTGAGGGAGGAGGTGAAGGGGAGACGAGAAGGGACACTGTGGGGAGGCTGCCAGGCAGATGAAGGGTGAAACATAAGTCGGGAGCAGTTCACACCACTTGTGTCTCTGTTTCCAGCCCTCATTTTCCGGTGAACAAAATGTGAATATTCTCCACATTTAGTGTCACAGAGAGGCGTTGTAAGAGGTTGCAAGTTCAGGCTTAATGCAGAATTTTAATGAGATGCATACGCACTTCTCTTCACTGGCTCATTTTGTCCTGCTTAGGGCTCCACAGAGCATGTCACAGGGGAGATGCAAGGTAGCTCATCTTTTTCCATTTAGAAAACTCAGTGCCAGTGGTGCTGGCAAGTCCCGTGAACTTGGACAAACATATCATGAATCTCCATTGTTCTTGGCTTCTAAGACCTCTCTCCCAACCCATGATTTGCTGCTGCAATATTACTATGCTAATGATGAAGGAAGACACTGAAATACAGACTTGGCACAAAGACGCTCAGATACACAAACTGCCTTAAAAACTGTGAAGACCCTTACAGACCACTAGGGGTAGATGGAAAGACTTTAAGTATTAATATTTTCAAAGCTTGTACTTTCACACTTCATAAAGTGCTTTCATGAATATTGTCTTTGCATAATGATGTAATGGGCACTTTTCCCACTTTGTGGGTTATGGAGGGACTTATCCGCAGTCACCTGGCAAATGGGGCCTCAAGCCAAGCTTCCTTCTGCCAAATCTGGGCTCTTTGAAACATGGAGTCACCGTGTGGTGGGTGGTGGCTGCCTCGGTTCAGCCCTGGAACTGCAAAGCTAGAGGAGACAGCTGGGCAGGAATGCATCTGGTGACTCCTCCTGGCACAGAGAGGACAGAGGGGAGCAGTGGAAGGCGTTAGGAGTGGGAAGGGGCTGCGGCTAGCCATGCAGCCTGGGTTCTAATCCCCTCGGGACAGAGAGGAGCAGTGGAAGGCGTTGGGAGTGGGAAGGGGCTGCGGCTAGCCATGCAGCCTGGGTTCTAATCCCCTCGGGACAGAGAGGAGCAGTGGAAGGCGTTGGGAGTGGGAAGGGGCTGTGACCTGCCACGCAGCCTGGGTTCTAATCCCCTCGGGACAGAGAGGAGCAGTGGAAGGCATTAGGAGTGGGAAGGGGCTGCCGCCTGCCACGCAGCCTGGGTTCTAATCCCCTCGGGACAGAGAGGAGCAGTGGAAGGCGTTGGGAGTGGGAAGGGGCTGCCGCCTGCCACGCAGCCTGGGTTCTAATCCCCTCGGGACAGAGAGGAGCAGTGGAAGGCGTTGGGAGTGGGAAGGGGCTGCCGCCTGCCATGCAGCCTGGGTTCTAATCCCCTCGGGACAGAGAGGAGCAGTGGAAGGCGCTGGGAGTGGGAAGGGGCTGCGGCCAGCCATGCAGCCTGGGTGCTAATCCCCTCGTTCGGCCCCCTGTGTCATGGAGTCACTGCTTAGAGGCATTTCCATGTTTCACCTCTCTGGAGCCTCAGAGGGTTTTCTATGTCCTGAAACTGCTCGGTGTCATCTGGATGTCCGGGCTTTTCCACAGAGACCGACTGACATGCTTACATAACTCTCTCCAGGGGATACGGGACAGCACAAGCCACCCCTCCCACCTCCCCCGAGCATTGACGGAACCATCAGGATCAGGAGCGAGGGAGCAGCAAGAAGCCAGGAGCTACTGCCTGGCCAGGAGCAGGGGGCAGGCAGGGGCGAGGGCACTCCAGGGCCACTCATGCTGCACCCGGAAACTTGTGGCTCTGGAGGGCAGCCCTGTGTGACTTTGTGCATCCCATTGCTCAAAGCACCAACTGCATATATTTTTAAGGGGAATTTCCACACCCAGCAACAAACCCATGATCAGAAAGACATGTGGCCATCCCTCCAATGAGGAGGTTTACTAGGAAGTGGGAGGGAGTGAGAAAAGGAGGAGACAGAGAGAGACACAGAGAGACAGAGACACACACCCACAAAGACAGAGAGAGACACAGGCCGAGAGCACCTTGAGGGAGGGGTCAGAAGGCACAGGTGCTGGAGGCCTGGAGGGAAGGGAGGTGCTGGGCAGCGGAGAAGCGAGAGGGACAGAGCAGGAGGAGCTTTGATTGGGACCCATCAGTGCAGGCTGTGTGAGAAACCATATGGATTCAGCTGCCGCCATGTAAAGACCAGCAGGGAAGAGGCCACGCTGTCCTGAGAACCTAGACAAGCCCTCCGCACATACCACGCGTGCCCACAGGATCTGTCTCGATCTCATTCTCCCTCTCCGCACGCCTCTCCAGGGTTGCACTACGTGCCACACAGACCAATGGATTCAAGCTCGAAGCATCTGCAGGACTCACCAGCAGCTCTCTCAGACACCCTGGATGGGAGGGAGGGCTGAGCCACAGAGACCAGTAGGACTGGGATCTCTGGAGATCACGCCCAGCCAGGAGGGTTTTGAAAATGCCCTGGTTAAGAAACCCTGACTCTGACCTCCGACGGGGGACAAGGGAGCCCCAAGACCAAGGAGGGTTCCTGGGACCTGCCAGGCTCTGGTGGGCCAGTAGGCACACATGGGCACACCCAGGCCCCTCCCTGAGGCTGGAGGGGCACCCGCAGGACCCATTTTAAATAAACATCCTCTTAGAAAATACAGGCCCTAAAGCAGTGGCTTCAAATTCTTTTGACCACAAAGCACACCAGGAACATTGCTTTACGTCAGGACTCAGCCGTGACTAAAACGAGCCATCCACAAATAATGCCATGCTGGCGCTCAGCATCCCACGATCCGTTTATTCCACACTGGCTCACAGGGAAAGAGAATATGGGCAGCGAGCGGGCTCTTTTGAGTTTCTCGCACAGTGCCTGTGGCTGCAGAAGTAGGGTTCAGCCTGGGGAAGCCACCTTCTCCAGGTGAAGGAGCGTGGGGCTGTGAGTAGACAGAGGGCAGATACGGCCAACCCTCAGGATGCTGCGTGGCTGCCTCAAACATTCCAGGATACTTCCAGTCAAAGTTTCTCACGAACGAGGGCCCAGGTCAGGAAGTGAGGGGAAGTCAGGCTGCAAAGGGAACCATCAGCTCCCACGGGTGACCCCACCTCAGTGCCCAGGCCCCCCACGCCCAACCCCACCTCAACGCCCGGGCCCCCCACACTCCACCCTGCCTCAGTGCCAAGACCCCGCATGCCAGACCCCACCTCAACACCCAGGCCCCCTAGACTCTGCCAATGCCCCTCGACACAAGCTGACCTCTGCCACTGTTTTCTCATTTTGAGGAAAAGCAGCCTGCCCCTCAGCTCACACCCACGCTTTGCCTCTGCAGCTACTCACAGCCTCATCCCTCCCGTATGTGACAGCCCCTCCCAGATCGGGCGACAGCTGTGTCCTCCTAAGATGGATTCGCCTTCTACCAGTTCTAGGCCAGGACACCCAGCGTGTTTTAATGATGCTGCAGTCCATTACGATTCACCTCATGTTTATTTGACTGCAACAATGATGCCATGGAAAAATACATTGTAGTTGTTTCTATAGAAATGGGAATACGATTTAGTTCCATGGATTCTAAGGCGCTAGGAAGCTCGAAGTTTTTTTGTTTGTTTGTTTTGTTTTTAATTGGTCCCCGACAGCTGATGTCCCAGTGGTGACTCCTGAAATTACTTTGGGAGCTTCAGATTAAAGAAACAGATGTAAGTGCTTTTAGATGAAGTATATGTAACATTTTCATTAGATCCAAGTTCTTTAAAAATTAGATGAGAGGTTACATAACTAGGGATTGAGTAATTCATTTTTAAAATTAAACCCCTTTAGTTTATACGCAGGTGTAAGAAATTATGCTGAGCTCCCACATCACCTTCCTCTACTCCCCCAGTGCTGATGTCCTGCAACACCATGTCAGGTCTGCACAGCCCAGTGTCAACCCCCACCCGGCCAAGATGCGACCCAGCCACGACTTTCATGGCTGCACCTGAGACCCGTGTCTCCCTGCTACCCTGACGGCCACTCCTCTGCTCTCCCTCTCCTCCAATTTTGTTGCAAGAATGTTATGTAAGTGGAATCATGCAGTCTATAGCCTTTTGTGATTAACTTCTTTTCCTACTCAGCACAATTCTCTGGAGATTCATCCAGCTCATGGTATCATATTCACTCCCTTTTAGCGTGGGGATAGAATTTCATGGTCGGACATAACGCAGTTTGTTTGACCCTTCAGCCATTGAAGGACAAGCTGACGTAATCTCTTGTGCACAGTTTTGTGTGGACGTAAGTCTTCATTTCCTTGGGATGAGTGCCCGGGGTGTGAGTGCTGGGTTGCAGGGTAGTTGCAGGTTAAGTTTTTAAAGTCACTGCCTGGTGCCCTCCAGGGTGTCTGCACCATCTCATGTTCCCAGCAGCAAAGCAGCGGCAAGTGGCCTCTCCCCGGCCCAGGGCCTGGCATTGTCACTGTCTGTTATGTTAGCCATCGGGATGGGGCGCAGTGGTTTCTATTTGCAGTTTTCTGATGACTAATGCTGTGGAGCGTTCTCATGTCCTTATTTGCCATCTGTATGTCCTCTTTGTGAAATGCCTCTACAGACCTTTTGCTCATTTTCTAATGGCATCGTTGGCTTTCCTTTCCTGTTGGAGTTTGAGCGTTCTCTGGGTATTCAAGGTGCCAGTCTGCTGTTGGATTTGTGTGGATTGCTCCCACCTGGAGCTTGTCTTTCATCTTCTTGGCAGGGTCTTTCACAGAGCAAGTTTTACATTTCGCAAAAGTCCAATTTGTAATTATTTTCCTTTGGATGTTTAGTGTCAAGAGTAAGAACTCCTTGCCTTGGTAGACCCTGATTTTCTCTTTACTTTTCCTGACATGTATGTCCGGGGTCCACTTTGAGCTAATTTTATGAGATGTGAGACTCAGGTAGAGGCTTGTTTTTACCTCAGGGGTCCAGTGCCTCCCACTGCTTGTGCACAGAGACCTCCTCTCCCAAGTTGCACACATACCTTCATCAAACATCAGCCCGGCGAATTCGTGCAGGTTTATTTCTGGGTCTCTAATCTTCTTGATCCAGGGTCTGCCCCTCCACAAGTGTCACACTGTCTTTACTGTCACTGTAAAATAAATCTTGAAATTGGATAAAGTGTTCCCTCCCACTTTATTCTTTCCAAAATTGTTTTAGCTAATTTAGTTCCTTTGCCTTTTCATCAAATTTAGAATAATTTTGTCTATATTTCAAAAATTAACTGTTGGGTTTTGAGATGCAGTCTCGATCTGTCGCCCAGGCTGGAGTGCAGTGGCACAATCTTGGCTCATTGCAACCTCTGCCTCCCAGGTTCAAACAATTCTTGTGTCTCAGCCTTCCAGTTAAAGGTGTGCGCCACCACACCCAGCTAATTTTTGTATTTTTAGTAGAGATGGGGTTTTGCCATGTTGGCCAGGCTGGTCTTGACTCCTGACCTCAGGTGATCTGCCTGCCTCAGCCTCCCAAAGTGCTCGGATTACAGGTGTGAGCCACCATGCCCGGCTAATTGTTGGGGTTTTAATAAGAATTTTGTTAAACTTGTACATCAATTTGGGGAGAATTGGTATCTTTACTATGTTGTGTCTTTCAATCCATTGATAAGCTACCTCGATTTATTTAGATTTTGGTTTCTTTCATCAGTGTTGTCTAGTTTTCAGCACACCAGTCCTGTAGAGGATGTGTTAGGTTCACACACATTTCTTTTTAGTAATTATAAATGGTATCATAGCTTCAATTTCAGCATCCACTTGTGCCTTCCTAGTATACAGAAATGCAATGGGTTTTTGTGTGCTTATTTTGGAATGAACCTTACATGGCCATGGGTGGATAATTATATCTTACATTGCTGACTTCTATTTGCTAATATTATGTTAAGAATTTCTGTATCTGTATTTATGGGGGGTATTGGTTCATTGTTTTCTTTTTGTGTACTGTCTTTTTGTCTGATTTTTTTATCAGCGTAATACCAGCTTCATAAAATCAATCAGGAAGCATTCTCTCTTCTGTTTTCTGAAAGAGATTGTGCAGAATTGGTGTTAATTCTTACATAAATATTTGTTAGAATTCTCTAGTGAAACCATCTGAGCCTGGAGCTGTCTTTTGAGGACTTTTTAAATTGCAAATTTAATGTCCTTAATAGATACAGGGATAGTTGAATTGTTTATTCCATACTGGGTGAGTTGTGGAAGTTAGTGTATTTTGAAGAATTGGTCCATTTCATCTAAGTTGTCAAATTTATCTGTGTAAAGTTGTTCATGGTGTTCTCTCATTGTCTTTGGATGTCTGTGGTGTCTGTAGTGATGCCCCGTCTCATTCCTGATGCTGATCAGTGCCTTCGCTCTTGGTTTTGTCATCCGCCCAGGCAGAGCTTTGTTGGTTTTGTCACCTCCTTGCAGATCTTTGAGGGGGAGAGTCTAGGCCCCCACACCCTTTGCTGGTGCAAGTAAGGTTGGTGCAAGTGAAGCTGTGGCCCCAGCTCTCTCTGCCTGAACGTTCTCTCTAGGCTCCCTGGTTTCTGGTCCTGTGGCTGGTGTGAGCGGGCTTCACTTGGGCCTGTTATTGTCTGCACCCCTTGTGTTGCAGGTTCCTGGCTTCTTCAGCTCCAGGTCTGGGATACACCAGGAAAAACCCATGGCTTACCCTGTGCCACTTCTCACCTCTGGGGTTCCCAATCAGTCTGCTTTCTTCTCATCTTTCAGTCTTTTTTTTTTCCTTTCTATATGCTGTATGGTTTTTAATTGAACTTAATATGAGGAATAGAGAGAATTACATCTTCATCTTCCCATGTGTGGAAATCCTAGTAATTCATTTTTGAGGAAAGAAAGTCGAGCTGAAAGGATCTGTCACTTTGAAGGATCCTTCTCATAAAGGATCCTCCCATAAAGGATCTTTCAAAGTGATGATGTCACAAATGACCACTGTCTTTCAGGATGTGTAAATATTTTAGTTTTGGCTTTCTGTGCATTATAATCTTTATTTGAGATTAAATCCTTCCTGGGCAGCAACTTTACAAATGTCCCTGAATTTTCTTCTACATTCTGTAAGATTTCAGTTTGAACTCAAGAGCTCAAGAAAGTCTTCCTTGTACATTCTGGTTTTCAAGTGAAGACGGCAGTTTCAATTTGTACAGAAGTGATCATGACAGCACCATCAGACCCGAGGTCCCAGCAGGGTTATCTCTGAGCTCTCCTCTGTGCCCAACACATGACTTGACTCATATCAGATGCCAGACAGATGCTGATTGAATTAAATTTACAAATGCTGCTTCCTCACATCTGACGTTTGCCTTGAACCTCTCCATACCTCTGCAAGGTTGGCAGTTTGCGTGATTATTATTTCCTCTTTAAAGAAGAGGAGATGGGGACTGAGGGGCTGAGGCTACTTGTCCAATGTCAGAATACCAAGTTCAGTGGCTGGATTAGGACCAACATCATCTGCTTTGACTTAAGGGGTCCAGAACTTGCCACCCCAAAATATGCAACAATAGCATATTGATTAGTTTGAGCTAAAAGAAACTGAAGGCCAGGCACAGTGGCTCATGCCAGTAATCCCGGAACTTTGGGAGGCTGGGGTCAGAGGATTTCTTGAGCCCAGGAGTTTGAGACCAGCCTGGGCAACATAGGGAGACCCCCATTTTTAGAAAAAAGTAAAAAGATTAGCTGGGTGTGGTGGAATGCGCCTGTGGTCCCAGATACTCAGGAGGCTGAGGTGGGAGGCTCACTTGAACCTGGGAGCTGGAGGCTGCAGTGAAAAAAAATTAAAAAATTGAGAGCCAACACAAGAATGCTCTTTGCCTCCTCATAAAATACCTAAATTAATGTATTAGTTTCCTCTTTTTAAAGGAACTGACACTGACAAGGAAAAGGCTCGTTAGTAAAGATCTTGTACCAGGAGGAGAGTTACTCTAGACAGCCTCTACCCCAGAGCACCAGACAAACTTTTTTTTTCTGAGACAGGGTCTTGCTCTGTCCCCCAGGCTAGGGTGCAATGGCACCATCATGGCTCACTGCAGACTTGACCTCCCAGGCTCAAGTGATTCTCCTGTCTCAGCCTCCTGAGTAGCTGGGACCACAGGTGTAAACCACCATGCTCAGTTAATTTTTAAAAACTTTTTGTAGAGATGGAGTCTCACTCTGTTGCCCAGGCTGGTTTTGAACTCCTGGGTTCAAGCAATCCTTCAGCCTTGACCTCCCAAAGTATTGAGCTAACAGGTATGAGCCACTGAGCCTGGCCCAGAGAGACTCTTACCTGCACAACTAGGCAACTTTATTCACCAGACAGTGCCTTCTTGCACCCTCCCAAAACTTGCCTCCAGCACCCCCAAGAAGCCAAGCCTCTATTCCCTTCTGTGGCCAGGATGCTGTATAGCCCCCATCAGCTGGCCCTTCCCAGTCCCGATGGCCCCGGAATGTCCACCTGTGGGTTGTGCATGGTCACCCCTCCTGTCCCCACTGTCCCCCACCCCACCTCACACAGTCTGTGGCTGCTAAGTCATTATGGACTTGAACCTCCTGAAGACCAGAGCATTCTGTTCAGCACAATCACAAGGAGGTCACAGCCACCAAAATTCCTGTCTTTGGAAGCGTGGAGCAGCATCCACTCTCTGCCCCAATGTCACACCTTCTGAGGGAGATAAAACCAAAGGACATAATGAATCCCAAAGCAAAAAACAAAAGACAGTTCTCCCTAATACCCCCTCGCCACTCAGCCAAAACAACGAAACACCAACCAACTATTTAACCTTCACAAAATTCTGGCTCCTTGACAAAAAGAAAATGCATGGAACACTGCTCTATGAATAGAGAATCAGCAAAATTACAGATGGACCAGCAGGTGGGCAGGACGCTGGCTTCACTCTCAATCCCTGACATACACACTCCAGTATGGAGTGGAATTTAAGAGAGTCAAGTGCATCCTCATCTCTCATTTCCCGTTGGATCTCATTCTGCCAGGGGGAGTTTAAACAATTGCAACGTGCTTTCTCATACCCTTGTCTTAATGTACACCAATACTTTTATATAACTTCTGCTGCGTTGAATCAGCCAGAGACACACATGAACTTGTCCAACATTCGTTCTTATTTTAGTGTCAGTCTCTCGGGGAATGTGGCTTGATCTGTGTAATAACAGAAAACACAGTCCCTAGATTTTCTGAAACAATAACAATTTCAAAATTCTTTTCTATTTTCCCTGAAGTACAGTTATACTTGTGAGATTGTGCCTTATTTAAACAAAGTGATATGAAACACTTTTTTTAATGATTAAAGAATAATATTTTCATTGCATAAAAATAAGAAAATTCAGTAAACTATAAATAAGAACACCAAAACTATTCATAATCCATCATTAGAGGTAGCCATTAACATTTTGGAGTATTTTTCCAACATTTACACATATAATTGAGATCATACTCTGTATGCAATACTTTTGAATATAGCATTTAAAAGGGACTATTTTTTAGAGAAGTTTAGATTTATATAAAAATTGAGCAGAAAGTACAAAGTTTCCTCATACCTCCTCTCTCCAGTTTTCCCTATTATTTATATCTTGTCTTAGTGCGGTGCACTTGTTACAATTCATGAGCCAATATTGGTAAATTATTATTAACTAAAATCAATCGTTTAGAACAGTTAGAACTCACTTTTGGGGCTGTAAATTATGTGGGTTTAGATAAATGCGTAATGACCTGTACCCACCATCACAGCATCACAGAGTCTCACTGCTCTGAAAATCATCCGTGCTCCGTGGCTTCAGGCCCTCTCTTCACCAGCCCTGGCAACCAGTGAGCTTTTTCCTGTCTCCATAGTTCTGCCATTTCTGGACTGTCCTGTAGCTGGAATCACACGGTGTGCAGCCTTTTCAGATTGAAAAGCCTTTTCAGATTACTTCTCTCACTTAGTAATCTGCATTTAAATTCTTCCACGTCTTTTCACGGCTTGAAAGTTCTTTTCTTTTTAGCCCTAAATCATATCCCGTTGTCTTGAGTGAAGGTTAAAGTTCTTCAACTTCCCTTAAAGGTATGAAAATGAATGGATGGGGTGACGTCTCAGGGGAGGGAGTAAATAGAAAACCCAGAACTGATTGATCCTGATGGCTGATTGACTGGCAGGAGTACCGGCGTCATCTCTGGTGCCCCGAACGGATCCCTACAAGCCCCCTGCCTTACGAGCGGGTACTTCCCCTGCCAGGAGGGACCGTGCTGCGTCCCCCTGGGGCTCTTGCGAGGATGATGGCAAGCCCTCAAATAAAGTGAACAGCTCAATCGCCTCAGCAATGCTGCATTTATCAATAACAGCATCCTGGGCTGGGTGGGAGTCAGGCAGGGTCTGTCTTGTGAGCTCCTGGCACGAGAGCTGCATGATGTTCTGAGCCTGTGAGTCATTGAGTAGCTGGAAGGGGCTCCGGGGACCTTGTGAAATTTGTGTCTTTTTAAATGTAACTATGATTTAATATCTGATGGGGTGTAATAAATATTTAGTAGCACATTTTTCTGCAGATGGCGAGGGAGGAGGTCAGTCCCTGTCAACAAAACACAAGTTGTCTGATTTACCGAACTTCCTGGATGGTTTGGGTTTGTGTAGAACCAGCATCTGTTTGAAAAATGCTTAAAAAATAATGCAAAATCTTTCTCCAAAAATTACCCAATTACCAAATACCACAACTTATCTCTTTCTTCCCAGTGGACTAAGTGCTAAGCGTGGCTTCCATTTCCTAAAATAAAGTGCCTTGCAATTAAGTATATATTCAGCTACTGCAGTTAGATTTTCATGTTGGTGGTGCAGAGCCCAGTGGAGAGGAGTTGATTAACTGCTGTGAAAACCAATTCCATTTATTTTATCTTCCAGTGAATTTTTAAAAGGAAGTTAATATGCTGACTTATCTTGGAACAATGTGTCATTATACTCCACACTTAAGCCCTGGGTATTAGTTTTTCTATCTTTAGAGTGACCTAAATTGAAAAGCCGCTGCCATTCTCTCTTCTGATCTAGAGCTGTCTCTCAGTTTGTCTTTCTTACTTGTAAAGACTGAGTATCACCTCATCACAACATTCGAGACACTGCCTACGACGGTTCCGGAAGTTTGGTTCAGAAACCAAACCATCGTGGTTTGGTTCAGAAAGACTTGGGAAAATGAGTCTTATTTTGAGAGATAAAAGGTCCCAAAGTGAGATTTGAGAAAATAGATGTCTAATAGGGTCATTCATATCAACCTCGGAGACAAATGATATTTTTTGCTCGTTTCTTTTTTGTGGGCCAAGCTCAACTATGTTTCAACTGCAATTTATTTTATTAGACTTTCTTTTTATGTAACTCAGACTTAAGAGTGACTATATGGAGACTAGAGTAAATCATGTTATGAATTACCCCACATCCTTCACTCTAAAATGCAGTTTGCTGCCAGAATTATGCTTCCAAAATGGTCACAGATAATTACTGTGTAGGGCCCAAGCACAAAACACCCTGTGGGGAGAATCTCAGATTTTCTGCACAGCTGTGTTTCCTGAGACCTGACATTTTCAGCAGAGCACCCTGGAGCACGCACACGAGTAAGACGCATTCCCGCCCCGGCTGGCACAGACTCGCTGGAGTTTGTGAGGTCTGCCTGAGGAGAAGGACCATATCTAAAACCTAGTATCAGGATTTCAGGCTAGATTGCATCTTCCACTAAGTTTTTAAAATATAAGATTTTTTTAGAGAAGCAAAATGGGTAATATCGCAAATGTTCAAAAAGTTATATAAATACTATTGCATATGGATAACATAGGATGCTAGTGCTCATTAAAAACCTCATTATAGAAAATTGTGCCAGGTGCAGTGGCTCATGCCTGTAATCCCAGTGCTTTGGGAGGCTGAGGCAAGGGGATCCATTGAGCCTAGGAGCTGACACCAGCCGGGCAATATAGGGAGACTCTGTCTCTACAAAAATACGAAAATACAAAAATTAGGTGGGCATGGTGGCGCACGCCTGTAGTCCCAGCTACTCAGGAGGCTGAGGCAGGAGGATTGTTTGAGCCTGGGAGGTCGAGACTGCAATGAGCTGTGCTGACGCCACTGCACTCCAGCCTGGATGTCAGAGCGAGATGCTATCTCTAAATAAATTTAAGAAAGGATGAATTGTATTTGCAACAAGCCATCGTGGTGAGAGCGAGGGATTCGGGTACCATGGAGCTCAACAGCTGGTTTTGAATGCACCAGAGCATTAAAGGAAGGAAATGACACGCTCAGGATTTTAAATTCCTGGATCAACTCTTGACCAGAGGCTCCTGTGACTGTCCTTAAAGAACATCTTCCTTCCCATCTGAAATGGATCCATTTTGATTGGAGCTAGCACGCTATATCTTTCTCTACCTCCATCTCTATATGCTGCAGCATAAATGCATTCCCTCACAAAATAAAATACATAGATTTTCTTTCTCTTTTAACTCAATTTCTTATGATTAAAAGAGGAAGAGCAAAGTACTGGCGCCGATGGAGCATGCATGGCTGAGCCAGATTTGGTCTTTTCCAAGCCCCACGTCCTACTGGAGGGCTCAAAGACAATTACAATGTAGAGTAACAAAGCAATGCATTGCAATGCCTGCATTTAAGATATCAGGGCAAGTCCTGAGGGTATAAGGTACTTGAACATGAATCAACTGTCTAACACAGTAACTAGCAGAGTTTGAAAAGCCTCAACATTTGAAAATGCTCAGGGCCTCGTTTCCGTGGATGAAGAAAATCTTTGCAGATTTGTTGTATCTTGTATTAATGTTAATTTAGCTAAGTAAATAGATTTATTTTCATTTACTTTCCAATTTTTATTTAAAATGACATGCCAGTGAATAAAATCTGGAGACCAATAAAGTATTTGTGCATATGCATGCATAATATACATAGAATGTACAAAATAAAAATATTAAAGAATGAATTATGAACCTCATTATGTGGATAAAATGCACTTGAAGTGGAAAATATTCCAAACATGAAAGAGAATTTTCATTAGGTAGAGTTCAGAAATTGTGACAAAGGTATATCTTAAATGTATTACTCTTCTTATGTAAGAACATTTGTTTAAATTATAAGAATGCCTAATGGGTTGAATTTCATATGTGTAGACAGATCCAAATTTTTCAAAATGAAAATTCAATATTCATGAGACTCAATCTAGAAAATACATTAGAAAAGGAAAATATATGGAAGTTATAGGAGTAAATTATAAAATCCTAGTCAGAACTGATAAATAAAACACAAAATATTTGCTCAATAAGCTCTCCAAGGCCCTTGTATGACTTAATTTCTTTGTGCCTTTGTTTCATTATCTGTGAAAGAGCTTCAAAAGTTGCATAAAGTCAAATTGGCTTGAAAAATTTAAGAGCTGTATTGATTTATTGGTCATTCTTTTGGCAAATACTTATCGAGTGCTTTACTACAAACACAGACGGTAGTTACAAACATGCCCCTAGCATGCAATTTTCTCCATGACCAAATTCACTTATTCATTCTTTTGCCAAGAAGCAAAGATTCCCACAAGGTTTGCACACTCCATCTACCTTCCTTTCAAAGCCTTGCTGTTTCATGGCCAGCGATGAAAGACCAGTGCCCTAAAGCTCTGGTGCCACAGGCCAAGCACACCGTGCATATTTCTCCTGTAACTCCCAGGAACTCAGGGCGCATATTTCTCCTGTAGCTCCCAGGAACTCAGGGCAATCGTTGTTCCCATCTCTAAGTGAAAGCAGGGCCGGGGGGCTAGTTCTTTCCCAAGATCTCAGCGAATGCCCAGAAGTGTCAGCCTTAGAATGTTCACCTGCTGCCGGCGTGTCATGAGGGAGAACTCCCAGGCCCTGGCTGGCTCCTGGGTGACTTTGGCACTGGTTTGACCCCACCTCCAGGGCAGCGGGCCTGACTCCCAGGTGACAGGCAGGTGGTGATGGAGGAGGCAGGTGGTGATGGAGGAGGCAGGTGCAGCTGTAGCAAGGGCCGCCTCCCTTTGGAATCTGCCCAAAGACGCAAGCAGGATTCCCAGGAGGCACTGGCACTGCAGAAAAGTGATTGCAACAAGGACAGCCTTGAAGAAACAACCCTGACAACCTTTCGGGGAGTCTCAGCCACTGTCTGAGAATTCGTGCATTTCTGTACGTGAATCACCGGTAAACGACAGGCTGTTTGCTCTGGAAAGCCCATAGGCCAGATTTCGCATTCCTCTGTAATGATCTGATGCCTCCTCTGTCAGCTGTCTGCAGTCCCAGCCATCGCCTACTGCCCCACAAACAGCTTCCCAGCCACCGAGGGGTGGAGTCTGAGGAACCTTATTTCAGACCCTTTGAGAACTCTCCCGCTTTGAGACTTGGGGCTGACCTTTCAGAAATGCAAAAGGAACACCAACATACGACTTCATTAAGCCAAGGCCACTGGGTACAGTTTCACATTTTTACAGATATTTAACCTCTCTCAGTTCTGGAATTTTGTTAGCATTTGAACTTTTGATTCATCTGACTCCAAGTGTTATAACCCCCTTGGCAACTGTCTAGACAGGTGCTGACTATGCAATGCAGTATTTATTATTACAGATCTGTCAGATTACTGGTGGGACCGTGTCAGGATCGCTAATGGTCGTGTGTGTGTGTCTACGATCCCTTCCAAATTCTAAGCTCTTCATGGGTAAAGACTAGGATTTCTCTTCCTCTAGTGTTTCACGTAGGACTAAATAATAAGTATGAAGGAGTGTTGAATCAATGTTTTCCATTCACTTCATTTCATCAATTCATTCTTTATTCAACATACACTTGTTGATGCCCGGCTCTGTGCCCGACAAGATGGTAGCTGTGGAGACTGATCTGAAAAAGCATCCTTCGTGACAGGTGGAAGTTGGATGGGAACAACCCACCCAGCCAATTAGGTTCCTCAGTTGCATGACACCAAGGAGCTGCTGTCTGGGAAATGCACTTATTAGGAGAGGGACAAACTGTGACTGAGCCACAGGCTCACCTCAGCCAGTCAAAAGGACTTGGGCACTGCCTCATTCAAGCCACCTTGGAGCAGACGTGGCTACGCTCCCAGCAGCCCTGTACCCATCGGCCACTGAAGATCTCAGCTCTCGTCAGCCTTGCAAAGCTTGCTGCATCTGAGTCTTGGGCTCCCGGTCCACTGCTTAAAAAGTTACTATCACACAAAGTCGAAAGTAGACAGTTCCTCTTGACCTGGAATTGTCCAAGTCAGCACCACAGCTGGTTAAGGCAGCCCCTCTCTCTTTCCTCTTCTTATTTTCTTGGCTTTAAGTCTGCTTAGGACTCCTGGAAAATCAGGTTAAGGGAGATCAGTTGTGTTCATCATTTTAATACAATGTTTATTGATCCACAGATGTGTGCCGATTGCTGGGATAAAGAGATAACTAAGATTAGTCTTCCTAAGCCCTGCTTTCCTCAGTCATAAACAGAACAATGATCAAAGCAATGGTCACAATAGTGCCTGGGGTGGCTGTCATCTCTACGAGGCCTGGGTGCACTGACACCATTCCTGCAAAGGGAAGGCTCAGACAATGGCAGTGTTGATTACGGAGGTGATGGCTGCAGCTGCAGACAGCTATTTGGCAAATGCTATGAACTATCCCTGATCTGCCCAGGGGAGGCGTGTCTGACCCTTCACCATTGGAAATCAACTTAATGGACTGTCCTGGAAAGGTAGTCAGTCTAGTCTAAACAGGAAAGACAACATTCTTATTGCTTGGAGGTTTACTCGAGTGAGAATTGAGTGGAATGACAGAAAAAACACCCATTGCTAAGAGCTATGTGGTAAAAGCTCAGAGAGGACAGAAAATTGCATTTCATTTTCTGATAGAAAAACTTGTTACAAATTTACAACCCTGTTTTCCGCCAATATTCAGCTTTCCTCTTTAATGAATACGCTGTGGTCTCATGCAGCACAGAGAACCTAGGGAAATTATCCTAATTAATTACTAAGTTACAATTTTCCAGATGATGTAGATTGCCTTTTTCTTGAAAATGTAGACGTTTGGGAACTGTTGGAGACACACACACATTCTCAGCCCATCACTCCGCCCTGTCACAGTACACGCCATGCCCAGCAATGTGCAAGAGAAGAAAGTCCGTTAAAAACACCCTGTACTTCTGGTAATTTTTTCTCTGTAATGATAAGTTATTAATAAGTATATTAAACTCAAGGGTACACCTTAAAGAAATTCCGTAACCTGAAAAGTGTAGTCACATAAGCCCACGAGTTTCTCTGTGTTCAAATGGTGTCTGAGGCACAGATCTTTGTAACGTTGCATTTTCACATTTGTGTGGCAGGACAAGCATGGGGCAAGAGGGACGCGTTAACTGAAAGTTGCTGAAGACAGGCTCCTGTCGGCCAGGTGTGGGCGGCCGCCGTCCAGAGAGAAACTCCTGCCACGTGTGTGAGGCTGACCGAACCCCGCACACCCCATGCTCTCCTGGCTAAGCGGATTCAGCGCTGGCCAACAAACCCAGACAGGTACGGCCAGAGCACTGCTCCCAGGAATTTGGAGTTGATACCTGGGGACCACAACACGCACATCTGGGAACTGGAGCTGAAAAACAGATCAAGTCAGGGCTGGAGAGAGACAGAGAGAGAATAAGAGTGAGTGGGGAGAGGGAGGCAGAGACAGAGAAGGAGAGACAGACGGGGGCGCGGGGGACAGAGGCAGAGGGAGAGGAAGACAGAGAGGGACAGGGAGAGAGATAGAGACACTCAGAGAGATAGGGAAGCGGGAGAGAGAGGGACAAAGGGAGAGGAAGACAGAGAGAGGGAGAGGGAGAGAGATGGGGAAGAGAGGGGGGAGGAAGAGACGGGGGGAGAGAGAGAGAAAGAGAGAGGGAGACAGAAAGAGACAGAGAGAGAGAGGGAGAGGGAGACAGAGACACACACACACACAGAGAGAGAGAGAGAGACAGAAAGAGACAGAGAGAGAGAGGGAGAGGGAGACAGAGACACACAGAGAGAGAGAGAGAGAGACATTGGTTATATAAGCGAGCAAATATCCAGAAGGAAGAAAAACGATTCAGGACCAACGAAATAATTCCGGTTCCCACTTTGACTCTTTGTCCCAGCCCACCCATGACTGTATGACAGTGCATATTATTCCAGTTTAGCTGGCTAGGAAACTGAGAAAGAAAGAAGGCAGGAGTCCACTCAGGGCACAGGCGGTGGGGACCACACGATTCCAAGAGGCACTGACGCCTTCATGAAGGGCTTCCGTAAAAAGTGGGAAGTACTCCGATTGCTGGGAGCGTGTTCTAAGTCAGAATGTTCCTGGTGGTTCAGGGCAGCTCAGAGGATGCCTCCTCAGAGGGCTTCCCCCACCATGTCCAGAGTATCCCCTTTGCTCATGGCTCCATGCCTGCCTCACCGTTCTCAGCACTGATCACTCCCTGTCATCTACTACCTGCGTGTTTATCCATTTGGTCCTCATCTGACCCCACTGGGGAGTGCTGAGTGCTTGGTGCTCGGTCTATCCTCACTTCCCTCTGAATGCTGAGGGCTTGGTGCTTGGTCCATCCTCACTGCCCTCTGAGTGCTCAGTACTTGGTACTCAGTCTTTTCTCACTGCCCTCTGAGTGCTTGGTGCTCCATCTGTTCTCACTGCCCTCTGAGTGCATGGTACTTGGTCCATCCTCACTGCTGAGTGCTGGGTGCTCGGTCTATCCTCACTGCCCTCTAAGTGGTCAGTACTTGGTGCTTGGTCCATCCTTACTGCCCTATGAGTGCTCAGTGCTCAGTCTGTCCTCACTGTCCTCTGCGTGATTGGTGCTCAGTCCATCCTCACTGCCCTATGAGTGTTCACTACTCAGTGTTCCATCTGTCCTCACTGCCCTCTGAGTGCTCAGTACTGAGTGCTCCATCTGTTCTCACTGCCCTCTGAGTGCTCGGTACTTGGTCCATCTCACTGCCCTCTGAGTGCTCGGTACTTGGTCCATTCTCACTGCCCTCTGAGTGCTGGGTGCTCAGTCTATCCTCACTGCCCTCTAAGTGGTCAGTACTTGGTGCTTGGTCCATCCTCACTGCCATATGAGTGCTCAATGCTCAGTCTGTCCTCACTGTCCTCTGAGTGATTGGTGCTCAGTCCATCCTCACTGCCCTATGCGTGCTCACTACTCAGTGTTCCATCTGTCCTCACTGCCCTCTGAGTGCTCAGTACTGAGTACTCCATCTGTTCTCACTGCCCTCTGAGTGCTAGGTACTTGGTCCATCTCACTGCCCTCTGAGTGCTCGGTACTTGGTCCATCCTCACTACCCTCTGAGTGCTTGGTGTTTGGTCCATCCTCACCACCCTCTGAGTGCTCAGTACTCTGTGTTCCATCTGTCCTCAGTGCCTTTTGAGTGCTCGTACTTGGTCTGTCCTCACTGCCCTCTGAGTGCTTGGTGCTTGGTCCACCATCACTGCCCTCTGAGTGCTCAGTACTCGGTGCTTGGTCTGTCCTCACTGCCCTGTAAGTGCTTGGTGCTTGGTTTGTCCTCACTGCCCGGAGCAGTGCATGGCATAAGCTCAGTGGGTACATGCTAACTGAGTGAGTGACTGACAGAGCCTCCCCCTCCCACCCCACTGTCTTTCAGAGACCTTGGGCAACATTACCAAATCCTTCAGGCCTCAGCTGTGAAATGGGTGTGACTGAAACCTCTTTCCAGGCTGTGGTTGAGACTAACTGCGTTATCACACACAGCACGCTTGGAACAGCACGCAATGGATACTAACTATTAAAATTGTGCTTAAACCTGGTGTCGTGGACTACCCTGCTATGTGTAATCTTAATGCAAGAGTACGCAGACTGAGAGCGCCACTTGAGACAAGGTCCCCCAAACGCCTGACCGAGTTGGAGATCAGTGGTGGAAATTTCAAAGGTAGAGGACACAGCTGCCGTCTTGGGAGTGGTGGACTCCTCCCAGAAGACAATCATTTAACCGGAGAAAATGGTTTTAAACATCATTTAAAGTCTCTGAAATTATCCTAAGGGCATACGCAGAATGAAAAACTATTTATTCAGGAAAATCCAGTAAATCTTAGTAACAACAGTGAGAGTCTGTGGCATTTCAGCCTCAGCCCTCCCTCCAAGCCCATCGAGAAAATGGAAGCTCTGCTCTCTACAGATGTGGAAAAGAAAATGGGGGCCCTACTCCCCCAGTGCCCAGTCTGGGGCTCTGGCCACCTGTGTTGCCCACCTCCCAGCCCCGTGTTAAAATGTTGAAAGCCAAATAAAGAGAAAGCCTTGAGAACAGAAAGGGCACGTGACCCATCGCGCACAAGGAGGCCCCGGTGAGACCCACCGCGCACGAGGGGGGCCCGGTGAGACCTATCTCACACAAGGGGATTCTGTAGATAATTGTAAAAGACAGTATAACATATTTCTTCTTTCTTCTCAACTTATTTTTAAAATGCTTACATAAAAGAATATGTATATAATTACATTATTTGTATTATAACATATAGAAACGTAATACATTTGAAAATAGCAGCACAAAGAAGCCAGGTGGAACAAAGCTGTACTGGAGAGAAAGCAATGACATCAGATAGTAACCAGTATCCACCGGGGGAAGAAAAGAGAATCAGAAATGGTAAATAAGGAGATTAATATAACAAACTTTATAAACATATACTTGCTCTCCTTTCTTCTCTCAACTTCCTTAAAAGACTTAAGATTATATACAGTAGTAATTATAACAATATATTGTTGGGTTTGTAACATATACAGGGACAATATATTAAACAACAGCACAAAAAAGAAGTCTATGGAATGAAACTATGTTGTATGAAGTCTATGGAATTGAACTCATTCCACAGGAGTATGTTTCTGTATTTCACTGGTATTAGGCTAGTATAAATCTAAAATAAAATTTGATGTTAAGATGTACATTGTAAGCTCCAGAGCAACCACTAAGAAAATAAACAATACAGTAAAAATGTCATTTAAGGAATAAAAAATATTACATTATAAAATAGCCACTTAATATGAAAAAGCAATAAAAGAAAATGGAGGAATAATAAGGACATATACAAAACAAAAAGTGGGCCAGGCGTGGTGGCTCACACCTGTAATCCCAGCACTTTGGGAGGCCAAGGTGGGTGGATCACGAGGTCAGGAGTTCGAAACCAGCCTGATCAACATGGTGAAACCTCGTCTCTACTAAAAATACAAAAATTAGCCAGGCGTGGTGGCGCACACCTGTAATCCCAGCTACTCAGGAGGCTGAGGCAGGAGAATCACTTGAATCCAGGAGGCGGAGGTTGTAGTGAGCCGAGATTGTGCCACTGCACTCCAGCCTGGGCAACAGAGTGAGACTCTGTCTCAAAAAATAAATAAATCAATAAAAAAGAAAACAAAAAGCATAATGTTAGATATAAACCTAATAATCAATAAAAATAATATTTAAATGTGAATCAATTGAACAAGTCAATCAAAAGGCAGAGATCATCAGACTGAATAAAGGGAAACCAGAAACCTGCTTATCAAGTGTGTGTCTCTGTGTGTGTCTGTATAGTATCTGCAATGTACACTGACCTCCTATAGAAAAAGTATTCATATTCTGTAGAAAATCCAGTGCAGCTTTTAAAAATACAAATGAGTTGAAAGTTAAAGAACAGAAAAACATACGTCATGCAAACAGCAACCATGACAGAGCTGGATAGGCTATACTAACATCAGAAAAAACAGACTTTAAAACAGAAAATGTTACTAAAGACAAACACTTTGTAATGATAAATGTTAACATAACAATTATAAACCCATATGCACCTAACAGTGGCACCCCAAAATATATAAAGCAAACTGGTGAAATTGAAGGGAGAAGTAGACAATTTAACAATGGTTTTTACAGACTTCAATACCCCACTTTTAATTATTTATAGAATGAATAGGCAGAAGATCCACACAGAAATAAAAACTTAAATAAACTTAGATTTAACCAGCATCTACAGAACACTTCACCAAAAACAGCAGAATACATATTCTCAAGTACACATAAAACGTTCTCCACGACTGACAATATGGTGCATACACCATAAAATAAACTCGAATACCTTTAAATAGGATTGAAATCATAAAGTATATTGTCTGAGCACAATAGACTTAAATTAAAAATCAGTAATAGGAAGAAACTTGGGAAATTCACAAATATGTGAAAATTAAACAATACACTCCTAAATAACTAATGGATGAAAGAAGAAATTACAAGGGAAATTAGAAAAAAACTTGAGAAGGATGAAAATAAAAGCACATCATGCCAATATTTATAGACTGCAGCTAAAGCAGTGCCCAGAGGAAAAGTTATAGCTATACATGCTTATATTAAAAAAGACACTCTCAAATCAATAACCTTTCTACCTTAAGACACTAGAAAAATTTCTCACAACAAAAGATAAGTGTGTGATGTGATGGATATGTTAATTAGCTTGATATAACCATTTAACAAGGTATACATGTATCAAACATCACACAGTAAATATATGTAATTTTTGTCAACTATATGTTAATAAAAATTTTTTAAATAATTAAAATAATTAAATAATTAAAAAGAGAAAGGAGATAGAGAAGAGCAAACTAAAAACCAGCAGAAGAAAGGAAATAATCAAGATTAGAGCAGAAATAACTGACACAGAGAATAGAAAAACAATAGAGAAATCAACAAGACCAATGGTTAGTTCTTTGAAAAGACTGACAAAACGACAATCCTTTAGAAAGACTACGAAAGAAAGAGAGGGACTAAATTACCAAAGTTAGAAATGGAAGGGAGGACATCTTATAAAATAATGACCTTATAAAAGTAAAAAAGGATTATAAGTGAATAATATCAACAATTATGAGCCAACAAAGTTAAATACAATTCCTAGAAAAACATAAACTACCCAAACCAACTCAAAAGGAAATATATCTAAAACAATTAGAGATTAAATAATGTTAAAACTTCCTTGTGGCTGAGTGTGGTGGCTCATGCCTGTAATCCCAGCACGTTGGGAGGCCAAGGCATGACGATCCCTTGAGGCCAGTAGTTTGAGACCAGCCTGGACAACACAGTGACAACACCTCTACAGAAAATAAAAATGAAAAAAATTAACCAAGCGTGGTGGCATGTGCACCTGTAGTCTTAGCTACTTGGGAGACTGTGGCAGGAGGACTATTTGATCCCAGGAGTTTGAGATTACAGTGGCCTAAGATTGTGCCACTGTACTCCATCCTGGGTGACAGAGCAAGATTCTGTCTCAGAAAAATAAAAATAAATAAATAAATTCCTTGCTATGGTCTGAATGTTTGTATCCACCCCCCATTTATATGTTGAAACTCAATCAGCAAAAGGTGATGTTATTAGGAGGTGGGGCCTTTGGAGAGTGACTAGGTCATGAGGGCCCTGTGAAAATGAATAGGATTAATGCTTTTATAAAAGAGGCCCCCAAGAACTGCCTTCCCTTCTGCTACGTTGAGGATGCAGTGAGAAGACACCATATCTATGAAGCAGAGAACGAAGCTTTTCTAGATACTAAATCTGGTGGTGACGTGATCTTGGACTGTCCAGCCTCCAGAACTGTGACCAATAAATTCTGCTGTTTATAAAGCACCCAGTCTGAGGTATTTTGATATCACAGTCCAAACAGACTACCCTTGAAAACCCAAGCCAGACAGCTTCACTAGCAAATTCTATCAGACATTTAAAAAGGCAGGGCACAGTGGCTCACACCTGTAATCCCAGAACTTTGGGAGGCTGAGGTGGGAGGATCACTTGAGCCCAGGAGTTTCAGACCAGCCTTGGCAACATAGTGAGACCGTGTCTCTATAAAAAAATTTTTTTAAAAAATAGCCAGGTGTAGTGGTGCACACCTGTGGTCCCAGCAGCTCAGGATGCTGAGGTGGAAGGATTGCTTGAGCCCAGGAATTCAAGGCTGCAGTGAGCCATGATTGTACCACTGTACTCCAACCTGGGCAACAGAGGAGATCCGCTCTCAATAAATAAATAAATAAATAAATAAATAAAACATCAATACTAATCAATACCAATACTGTCAATACCAATCCTACCAAAAAAACAGAAGAGGGTTTAACACTTCCCAACTCATTTTATAGAACAGTATGACGAGAGATAAAACAGGCAAAGATATCAAAAGAAAACTACAGACTAATATTCCTTATGAATATAGACACAAACACTAGCAAACAACTTAAAACAATGCATAAATGGAATTACACACCATGAGTAAATGGAATTTATCCTAGGAATTCAAGGGTGGTTTGGCAACAATCAATGTAATAGACACCATATGAATAAAGTACAAAAACCATGTGGCTTCCCAATAGACGCAGGAAAGAAATTTGAGGAAACTCAACACCCTTTCATAATAAAAGGATGCTCAACAAACTAGAAATCGAAGGAAACCTCCTCAGCCTGATGCTTATGTTTATGGTCAATTGATTTTCAACAAGAATACTATAACAACTCAAAAGGGAAAGAATAGTCTTCTATTTTTTAATTTAAAAATTTTTGTTTTTTCCAGGTTTATTGAGGTATCAATGATAAAAATTGTATATATTTAGGTTATACAATAGGATGTTTTCATATATGTGTAGATTGTGAAATAATTACCACAATAAAGCTAATCAGCACATCTATCACCTCACAGAATTACCATTTTGTGTGCATGAAGAACAGTCATTTAAATAAATGATGCTGGAACAAGTGGACTTCATGCAAAAACATGAAGTTGAACCCCTTTCTTGCACTACACTAACACAAAGACTAACTCAAAATGGACCACAGACCTTAGTGTCATAACTGAAACTATAAAACTGTCTGAAGAAAACACAGGTATAAGTCTTCATGACCTTGGATCAGACCATGGTCTCTTAGATATGAACCAAAAGCACTAGTAATGGAAGAAAAAAGTAGATAAATTGGCTACATTAAAATTAAAACTTTTTTGTTGCAAATGATACCACTAATAAAGAAGACAACATACAGAATGGGAGAAAATATTTGCAAATCATATATCTAATCTAACGAGGGACTAATATCCAAAATAAATAAATAACTTTTACAACTCAATAATAAAAAACCCAACTGCAGATTAGTGAAGGATTTGAATAGACATGGTTTTAAAGAAGTCATGCAAATGGCCAATGAGCGCACGCAAAGATGTTCAACTTCATTATCCACCAAGAAAATGCAAATCGAAACCACAATGAGACATCAGCTCAAACCTGTGAGGATGGCTAGATGAGAAAGATAGATGATGTAAAGATTGGAGAGGATGTGAAGATATCGGAACCACTGAGATGAGGAACCAAGGAAATGCATACTTTCCTGATAAGGATGTGAGATGGTGCAACCATGTGGAACACAGTCCAGCAATTTCCCAAAAAGGTGAACACAGAGTCACCACACGAACCTGCAGTTCTACTCCTAGGCACAGACCCAAGAGAAACAAAAACACATTCACGCCAAAGCTTGTACGTGATTGCTCACAGCACAGTCTGTATCAGTCCTTTCTTGAACTGCTATAAAGAACTACCTAAGACTGGGTAATTTCTAAAGAAAAGATGTTCAATTGGCTCACAGTTCTGCAGGCTGTACAGGAAGCATGGCTGGGGAGGTCTCAGGAAAGTCACAATCCTGGCAGAAGGTAAAGGGGAAGCAGGCACGTCTTGCATGGCTGGAGCAGGAGGAAGAGAGTAAAGGGGGAGGCGCTACACACTTTTTTTTTTATATTTTTTATTTTTATTTTTATTTTTATTTTGTTTGAGACAGTCTCGCTCTGTCACCCAGGCCGGACTGCAGTGGCACGATCTCGGCTCACTGCAAGCTCTGCCTCCCGGGTTCACGCCATTCTCCTGCCTCAGCCTCCAGAGTAGCTGGGACTACAGGTGCCCGCCACCATGCCTGGCTAATTTTTTGTATTTTTAGTAGAGACGGGGTTTCACCGTGTTAGCCAGGATGGTCTTGATCTCCTGACCTCGTGATCCGCTTGCCTCGGCCACCCAAAGTCCTGGGATTACAGGCGTGAGCCACTGCACCCGGCCTACACACTTTTAAACACTCAGGCTTCCTGAGAACTCACTGCCACAAGAACAGCGAGGTGGATTCCACGCCCATGATCCAATCACTCCCACCAGCTCCCTCCTCCAACATCGGAGATTACAATTCTACATGAGATTTGGGTGGGGACACGAATCCGAACCATATCAGAGTCATTCACAATCACCCAAAAGCAGAAACAACCCAAATGCTTCCTATCCGATGAATAGATAAATAAAGCATGATCTACTCAAACAATGGAATAGTAGCCACAAAAAGGAAAGCAGTGGTTTATGCTGCAGCAGGAATAAACCCTGAAACCACGACGCTGAGTTAAAGAAGCCGGACAAAGGAGGCCAGGTAGTGTCGTGCCTGTCTACAGGACACGTCCACAGAAGTGGACAAATCTACAGAGACAGGAAGAAGATTAGGGGTTGCTGGGGCTGAGGGTACGGGGTCTGGGTGCATGGTGAGGTCTAAAGAGCACGGGGTGTCTTGGGGGTAATACAAGTGTTCTCACATTCATCGTAGTGAGGATTGTACAACTCTGAATATACTAAAAGCTGTTGAATTACACACTTTAAATAAGTGAATTTTACGGTAAGCAAATTATATCTTAAGACATTAAAAATAATAACAAAGGACGGAACTCACACATCTTCTTTAGACAGAAATGTAGTCTCACTGCAGCAAGTATGGCTTAAACCTGCTTCTGAACCGTGCACAGTTGTAGGCCTGTCTCAAGTGTTCCGTCGTTGACTTGTGTCCCGCCTCGCCGGGCAATGATGTATGTGTGGAGCGCAGTCATGTTCTTTGTTACGCAACACAGTTTTCACCTTGGGCTAAGATGATGTGATTCTTCCAAGGTTTGTGGCAGAAATCCCATTTAATAAACTGGTCCAGATTTCTTCATGCCGTAAAATTGTTTAAAGAAGTTATTTATTCTGCCTAGCAAAGGATATTATTTTTATTCCATTTTCATCCATTCTACAATAGAAAATATACTTCACACTTCACAGCTTTCTTCTACACATATAAATCTTTTGAACATGTGAATCGTTTCCACACACCCTCCCTGGCCTTCTGTGTTGAATTTTCTTTGCCATTTTCTCAGGGAAAGGAAGCTGCATATTTCGTGGCTGTTTTAAAGATGAGCAAAAATAGACAGCACAGAATTGTCTGTAGAGTCTGACATACAAATTGCTGGGAGTTAGGCCTGAGTCTACTTGGAAATTGTGATGGTTAAGAAAATCCCATTCTCTGACAATTCTACTCAGAGCCAACTATTGAGGACCTGGGAACTTATGGCTTGAAAGGGAGTGACCGGGGGGCTTCTCTAAAGACCCTACTTGTCTCCTGAGCCACGTCCTAGCCTCTGCCGGGTCTGCAGGAGCTGGGGTGGGGTCATTGTGAGTGGGTTCTTAGGTGAAGAAATGCACATGAACTCAGCTCTGAGACACTAATAACATGGTGCCCAGTGCACCTGCTGCAGGTACAAAGGTGAGCACCAGACAGAGCTCCCCGGGACAAAAACTGAACACAGTTCAGAGACACAGTTCCCTCCGAGAAGTGATGCTCTGCCGGGGAATAATTTTATTATGAATGACCTTGTCAAGGTCCTCCTAAACATGGAACTGTGGCTGACGGCCTGCCCAGAGGGTGGCCTGCCTAGAGGGTGTTCCAGCTGGCGTCTGTCTCTCATCGCGATGCCATCCTCATCCTGAGCCCCTGGACTCCTGTCCTGTCTCTCAGTTGCAGAGTGAAGATTTTGTTTTTTATATTTGCTGATTTATATCACATCATGGAGTTTTTGGTCTCTTAATCTCGGAGGCTGTCCAGGGAGAGCTAAGGAAATGCTGGCGGTTGGAACCTGTTCATTCTTGCCTAGAGTAAGGTACCTTCCAGGGCCAGCTGGGACCCTCTGGAACCCCAACCCGAGCTGTGCCGTGGAGGAGGAAAGCACAGCTTGGCCTGGTACTCACCAAGCTCTCGTCATGGTGTCCGACACTCCCTTCTGTCTCCTCGGAGGGCCAGGCTTCCGTGCTCTGGGCTCCAGCAGGACGGGGATGGACGTATCCCTAGACACCTGCATCAGTCAAGGTCATGGATATTGGGAAGACAGACAGCAGCAGACCCAGGTCTGAGCTCACATGTAGCCACTGATGTGCTGTGTGACCTGTACCATTGGCCCAGGCTCTCTGAGCTTCAGACTTCCCACCTGGAAGTTGGAGATAAGAACACTTACCTTACAGGATTGAAAAGGGGTGTATAACAGGCCAGGGGCTGGCAGACGAAGGGCTTGAGTGAATGACAGCTCCTTGTCTCCCATTCCTGGACAGGAAAAGTCTGCACCTCACTGAGAGCCTCGACTTCACATGCCAACTTCAACAAACTCTCACTGCCCCTCTCCCAGGGGTCAGGCATTTGCGCTATGTTATATCGTTAACTCCCAGCACAGCCTTCTAAGGTACTACATATGACCGCCATCATTTTCCACACCAGGCAAGTTTTACAAAGCGTCAGTGCCTTCCCAGAACCATGTGGCCAGGGGGTAAGAAGATGGCTCTCCAGCCGCAGGCCAAGCACCTTGTCCTGTCCATTTCACTGGCCTTCACGGAGGTCCGGGGTGCCTCCCTGCACCACCTGAACCCGAAAGCAAGGCCACAGGGCTGTTGCTCACCCCAGGGCTCCTCTTGGCCTGAGAGTTCCATGTTCAGCCGCAGGGGAGTTGCTGGCCCCTGGTCTCTGCCTTTTCCTTGGAGAAGCCTCCATCCAACTGTGTGGTCATAGCAAAGAGCCAGCAAGGGTCTGACAGGCTGGGGAGCCCAGGAACAGGAGGGTGAGGACCAAGCTCTGGGCAGATCCCAGCTGCCTCCCCTAGTCCCCTCGGGAAGGGGAGGCCCAGCAGAGAACACAGGGGCCGGGGGGGCCTGGAACGTGCTGAGACCACAGTGCCGGACACTCCCAGCTCAAGGGGCAGCAGCAGGGGCGCCTTCCTGAGGAGTGAGAAGCCAGCGGCCCCTCCCTTCCATTCTCAACTAAATGGCCCTCTCTCTGACCCTGCCCGAGACCACAGAGGAAGGAAAGCAGGTGCCATGAGGAAGCAACATGGCTTCTTGAGACTTTATAGATGGTTGATTATGAGGCTCTGGAAGTGCTGTGTGTGGAAATTACGAAACTACTTGATGTTATCTGCAGGCTAGCCAGGGCCCCAGGCAGGCAGAGCAGGGTGGAACCCTGGCCAGGGCCCCTGTGTCAGCTCAGAGCTGGCTGTGGGTGGACCTGCATCCCAACTGTCTGCTGTGGAAATACTACTTTACTGGGAGTTTCTCTTGAAGTTTGGTCATAACTTTTGGCCTCTTGAGAGTGACGATCTCATAAACAGGACCGCTGTGATGGAGAGCAGGGCCTCCGCCTGCACCTTCCTGGCAACTACTCCCCTGCAGAGGGCATGTGGCTGCTCCCCAGTCCCCAGGCAGCTGGCGACCTTGGCCAGGCCGATCAGGGTGACCCCAAGGGGCTGGGAGGGGCATGGGACCCGAGAGGACTCCCTGGTGCCTTCTGGAACTCCTGGGGTGATCAAAGGCTCAGGGCTGCCTTTCTTAACATTCTGAAGTCAGCCTCAGGATGCGGGTTCGCAACACAAAGCAAAGCCAGAGGAGGACGATGAGATGGGAATAACACCCTGTGGGCCTTCCCCTCATCCCCACCCATACCCTCACGTAGTCCCTGAAGCTGCAGCCCTGGGGTGAAAATCCTTCCTGCTTCCCTTTCAGAAGCTTTCATGAACGTTTCCTCGGCTCCCCCAATGCTGAGGCAAACAAGCCCCCTCTCCCAGCTCCCCTGCTGTGTGCCCTCCTGCAAGCCCTTCCGCTCACGAACCTCGGGGTCCCAGGACCACCCCAGCTCAAGGTCAACATAAAGACTAAAGGAGGTGGGAGGGAGGGCCCGGCACCCACCAAGCTGGCTTGAATCCATCAGCATCCTTTGTTCAGAAGGGCTCTCGGGGCCATGCAAACCCAGACAGCAGGACTACAGGCCAGGTCAGGACACAGTCCGAAGGTTGGAAATCATTAGGGACAAGCTCCTTTCTGTGAGCCCAGTCACATGACGATCACACATGCCAAACTGAGCACACGTGATCATACGGTCCCACCCAGCACCCCCTTCCTAGCCACACTCAGGGCTTTATAGTGGCAACAAAAATGGCCAACAGGCTACCCCAGGATGCAGGTGGAACACACAGATGACCAACTACATGACGTACAGCTGACTCACACCCTCCCGTGACCACCCACAGAGACAGAGCTGACTCACACCCTCCTGTGACCACCCACACACACAGAGCTGACTCACACTCTCCTGTGACCACCCACACACACAGAGCTGACTCACACCCTCCTGTGAGCACCCACACAGACAGAGCTGACTCACACGCTCCCGTGACCACCCACACAGACAGAGCTGACTCACACGCTACTGTGACCACCCACAGAGACAGAGCTGACACACACCCTCCTGTGAGCACCCACACGGACAGAGCTGACTCACACCCGCCGGTGACCACCCACAGAGACAGAGCTGACTCACACCCGCCTGTGACCACCCCAGAGACAGAGCTGACTCACACCCGCCTGTGACCACCCACAGAGACAGAGCTGACTCACACCCTCCTGTGACCACCCACACAGACAGAGCTGACTCACACCCTCCCGTGACAACCCACACAGAGCTGACTCACACCCTCCTGTGAGCACCCACACGGACAGAGCTGACTCACACCCTCCTGTGAGCACCCACACAGACAAAGCTGACACACACCCTCCCGTGACCACCCACACAGACAGAGCTGACTCACACCCTCCTGTGAGCACCCACACAGACAGAGCTGACTCACACCCTCCCGTGACCACCCACACAGAGCTGACTCACACCCTCCTGTGACCACCCACACAGAACTGACTCACACCCTCCTGTGAGCACCCACACAGACAAAGCTGACTCACACCCTCCCGTGACCACCCACACAGACAGAGCTGACTCACACCCTCCTGTGAGCACCCACACAGACAGAGCTGACTCACACCCTCCCGTGAGCACCCACACAGACAGAGCTGACTCACACCCTCCCGTGACCACCCACACAGACAGAGCTGACTCACACCCTCCCGTGACCACCCAGAGCTGACTCACACCCTCCTGTGACCACCCACACAGACAGAGCTGACTCACACCCTCCCGTGACCACCCACAGGCAGAGGTGACTCACACCCTCCTGTGACCACCCACACAGACAGAGCTGACTCACAACCTCCCGTGAGCACCCACATGGACAGAGCTGACTCACACCCTCCTGTGACCACCCACACAGACAGAGCTGACTCACACCCTCCTGTGACCACCCACACAGACAGAGATGACTCACACCCTCCCGTGAGCACCCAGACAGACAGAGCTGACACACACCCTCCTGTGACCACCCACACAGACAGAGCTGACTCACACCCTCCCGTGAGCACCCACACAGAGCTGACACACACCCTTCTGTGACCACCCACACAGACAGAGCTGACTCACACCCTCCCGTGAGCACCCACACAGACAGAGCTGACACACACCCTCCTGTGACCACCCACACAGACAGAGCTGACTCACACCCTCCCGTGAGCACCCACACGGACAGAGCTGACACACACCCTCCTGTGACCACCCACACAGACAGAGCTGACTCACACCCTCCCGTGAGCACCCACACGGACAGAGCTGACACACACCCTCCCGTGACCACCCACACAGACAGAGCTGACACACACCCTCCCGTGACCACCCACTCAGACAGAGCTGACTCACACCCTCCTGTGACCACCCACAGACAGAGCTGACTCACACCCTCCCGTGACCACCCACACAGACAGAGCTGACACACACCCTCCTGTGAGCACCCCACATGGACAGAGCTGACTCACAACCTCCTATGAGCAACCACGTGGACAGAGCTGACTCACACCCTCCCGTGACCACCCACCACCCACATTGACAGAGCTGACTCATACCCTCCCATGAGCAACCATGTGGACAGAGCTGACTCACACCCTCCTATGATCACCCACATGAGGCAGAGGTGACTCACAGCCTCCCCCGCTGGACATGGCCTGAAGCTTGGCTCTGGGAGGAGAACAGGGGTGCCTGCGCCATCCTCTGCTGTGTTTAATGCCTGGGTGCTGCCCACACACTGGTGGTGCCCAGCCCCCGTGCCCCTGCTCCACCTCTGTGAGTGTGAAAGTGTCAGGAGTTGGCTGTTCCAGACCCAGTGAGGTGGTGAAGCTGACTCAGCTGCCAGAGGGAAGACAGGAGGCTACTCAGAGAGAGGTGTGCGGGGCAGGGGGCAGCCTGGTCATGCAGGCGGGTGAGGATGGGGGGATGTGCCCTGGGGTCTGTAACCTGAGCGGGAAGTGGAGGGGCCTTAACAGTCCGATGTCTGCGCCAGGAAGTGGTGACGGATTGGGCGAGAAGTCTTGAGGCCTGGGTGTGTCCTGAGAATTTCGGTCTCTCCTCCCACAATAGACACTGCCAGGGAGTGGGGGCAATGCCGAGAGTTTTTTGTTTGTTTGTTTACATCGTGGTAAAATATACACAACATAAAATTTACCACCAGAGCCCTTTTTCAGTGTGCTGTTCAGCGGCACTGAGCGCTTCACACTGGTGCAGCCGTCCACACCATCGTCTCTGGAACGTTCTCAGCTTCCCGAGAACTGCCATGTTTACAGGCACTGACTAATTTTCTAGGATGACCTGGTGGGGTGATGTGAAGGTTTGCAGGTGCCGCCCCCCGACCCCCGCCCCAGGCCTTTGCTCAGTCAATGCTGTACTTGTTTCTAGAGGAAGATTTAAAGCCCATTCTCCGCTCTGGAACGCAAACCCTCCTCTTTTCCCAAAGGTGCTTCCTGTCCTTCCAGGGCTGGGTCAGACATCCTATGCTGCTTAGAACTCCCAAAGCACCACAGCCGGAATAGACTCGAGCTGCGTCTCTGCTTCCCCAGGACACAGGCTCTACTCTCCGACTGGCAGGGCTGCGAGTCCCACTGAAACCTTTGTGCTCAGGAGAGGAAAACTTTGTGGGATAAATGAATAAGGGAGGCTGTGACTTTTCCTCAGTCTTGAATTTTGATGTTGTAGTGATTTGTCCCGGGGTCTCATTTTTCTATTGTGTGTCGTGTTTATCTTGATAACATCTGCTTTTGAGATAGTTTTTCTCAAAACTATTGTTGCTTTCATCCAGTCTTGCTGACAATTTCTAATTAGCAGTAAAAAAAAAATAATAATGAATGCCAAGGCTGCAAGAAATGTTTAAAAATGATCTTTTCTTATTTCAGATGAAAAGAAAGTGAAAGATCAAATAGACCAAAGGTTCTTAAAGCCCATGTTTTAAAAAAATGTATGCAGCTCTAAAATTCAATGTTTTTTATTTCTCATCTTTATAAGAACAAATTTATGAACATTGTTTTGGGGACAGTGACTACTAGAATAGAATAACAAAAGGTAAGTATCCAGAATACTTAAGGAATTTACAAAATAATAAGAATAAAGTGAAAAACCCAAAGAAAGGGGCAGACGTTATGAACATAAAATTCACAAACAGGAAGCAGGAGTGGCCACAAGCCACGGACACGCTCAGTCCCACCAGTGCTCAGAGACACACAAACTCAGACAGGTGAAATGGACAAAAATTCAGATCATCAGTGGGTAACATAACGCCCAAGTGGGTGACTTTGCCCTGGGGGACATTTGGCAATGTGTGGAGTCATTTCTGGTTTCATAGCTGGGGGTGTCGTTGTCATCTGTGGGTGGAGACCACGGATGCGGCTCAACACCCCACAGTGCACAAGACGTCCCACGGTGCACAGGATGCCCCACAGCAAAGAGCCGTTTAGGCAAAACCATCAGCAGTGCCAGACAAAGATGCCGAGACGCAGGGAGGGAGGCAGATCGGCCAGAGCTCTTGGACGCTGCTGGTGGCCTGAGAAACGCACAACCAGTGTGGGGCCCGCGCGGGGCCGCCCAGGACAGACGGAAACCAGTGTGGAAACCAGTGTGGAGCCACCGTGGTGCTGCCCAGGACAGACGGAAACCAGTGTGGAGCCCGCGTGGGGCCGCCCAGGACAGACGGAGGCTGTGCACACCCTATGGCCTGGCGACTCTGTTCTGAGGTTCACACCTTAGAAAACCCCTCACATTCAAGCACAAAGAGGCACAGCTAAAAACGTGTATTGCAGCATTGCCATAACAAAAAATGAACACGTCCGTCAGGGGAAATGGATCAGGATGCACTTGTATGATGCAGTATGTGCTGCATTCAGCGAGGTACTCACAACAGCATGGGTAAATCTCAAAAACACAGTGTGGGAAGAAAAGGGCCCCCAAAGTACAGCAATATTTATAGGGAGTTTTAAAGCCCTCAAAACAATATATCTTCCTGGGAGAATCTCAAGGATATTTCTCAGAGAAACAGAAAAACCCACCCTAAATTCACATGGAATCTCAAGGGTTCCTGATTACCCAAAACAATCCTAAAAAGAACGAAGCTGGAGACTCACATTTCCTGATTCAAAATTTTACTGCCAAGCCACAGGAATGAAAGCATCACCGTCCTGATATAAAGGTGGTGTATGGACCAAGGGAACAGAGGCGAGGACCCAGAAATAAACCCTCAAACTCAAGGTCGAATGGGCTTTGGCACAGGTGCCAGGATGGCAGGACTCCTCAATGGGAAAAGACAGCCGCTTCCACCGATGGTGCTGGGAAACAGGACATCCACACGCAAAGGAATGAAATTGGCCCCTACTTTACAGCTGACAAAAATCAGTGCAAAGTACATCAAAGACCTAAATGTGAGACCTAAACCTCTCATAAGGAAACACAGGGAAAACTGCCACGATGTTGGATTTGGCAGTGACTTCTTGAAGGTGACACCAAAGGCCCAGGCGACAACAGAAAAAGCAGACAGCGGGACTGCGTGGAAACAAAAACATTTCGTCCATCAAATGACATTAAGAGTAAAACGGCAGAGCACACAATGGGGAAAATATTTACAAATCATGCATCTAGTAAGGGGTTAAAAACCAGAATCTATAGAGAACTCCTAAAACTCAAAAAAAAAAAAAAAAAACAAACAAAAAAAACCCTGATTCAAAAATGGCCAAAGGACTTGAATCAACATTTATCCAAAGAAGACACACAAGTAGCTGATAAATCCACGAAGCGGTGCTCACCTCACCCGTTGGGATGGCTGCTATAGAAACAAAACACAAAGGCAACGAGCGAGCGTCGTGGAGCGCTTGGAACCCTCGTGCACTGTTGGCGGGAATGTGAAATGGTGCAGCTACCATGGAAGCTCCTCAAACAAGTAAACATAGAATTGCCACAGCATCCAGCAATTCGTCTCCTGGGCGTACACCCAAAACACTGAACAGGGTCTCGAGGATACGTCTGCACACCCATGCTCAGGGCGGCCCCGTCGGGCGGGCACCTTCAACAGCAGGTTTGCTTGCGGCTCACTCCAGCTCTAAGCACAGTGCCATGCGTGCAGTAGGTGCCCACTGTGTGCGCAGAAGGACAGCTGGCGGAGCAGCCGGACCAGCCCCCACGATGGGTGGGGGGCTGCCGTGGGCACCCACTCAGCTGGTCCCGGGTGTGAGAGGGGCCGCTGTGACACTGAGTCCCACGCGGGATGACCTTGGCGACCGGAAGCCTCTGCACTTCCAAACCCCGCTGAGCAGCCCAGGTCAAGCATCAGAAAATCAGGGAAAGGTTCTTTTTTGTCTCTTAAGAGTTTTGCAGCTCTATAGCCTCTCTCCTTCCAGGAATCAGGTAACAGGGCAGCGTCCCGCAAGGACCTTGGGAGCTGGGGCTGTGGCTGCCCTCTTGGTGCCTCTGGGGAAGGAAGGAGGGAAAGGGATCACGGTGGCCGTCGGAGTTCCCTCCTGCAGCCTGGCCACCCGTGGCTTCAGACCGCACCTGGGGGTGTCCCAGGCTTTGGACACTCAGGGACGTGGACTCAAGGGGTTGCCGGAGCCACTCAGCTAAAAAAAAAAAGCACCTCACCAGGAGTGGGCGTGGCCGCATCTGCCTCTCCCTGTGACCATTTCATGGTGACCTCTGTTCAGGAAACCCCCCGAGGACAGGCCCCTCAGCCTCAGGAAAGAGCCAGGAAATACACATCCGAGCTTATGAGTTTCCCTTGAGTTGCGTCAGGTCCATAGAGAAAACAGGCGTCTAAGTCTGTGATGGAGCCCCCCACACGGGTTTATCCGGGTATAACGGATAAACGCCAAGCCCGGGCCGTTGGGACCAGCCTGAGCTTCCCTCCAAAGTCCCCGCAGGGCTCATCACCACTAACAATAGTGACAGCTAAGGCTGGCTGTGAGAGGGGCTGTCTAGGGCGTTCACCTGCACCAACGCCCCACCCAGTCCCCACCTGTCCTCCCTCATACATGGGTGGTCTTGGGAGCCCAGATCACAGCCCGCAGGCGGCACAGCTGTGGTCGACCTGGACGTAGTGGCCAGCCGGCCCGGCCCCGACCTGCCAGAGGACCCTGCGGGATGTGTCCAGGGACTCCCAGCAACCCGTCCCTGCACCCTCACGCTCACCTGTCATGACTGGCTTCCCAAGCAGGGTCCCTGGAGGCTCTAGCAACGGGGTGTGAGCACACTTGTCACCATCGAGTGGGGCCGACGCTCCCCCAGCGTGTGTGTGTGTGTCCGTGAGTCTGTGGTCCACATGCGTGCTGCACCCCACAGCAGGGACGGTTGGCTCACCAAAGTTTGTGTTCAACCAACTCTGGATCCAAAACGCAGCAGGTCCTTCAAAGGTTCACCCCATTTAACTTGCAAGCGGCTCTTACGCGGCAGGTGCGGTGATTCCTCATCCTGCGAGCCGTTCAACCAGGGCGAGAAGGCCTCCGCCTCGGCAGAAACAGCCCAAAGCTGCACCTTGCCAGGGCCACCTGGTGCAACGAGGCTGTGGGCTCCTTCATGCCATCTCTCAGAGAGGCAAAAGCTGGGATCCTGTTAATAGCATTCTCTGTGGAAAACACTCAGCCTGGGGCTAATGTCTGGCGCGCTCTAAGGCGGCTGAATCCCTGCGCCCCGGCCACCTCCACTGCCCTGGGCCGAGCTGAATCCCTGCGCCCCAACCACCTCCATGGCCCTGAGCCGAGCTGGGCGTTCACAGCCTCCCTGAAGCTCAGCTGCGTGGCCACGTGGGGTTGCACGTCAACTGGGAACTAGGTGCAGCCACAACCAGGGAGCCAAGGCCTCGGATGTGTGGAAATCATTGATGGTTTCTGCTAGAGACTGTCCTTCTGGTCACGGGATGCCTTTTCATCGTTCCTCCCTCATAGAAAATACTCTTAGCTGTTCCCAAAGGAGACGGCCCAGAGTGCCTTCCTCTCCCGACTTTAGCTCAGAATCGGGGCATCTGCCTGGGTTCTGCCCCACGTGGGCCCAACAGAGTCTCCTCACGGACGGAGGCCTGTGCACTGAGCACAAGCCCTCCACTTACCCTCAGCCCTGTCCACCAAACCCTCAGCACTGTCCCACCAAATGCACAACAGCAGACAGGACACCTACAACAAAAGCGCAGTCCAAATAAAGGGTCGCTGCTGCAGTGGCTGTGCAGCCTCCGACACTGTGACCTCTGGGGAGGAACGGTGCAGACCTGGCCTCGGCAGGCAGCTCCCTGATGAGGCCCCAGACGTGCTCCCCTGAGGGGCCAGGAGGGATGCTCTGGGCTCTGCCCTCCCGTCCAGAATCCTCCATGACTTCCAGGCCACGTGTTGGGAGTCACCTTCTGAGCATTTCCCAGCCTGCACAGCCCACTTTCTGCAGGGTCGGAGGGTTGGTTCAGGACTTCCTTCTCAGCATTTCCCAGCCTGCACAGTCCACTTTCTGCAGGGTCGGAGGGTTGGTTCAGGACTTTAAGCCAGATTGCAAACGCACCGAAGGCGTCCAAACCAGCTCACCAAGCCTGTTCCTTGTGCAGTGACCACACCAGGGCTGCTTCCTGTTGCCTGAAGGCTAACGACACGTTTCTGCTTCTCTCTTCTCTCTGCAGCCACTGTGGCTTCTCTGGGCCCATCGGGGCTGTAGTTGTGTCAGCCCTGCTGGAAACAGGCTGGATCTGGCCACACTCATTCTGTGAAACACCCGGTGGGGTTCTGCAACCAACAGCCTCGTCCCCGGCATCCTGCATTCCTAGCTGCTTCCCAGAGCTGCCACCCTGGGACCTCAGTGGCCTGAGTGGGTAAAAGCCACAGCTGTGCCTGATTCTGCGGCTCCTGGGCTACACGTTCCTCTAGCCCCATGTGTCTCCTCTCATGCTGCCCAGCATTCCATCCTCACCACGTGCTTGGGGTTTTGCTAGGGCAGCTCGCCACTCCTGGGGTGGATTTCTGTATCCCTGCAGAGCCGGCTCGCCTACAATCAGAGCCCCACATGCCTGTTGTGGCTGTTTCTCCCGTGGAGTCGTCCAGGGCCCAGCTCCTGCTGTCTGGCTCTGCTCATGGCCACTGCAGATGCTGAATTCAAAAGAAGAGGGCAGGGAAGCTGTGTGGGGTGCTCAGCTGTGAGGATGACCTCACAGGGCCACAGAACCTAGTGGGGTAGGGCAACACAGCCCCACCGTGTGCCTGGGAGCAGGAGGAAAGCTGGGGGGCATCTGGCAGTTCCTACCACAGAAGCCACGGCTGCTCAGTTGGGGAGTGGAGCAGCCGGGAGTCAAACAGTGCTTGCCTGACGTCCAGACCCCGCTGTAGTCACCAGCCGTGCGAGAGCACAGCAGCCAGGGTCCTGCTCTCAACATGTAGCCTGCTCTGGCCACTGCAGGCAGCCGAACAAAATGCAGGGGCCAGGCTTTCTGCTGAGGACTTTGATTCAACAGATGCACCTTTAACAAGCCACTAAGTTCTGTGGACTGCTTTGCAGGGGCAGGATTTGGTGAGGAAGCAAAATAATGACTTTACACAGAAGCCTGTTCTCTAGGAGGTCCTGAGTCATTTACATCGGTGACCTGGGGCAGCAGTCAGGCTGCGGGAGCACAACCCAGGCAAAGCACCTGCTGAGGAAGGGCCCAGCATCCTGCAGAAGCTCCTACCACGTGTGGGGCGCCTGGCCCTTGCCTTGGCGTTTCTTATCTTTTACTTACATCTGTGATTTCAGAGCCTCCCAGTGTCCTAAGACCTTGCTTACAGGGCTTTGGGCTAGTTCCAACATTCCTGGGGCTCGATGGGAAGCTCAGCACCAGACAGCCACGCTTGGGCACGTTCAGACCCTCAGCCAGCACGGGCCATGTTCTTCGGAGAGGAGGCCTGCTTGAGATACAGCTTCCGTTACAGTGCGGTGGGCAGGTGGGCCGGTCGTGCCTGAAAGGAGGGCAGTTGATGAAATGCACCTGGGAAGGTTCGTGGGTTCAAAACTGTCTTGTCAGGAGGGAACTGAGTGTGGGTCAGAACAAGGCCACGGAGGTGGCGTCCACTGAGCTGTGATCGTGTACGAGGGCAGGATCTCGCTTAAATACAGTGAAACTGTCTTGCGATGGAAACTCCCTTTGCAAACAGCTCATGATTCTGCTTGTGGATAATTTAAGTTGCTGTTGTGTCTCCTGCCTTATGATAGCTAATTGCAATCACTCCTCCCACAGGAGGTGTGTCTAACCCACCTGAACGTGGTTATCCCTGAAGCCATTCCACCCTTTCGTTGCGTCAGCATTGACCCAGAAGACTCATTTTGACCCCGGCCTGTCGTCATCGAGAGCAAGGCCACGGCAGTCACCCGCTGCCCTTGTGCGCAATCGCTGCTCAGTGGACGCTGCCTCCGTGGCCTTGTTCTGACCCACACTTGGTTCCCTCCTGACAAGACAGTTTTGAACCCATAAACGCCTATCTTTCCAGGTACATTTCACAACTGCCCCCCTACCAGTCACCACCGCCCCACCTGCCCACAACACTGCAACGGAAGCCGTCTCTCAAGCAGGCCTCACTGAAGACCACGGTCCATGCTGCTGAGGTCATGAATGTCCCCAGCGTGGCCACCTGGCACTGGCTTTTCCCCATCTGGGGAAGCTGGAAATGCCCAAAGCCCGGGTCTTGGATTCTGCTTTTTCTACTCAGATAAAGACACTTGGATCTGGGTCTGAAGTGCAGGCTGTGTTCCCACTCATCCCATCACTGAGGTCCTTGTGACCCCAGGGTCAGCTGTGTTCCCACTCATCCCATCGCAGAGCATCTGTGACCCCAGGTCATGCTGCTTATTCTTCCCAGGCTGCATATCAAGGTATACATATCAATGTATACCATCAGGATGAAATATCTTCCTAGAAGAAGTGATAGAGAAATAAATGAGGAGATGATTTGAAAAGCACTTTGAACTAAGAATTCTGAGCCTCTGGGCTGTCACTCTGGGCAAACCACAAAATATCAAAGAGCCGGTCTGTCATCAGCCACCAATCCAGTTAGCAGACACGACCGAGAACCCTGGATTCAGAAGCAGCCGCCAACCCAGTTAGCAGACACGACCAAGCACCCTGGATTCAGAGGCAGCCACCAATCCAGTTAGCAGACACGACCAAGCACCCTGGATTCACAGGCAGCCACCAATCCAGTTAGCAGACACGACCAAGCACCCTGGATTCACAGCCAGCCACGAATCCAGTTAGCAGACACAACCAAGCACCCTGGATTCAGAGGCAGCCACCAATCCAGTTAGCACACATGACCGAGCACCCTGGATTCACAGGCAGCCACGAATCCAGTGAGCAGACACACCAAGCACCCTGGATTCAGAGGCAGCCGGTTTTTCAGAACCAGCTCTGTTGTTCACTAGCCTCCTGGCCTTAATTAAGTTTCTTATTTCCTGAGCTTGTGTTTCCAGGTAAGATTCTCAAGAGACAAAGAAGAATAATGCTCCCTAAAAGCTGCCGCACACATGCCCTGTGTGTGCCCGTGACATGTCCCAAGCCCTGATGGGGAGTGGCTCATTTTGTACCACACAGCTGTCATCCCCACTTCACAGAGGAAGAAACTCAGGGGGCTGAAATACTTGCCTGAGACATGGAAGCAGTCAGTGGCAGAACTGGGAGATAACCGAGAAACTGAGTGGAATGCCGCCTAATCAAAGGACCCCTATGGAGAAGGTCCTCATGAAAAGGCAGCAGATGCTCCTTTTTTATAGCAAAAATGTTAATTCTTTCTATTTTGGCTGAACTTTTCACATCCCAATTCCTCTCTGGAGCTGCTGACACACAAGCCCCAGGTGGCAGGGCGAGCTCTCTCCGCCTGCTTATGTTTTTTTCTTGCTTGTGACCCAGAAAAATTGCCAAAGTCAAGGAACATTCTGTAATGAGATTTTACTATGAAAGAGGAGATTTACTCCCATGAGTCTCAGATGGCACAACTTGTTTGTCAGCTAAGACCGCTGCTTTCCAGTCCTAATTCTGTTCTGGTAGATGTTTTAAGTATTTCATTTTTGTTTTGTTTCTAGTGAGAATGTAATGTGATATGAGGCTAACCTCAAGCTGCAGATGTAGAGAATCACCTGGAATTATCACAGGGTGTTGCCCTGCGAGGATCTGGGCACGCCAGGTGATGAGTGGCATGTGCACGACAATGTACGGATGGAAAGAGTCCACGTAGGTTATAAGATTCCTGAGTCCATGTCATCGGTGTTGGTTCCTTGGGGATGGACCTGGAATACTTTTCCACGTTGGGTGCAGCTGGGACTGAAGATCTTCCAATTTGATTTCGACAAGAGCCAATAAAAGCTGGAAACACCAGACAATTGAAAATATTAGAAATTGTTAATTTTCTTAAAAATCTCAACTTTGTTTCAATTAAGACTTCAAAACCACTGCTTCCAGAGTCAGTGAGTTTTGAGGGAGATATGGAATGCAACAAAACACTCCAGGATAGTTCAGCTCACTTTTCTGCCTCACGTGGGATTCGCCCTGATGCTTCGCCCGCCCCTATTTATTAGGAGAATACTTGAGTCAGCCCCTCTCAGAGCCACTCCCAGCTTCTCACTTCTGGAGGTGGTTACTTACCCTGGACAGGTGGAGGCAGAGGACTTGGCGTTTAATCTATAATTTTACATAGAAACAGAGACACTGGTGGAAAACGATGGGTCATTTGCTGGAGTCTGACCACGAGTTGGTTTTACAAATTTCCTTAATTCTAGTGGAGGAAAGTGGTACAAATCTGTGTGTAATTAATAATGCCACAGCAAACAATCTTCATACTTTAAAAAGAAATCAGCCATTTAGGAGGCCACTTAGTGGCCAAATATAAGCAGTGTTTACAGGGCCTCATTTTCAAAATTAAAAATTAAAAGAGAAAAAGAAATCCCCAAGTCCCCTTAAGTAGAAATCTTGAGGAAATTTATGCAAAGTTACATTGACAGCTTTAACCCTGGCTGGCTTTAATTAGCTTGGTAAAGGTTAATAGCCTGTATCGTAATGTATTTCCTCAAAGGTGTCTCTCATTCCACATCGAAAGACCTTTTCACACAGATTATTCAAATTATAGCTTAATATTTCTTGATTAATTGTACTGGGAGGAGGTAGTGTGTCTGAGCGTGATCTAATCAGTGGAGAACGCAGCGGCCGTCACGCCTGGGTACGCTGGCAGCGGAGCTCCTCCCGGAGGACCCCTCCCCCTCCCCGCCGATTCCTCTCCTGTCTGCGTTTTCCAGGCTCATCTCAGATGCCGCCTTGTCTATGAAGCTCTCTTTGGTTCCTGCCCAGACCTCATCAGAATCAACGCCCCGGCTCTGTGCTGGCCAAAACCCCACGGTGCCTCTGGCCGTATGCAGTCCTTTCTTCTGACCCCATCTCGTCCTCCAGTCTCCACTGGTCTCAGGTCAATAGCTTTTTCCGAGGAGGCATCTATTAAATTGTTAAAGAATAGATTCGCAGCTGCCACCTGCTCAGAACAGTGGGAGACCATGTATGAAAATGGCCTGCCAGGCGGCCTGTGCCCTTGCAGGTTCCTGACTCAAGGAGATCTTAGGGAAGGCCCAGAGATGATTTCACTTTGGGTGAGCACATGCAAAAAGGGGCGTGTGCAGATTCTTCACAAGCTCTGCTTGGACACTGGCCCACCATCCCAGCACTTAACGCGACTGGCCCAGGTGGCAGAGGCACTGGTGTCCATCAGGGCCCACAGGTCGGGAATGCACACTGCTAACTGCAATTTGCTTTGCTCTCATTCATTTTAGCAGGGGAACTGCTGCAAAGAACATCCCTAAAAAGAATATCATGGTCTGGACTTTTTTTTTTTTTTTTTTTTTTTTTTGAGACAGAGTCTCGCTCTGTCGCCCAGGCTGGAGTGCAGTGGTGCGATCTCGGCTCACTGCAAGCTCCTCCTCCTGGGTTCACGCCATTCTCCTGCCTCAGCCTCCCAGATAGCTGGGACTACAGGCACCAGCCACCACGCCCGGCTAATTTTTTGTATTTTTAGTAGAGACGGGGTTTCACTGTGTTAGCCAGGATGGTCTCGATCTTCTGACCTCGTGATCTGCCCGCCTCGGCCTCCCAAAGTGGAAATTTTTTTTTTTAAGTTACAGAAACCACAGTTGAGAATTTCACAGTAATCAACCCACTGGCACGTCTGTTATGAGGTCTTCATCATCCCACAAACGCGTTGTTCCGCCTTGATCTTGTGAGGCGCTGGCCCTCTTCTTGTGGAGTTCTCACCGGCTCAGAGGGTCAGTGTGAGTGAGCCGATGTGTGCCGCACACCCAGGATGTCTACAGGACTGGGGGCTGGAAAATTGAGTGACATCTCTTGCCCTGGCACCTGTGGCAGGCAGTTCTGGGTAACCAACAGGAATCCCTCAGGCTGTGGGGCTGGACGGGAGACTGCAGCCTCCTGACTGAGTGTGCAGGTGGGAGACGCCGCCGAGTCACTTGTTGGAACGTGGCCCGAAACAAACTGCGGGTTTTGCTGGGCCCTCCCTGTTGCTACTGGAAGAGTCCTGTCACATGGATAAGCACCCCGCCCCTCACGGCCCCAGGACATCGGGTGCCCTTCAAGGTCCAGGGGAAGGCGCCCTGCCTGGCGCAGCCTGGAGTCTCCCGTCCACAGCCGGGGACTGCTTCACACCTGGTGCCCACATTCTGCCTCTCGTTAAACATTGCATGCGATTCCTGCGAGTTCTCTGGCATGAGACGATGACCTAGTAATGGGGTCGCAGCAGGGACGGGAAGCTGGCCAGGCGCAGGCTGTGCTCGCAGGGACGGGAAGCTGGCCAGGCGCAGGCTGCGGTGTGGCACAGGGGGACCAACCAGAGGGAAAGGCTGACCCCCTGGGTGCCTCAGAGTCTGGCACATTCCAGCCTCTCCATGGCCCGGCTCTCATGGGATGCTCCATCCAGGGGGCATTTTGCAGACTGGGGATAGGACTGTCACGGTGATGGGGGGCACTGATGGTCACCCCCGTGCAGGGCCCTGGGCCGAAGCCCCGCCCCTCCTGCCCCTGCCGGCTGGGCCCTGGCAGCTCCCCCTACCCCCTCACCTTTGAAGAAAACCACATTCCCGCCAAGTCTGCCTTCCTCAAAGGATGGACTTGGTGTTCATGTCTGTGTCTCGGGACTCTGAGCGATGGGACAGCATCTGGAATGTCACTGAGCCATCCGCGACTTCGGGAGCTTGTGGGATGTGGCGTCAGGCATGGGGCGGCTCCTCAGGGCTTCTGGAAGGTTGTAGGCGCAACTTCCTTTTGTCTCTCCTTTTTATTGTAGTGAGGAAGCAGGATTCAGATTTGAAAATGATGTTTATAAGTAGATGCTAAACTCAAATGATAAGATGTGTGACCGAAAAAGGAGGCACGGACTCAGCGCCTGGAGAAACACCCGGAATCGTGCTCCCAGCAGGATGCAGCCCCCTGAGCACCAGCACGGTGGGCCTGACGGGGCGGGGGCGGCTCTGCAGGAGCAGGAGTCCTGTGGGCTTGGTGGGGGCGCACACTGGGCTTTCTCCAGCTGATCTTACATTTTAAGTAGAGACACAAATCGGGGAAGGTGTCTGCTATCTTAAGTCTTGGCCGCATGGGGCCACTGCTACAGGGATCACTGTGTGGCCTCCTGGCCCCGTCCTAAGGCAAGTGCCTGGCCTCCTGGCCCCATCCTAAGGCAAGCGCCTGGCCTCCTGGCCCCGTCCTAAGGCGAGTGCCTGGCCTCCTGCTCTTCGGGCTTCAGGGCTCCTGCAGAGGGTGGCTCCTTCTTCCTTTCCATATGCTGTGGTCATCGTCTCTTTGTAAGTTCAGTCTCTCACTGGGGCCCACAGGTGGTGGTTTCTTGCTTGTGACGCTGAAAAATTGTCAAAGTCAAGGAAGATTCTTTAGTGAGATTTTACTATGAAAGAGGAGACTTACCCGTGAGAGTCAAATAGCACAACCCATTTGTCAGCTAAGACTGCTGCTTTCCAGGCCTAATTCTGTTCTGGTACATGGTTTAAATATTTCATTTTCATTTTGTTTCTAATGAGAACGTAATGTGATACAAGGCTAACCTCAAGCTATAGACGTAGAGAATCACCTGTAGCAAGTTAACAGGACCCCAGCGCCTTCCAGGAGCTGCGTGAGTGGTGTTCAGGGCGCAGCTGCGTCTCTCCCTCCCTGCCCCAGTGTTGGTCTTAGGAGGAAAACATCCAGCCTGACCCGTTCTATGACAGACGTGTCACCAACCTATCCAACCACTTCTCTCCCTGCAGCAGGTCTTGGGGCTCCTAAGTGGACCTGGGGTGAGTGGGACAAGGTTTACCAGCAACGCCTACATGTGTGTTTTGGGCTCAGCCCTGCACCCACTTCCCAGCAAGCCCAACAGATGCTGAGCACTTGCGGGAGGCTGGGACCCGAACACACTGTCTGTTCTCTCAGAGGCAGGAGCTACGGGGCCCAGGACCAGAAGGAATGAGATCCTTCTCCTCCCACGGGCTGGTCACTGCTGTAATCTCTCCTCTTTGCTTTCTGAAAAATGAAATTTTTATCAAAGGCCTGAGTCAGGGTGAGGGGATTTCAGAGGCAAATTCCACACAGAGCAGTGAACCTGAGTTTCGCTGGCCCCGGTTGAGGGGGAGGTGGGTGCGGCTCTCTGCAGGGAAGACCCCTTTCCCTCGGCTGGCACTGGAGTCCGCGTTGAGCTGTGACCGCAGACGCGCTTTCCTTGCTTTGGGACGCACCTGCAAGGAGACCCAGTCCCCCCCAGAAACATGAGGCCTGCGCCTGGGCCTTGTGGACTTTGCCCCGCAATGATTTCCTGTCGTTGAAAAAACTTTCAATCTAACTTTCCCCCGAAATGATACAAGCAGGGTTTATTTTGGTATTTTTAATGTAGAAGATACTTTGATTATTTAGAAAACACCGCATGCCTGATACTGTGCTTGAAAAGGTAAATCTCTTGAACTTTATGGCAGACAGTCGTGTTTTCCTTACTGTCCCCCCCAAACCTCATCTTTCTTCTGAAGGAATTCTACAACAGACCTGCAATCATCCTCCCATTGTTCCCCCAGCCCTGACCCACTTCCAGGGTGTGGCTGACCATGCTGTCAGGAAGGCCTCCGTGGTATCAGGGAGGCGACCGTGGAGGCTTGGGAGTTGGCAGAATTTGTATTTCTGTAATTTTGCTTTGCTGCCCAGGCTGGTCTCAAACTCCTGGAAGCAGTCCCCCCACCTCAGCCTCCCAAAGTGCTGGGATTACAGGCGTGAGCCACGGTGCCCAGCCCAGAAATCTGAATTTCTAGGACTTCCAGCTCCTGGTACCTTTCACCACAGCTCTAGCCCTGCTGTCCACTTCACATCTGGCTCCTTCTGTTCTGAAATGGAACTTGGCGCTAACTGGATGATCAGGCATTTCTGCATGTTGAGTGCCGTGTCTGTACATCCGTGAGATGCACTGAGATGCATGTTTTTGGCACTGGCTGCTCTCGTTTGTCTCCAACACGCAGTTACTCCAGGATGAAATGCAGTGGAGAAACATGGATTGTTTAATTAAAGCAGGAGCTGTTATAATTCTTTCTCTGAAGGTTTGGCATTGGCCTTGCAAGATGGCGGCTATCATCAAAAGTTATCAAAACTCACTTGCTCCTCAGCAGGGTCTTAATGACGTCTCCATGAACTAAATATTATGAGACTCAACCAGAAGACCATGCTTACTCAAACTGGCTTCCCAATGCCACAAACTAGAGTGACTTTGAGAAAAACTGATTAGAGCAGTTCAAAAGCTCTAATTAAAAGGAGAAAAAGGAATATTTTTCCCTGCCTGCAGCAGCCGTATGTATTCAGGGTGATTCTCCATAGATTAAAAAAAAAAAGATCCTATCAAGAGTAACAATTTAAGTCCTAGAAAAATCTTTAGCTCTCACAAAGACTAAAATTGGGAAATTTGCCTAAACTGGTGTTTAATCAAATGCAGAACAGAAATCCATTTTGGAAACTGCATTTTATTCCCAAGTAAGAAAACTGGCATCGGGGGGAACTGATGGAAGTTGCCAGGCAGATGAACTATATGCCGACAGCTCCAGCCTGTCCTTGGGTCCCGTGGCCGAGCCCCTTCCGCGAGGCTGGACGCTGATGGAGCCACACAAGCCGCAGCCCCACTCTGAGGGCCACATCCACTTGGAGGTGCATCAGAGCCCCGGCTTGCCCCAGCCTCCCCTGCACCTGCACTTGCTTGTCATGAAGAAGACGGCAAAGGAGGGCCTGGTGGTGTCTGCTGTGAACAAGAATACAGGCGATAGGTGACCTCTGCAAATTCCCTGCTGGTGCCTCTGGTGAGCGTCCAGTGAACCAGGTGCCCTAGGGGTGCAGAAGTGTGCTGCCCACACCTGGTCTTGCTGGCAAACAGGCTCATCCCAGAAGTCATGTGGCAAAGCAATTCACGCCAGTTAATCTGTGCCGAGGGCCTACCAAGCCCTCCACATTCATACAGGGTCCTCATTTAATCCTTCTCAAAATCCCGTGAGGGTGAGCATCATCCCAGTGTTCAGGTGTGGACGCCAAGGCTGAGCATATTGAGGTAGCCTGTCCACGCAGGTGGCGGGAGTCATGCTCAGGCCCTTGGCGCGCCCTTGGCAGCGGTTACACGCCCTGCTTTCAGAGACACGTGGGGTCATCGTAACAGTTTCTGGATCACAAGGGGAGGGATCCTACCTCTCAGGAAGTGAATCCTGTCATGCCACTGGTTGTCTCTGAACCACAACTGTTACAACGGTGGCACTGGCGACAAGACGCGTGAACCTTACCAAGTGGATGCTGAGTCTGTGGTCATAATAAAATCCAGAATTAGGCAAAGAGTTTGCCATGGTGCACTGGCATGAGTTTGAATGAATTATACCTTGACACTGGACTTGCCCAAGGGTCAGGAGTTTGAGTGAATTTTACCTTGGCACTGGACCTATACAAGGATAGACATTTGTATGTACGATAATTTAAAAAGGACTTGAAATTTGAAAAGAAATTTAAATTTTAAAAGAACTTGAAATTTGACAAGGAAACAGTGAGTAACACTGGAGAGGCAGAAGATAGTACAGTGGGTCTGCTAGGAGGGGAAAACACAAACGAATGGGTCACAGGTGACCCGGGAAGCTGTCTGGCAGCCCTGATGGAGTTGAGCCAGCCCACTCCTGGATGAGCCTCAGAAACACTCCCCACAGCCTCCCAAGGTGGCATCCTATGGCTGTTCCCAGGATTTCTCTGTGGTATCAGGGAGTGTCATCATTAGGGGAGCTGTATTTGTGGGCTGATGGGTTCAGGGGAGATGGGGCCCTGCCCACGGGGCCAGCTGGACTCTGAGTCTTTCAGTCTTGATCTATTGCTGCCGGACGGTCTCTCCCCAAGGCTGAAGTTACATGGCTGTGTGCGCCTGCAAGTTAAAACTCACTGCATCAGTTACTGAAAGGAGGAGGGCGGAATGGACATGAGGACAACTCGTTTCTGCCACAGCAATGGAAACGTACAGTGTGGCTGACGCAAACGACAGCACGTCAGACAGCAGCTAGAATCCACAGTGAGGTGCACAGACAGCAAAATGTGTGCGCAACTTAGAAACAGGCTGCGAAGAGGCGAGAGGAAGCAAAAGGCACGACACTGCTCACCTGAAGGCTGCTGTGGCCTGAATGCGTCCCCTCCCCAGAATGTCAGCCCCTTCACAGTGGGCTTCCCAGCACCCAGAACTATGGGAAATACATTTCTTTTCTTTACGGATGAACCAGTCTCGGGTATCGTGACAGCAGCCCAAGATGGACCCACACAATCATCCTGTGTACTTTAATGGAAACGACTCAAATCCACACATCAGGCCCACGGCAAGGATGCTGACTCCAGGTCGCAGTAGGGGAGGTGCTGGGGACCTGTGAGGCTGATGACACAGTCGTGTCCCAAACTGGACACAAATCACACAGCTCCCTGTGGCTGAGGTCACCAGAGGAAAGAAAAAGCAAAAAAAAAAAAAAAAAAAAAGAATGTAGAGCAGATATCTGAACAAAGAGATTTTTCATTCCAAGTATGAAGCCAGGAAGGAGCCCGCTGGTTCTACTCTTCACTCCAGCGTGCACTATGTGTGAACACGGGGCTGTCCTGTGGGCACCGGCCTGGCACCACCACTGCCAAAATGCATCTTAAATGCAGAAGAGCAAATCATGCTTCTGTGTTTTGCATTTTGAAAACATTGGAAAGAAAGCTCCTTTGCAAGTGATTGAAAAAGTTATTTTGTATTTTGATGACTGGGTGAAAACCACATTTCAGAGATGAAAATTAAAGAGGAAATTTAACAATTGCATAATGATAGTAGATTCTAATATAAAATACTGGGAATCTAATTTTCTGAAGGCAAAAATAGAGAGCAGTTCTGTCATTTCCCATAAATCTATACACAGGACATTTTCCTGCCTGTAATCTCTTTGCATATTTTTAAGTGGATTAGTTCCAGTGGGTGTGTTCAGGGATATTTGCATACTAGTGCAAATATGTTAAGCTCAGCAGGGTGATTTCCCAAATTCATTCAAATGCTATTATTGATAACAGGATTTTCTGTGGAACTGTGTGCCACTGTGGAAGGGCTGATCTGAGTTACTGCCTGTACAGACACAGACGCACTTTATTACCTGGATGAATTTAGACATGGGGGGCAGGAAACTGTGAGGCCAGGCTTTCCTCCTGTCCACCAGCATCTACCAGCATCCAGGGAGAGTAAGAGATGGCATATCTGTGCCAGTGCAGCTGTCTTTAGAATAAACAAATATTTAGCTAAAATAACACATACCTATTTCTTTGCATTTCACCCTGAAAACAACAAGAATAGAGTTTGCAGAAGGGCTTTTACGCTCACAGTGTGGTTAAACTGGCTTCTCGGCTAAGAGCGGGGCTTGCTTTTATTCTATGCTGTCCTCAAGGTCAAGCACAGAGAATTCCAGGGTGGGTGTATCCTGTGCATTGTGGAAATGCTCAGAGCCCCTGGGCCCCGGGGGGAAGATCCACAGGGGAGAGGTGAGCCCTGTTGTCACCTTTGTTGGATGTCCAGCACCGTACCTCTCTCGGGGGAGGGGGATTGGGGTGGGGCCGCGCCGGCTGCTGTGAGCCCTTCCTGCAGGAAGGTGGGCTCAGATCATGAAGCACTGCCTCCAGGAGGCAGGAGCTGGAAGACGGGGCTCCAAGGCCCTGTGGCCCCTGGCTGAGCAGTGTGACCATGAGCGCAGGCACCATCCATCCACGTGGAGACAGAGCAGCCGCACAGGGCGGACGGCGTATCAGAGCAGGTGAGCTGACAGCTGGGCTCCAGCAAGAGCTTTCCAGGAATCGCTGTCAGGGCTGGGAGGAGCAGTGGCCCCAGGTTGGGAGGAGACGTGACAGGACCGGGCCTGGGGAAGCGTGTGCTGGCGTCAGGGAGAAGACGGCAGCCGCGACATCTGGCACCTGGGGCTGCAGAGCCTGAGCACCCCGGACCGCGCCCGGCGAGGGCGGCCTCCCTGCGCTGAGCGCGACCTGCGTGTCCTGCTCTCGGCTTTCGTGCCGGTTCAGAAGAACAAGGCCGGAAGGTTGCGGTCTCAGCGCTCGCTCCATGCCGGGAGCGCGCAGAGCTGAGGGCGCTTGCGTGTCCGGCACAGCGTGGAGCCCGCGTTCCTCTCTGCACTCAGGAGCTGCGTCCCGTTCCGTGCTGGCGATGAGGACGCCGGCCTCCGCCAGGCCGAGTCAGCACTCTGTCCCCGGGGTCTGACTCCGTGGCCCCTGTCCTCGCTGGGTCTCCCCGTTCCAACTTTAGTGACACGGTCTCAGGAGAGGATGCAGGCAGAACGGGCTTTCCTTTTTCCTGCCCTGGGGGCTGACATCTGCCTCACGGATGCCACCCACTGAAAGGGCAGCCCTTGTCGCCTTAACTCGTTTTCCATCTCAGTTACCGTCCTCGGCAGGGCACTGTCACATCCTAACGTGAGGACGAAATGGGCTTGACCTCCCAGCAGCAGCCGCCCCGGTGGCTGCAGGTACCCCCGAGGCCGGCCCCAGACACTGAAAGGGAAGCAGCCAGCCTGACCAGGGAGGAACCGGTGTCAACGCGCTCAGATTCCAGAGCCGGCACCGTGCCATAGGGCAGGAGAGAAGGAGGACATGAGGCGCAGGACGCAAGTTCAGGCCACCCTGACCCTGAAGAGGGTGCAGCCACCCCGCAGCACACGCTGATAAAAGGGTCTCTTCTGTTGTGGGCTCCGAGGCCTGCAGAGCCGAGACCTGACCTGATAAAGCCAGAGCAAGGGGCTGCAGCCACCGCAGGAGGCTTCAACGATTCATGGTGAAAGGTCCGACTGAGAGCCCTGGAGTGTGTTATCCCAGGAGAGCTCCTTGAGTGTGACTGAGAAATAGATCTGGGGTCCTGTCACCAAGGCGGTGTATAAACAGTTTACAAATGACAGCAGATACGAATCACCGAAGCCAGGCAGAACACCCCTCGTTCGTCCACGATAGAGCTCTAGTCTTGCAGGGGTTCAGTGGTTTAAGGAAGATGCGTTGTTGGGGAGCCACAGTCCCTGGCTTATCACACATCTTGCCATGGCTTGATTCAGGCCAACATTGATACTGCATTTCAGTTAAGTTGAATTAGACACTGCAAGTCAATGTCAGTTGTTTTGGGCTTCAGTTCACATCTGGTTCAGCTCAAGTTGTTAGTCCAGGGTTGGGAAGAGAAGTGGCGCTGGGCTTAGGCGTCCTCATCTCCCGAACCTGCCTGACACTGTGACACTGGGTTGGGTGGGAGTGGGAAAAGAGGGGAAGGGATTCTGAAAATACTAATTCTAATTTTGCAATCTATCTTTACAAATATCATCCCAGGGCTCCTTGGAGAAGCAGCTGATCCCAGCTCCGGGGCACAGAAAGTTTCCGGTAAGCCTGGGGCTTCAGGGCCTTCAGAGCAAGAAAGTGCCCTTGGCAATGGGGCAGGTGGAGAAAATGCAGGAGCCAGCCCGGAGAGGCTCCCACTGCCCAAAGAAGAACCTGGGAGTCCACGAAGTGGGAAGGGGGATTAGGGAGAGAGACGGAGAGCTGGGGGCAGGGGAAACAGGTAAGCCAGAGAGAGAGCTGGTGGGCAGGGACAGGAGAGGCAGAGAGCGAGGGAGACGGGCAGGGTGGGGGAGAAGACTGAGGGGAGAGAGAGGCTGAGACGGAGTGGGAGGGGGGAGAAGACTGAGGGGAGAGAGAGGCTGAGACGGAGCGGGAGGGGAGGGCATCTGGTTTCCCTTCGGCAGCCACTCTGACATCATTGTCAACTCTACTCGGAAATCGGTGAGGAAAGGGACTGACTTCAGCAGTTCCCCCTTGCTTAAGAGAAAGTGTGTTTCATTTCCTCTTGATGAGAAAAAAGCCTTTTTCACAGAATGCTTGGTAATAAATGTGGCAGGAATGGTGAAATTAGAAGATCAACTATTTTGCAACCCGAATGAAGGCACTGATTTGGGAAAAGGCCGTTGGCAGTTGCTGAGGCATCCGGGGACCTGGAGGCAGAGCGTTTGCGGGCGCTGGGGCATCTCTGCATAGGTTTACCACCGACGGCTCTGCACTCACCTCTTCAGACAAGCGATTGCCCTGGTGCTCCATGCCACCCCATCGACGCCTTCCCTGAACTCACCCTGCACCCACGTGCCCTCTGAATCCGACGCCTGAAGACCTTACTTCCGGTGGCAGGAAATGCAGCCAGCAGGAGGAAAGGTTACGTGATGGAGGGAGAAGCTGTTCTACAAGAGCAAGACTGGGGCCTGGCCCCGTCAGAGTCACCACCTTTAGGGAAGCAGTGGACAGAGATAAATGAGACAACACAGGCTCGCAACCAAATGCAGAGCCCGACCGTTGTTGGCTGCTGGTTGGAAAGATGTGCTGGGGACAGTGGGGAAATCTAGATAGGAACGGAGTGGAGTTGATATCACATAAAGTGACCACGAGCTTGCCTGGGATGGTTCTGGCTCACACCTGCTGTTTCCGCATAATTATTAATCCCACCTCATTCACTTTCCAAAGTGTCCTGTTCTGCTGATAATTCCTATGGTCATTCAAAAGCTGGGGAATTGGTGTAGTTGTCTTAGGCATGAATAATGGTGTTGAGCTTACAGGGTGTCTTCATTCCTAGGAGATGCCTCAGGCTCAGAGAATTTAAGCTACTTGGAGAGACCAGGGGCACACAGCTCATCTGATGTAGAACTGGTTTATAAAAACTGTGATAAACAAAACAACCCAAAAGTAGGCACGGGACCGGAATGGAAATTCTCCTAAGAAGATAGACAAAGGTCAACACGCACGCAAAAAGATGTCCGGCACCACTAATCAGCAAGGAAATGCAAATCAAAACCACGAGGTGCTGCTTCATAACCATCAGGATGATTATCATATATTTTTACAAACGAGAAATAAGTGCTGGAGAGGATGAGGAGGAATGAGCACACTCATGTGCTGTTGCTGGGAATGAAAAACGGTACAGCCATTGTGGAAGACGGGGTAGAAATTCCTCAGAAAATGAAACCCAGATTTAATTACCGTATGATCCAGCCCTTCCACTTCTGGGCATAAACCCCCAAACTGAAAGCTGGAACTCAACAGGTGCTTGTACACCCATGTACAGAGTAACATTATTCTAACAGCCAAAAGGTGAAAACAGCACCATGTCCATCTACAGATCAATGGACAAACACAGTGCCATGTGCTAACACGAACTAAATGTGGCCTGAGAAGAATGCCAGGACGTCTATGTTTGAGTCCTTGTGGACGAACTATAACCTACCTTAATAGCAGACAGGACTGAAAACCTAATTCAGGAGTCTGCGCCTGTAATAGTGGCCGAGTCTTGACCAATCCCAGCAGCCATACGTCAACCATGCGTAGACTGCCGAGTGTTCAAACTGTTCCAATAAGGCAAATGCCAACCTGGAACCAATCCAGCTGTTCTGTACCTCACTGCCGAGTTTTATATATCACTTCCCCTTTTTTTTGTCTATATATTTGTTCTGACCACGAGGAATCCCTGGAGTCTCTCTGAATCTGCTGTGATTCTGGCGCTGCCCGATTCATGAATCATTCATTGCTCAATTAAACTCCTTTAAATTTAATTCAGTTGAAGTGTTTCTTTTAACAAATGGAATATGATCCAGCCTTAAAAAAGAAGGGAGTCTGGACACAGGCTATAACACGAGGAACCCTGAGGATGTTATGCTGGGTGAAATGAGCCGGTCACAGAAGGACGAATCCCGCAGGGTGGCACTGAGGAGAGGTCTCCGGAGGGGTTGGAGCCACAGAGACAGAAAGTAGGATGGTTGGTGGCTGCCACATGCGCGCAGGGGAATCTGGACACAGGCTATAACACGAGAAACCCTGAGGATGTTATGCTGGGTGAAATGAGCTGGTCACAGAAGGACAAATCCCGCAGGGTGGCACTGAGCAGAGGTCCCTGGAGAAGTCGGAGCCACAGAGACAGAAAGTAGGATGGCTGGTGGCTGCCAGGTGCAGGGAGGGGTTGCGGAGTTCCTGTCTGATGGGGACAGAGTTTAGGTTTGGGAACTCTACATTTTAAAATGTAAATTTTACAGTATGTGTATCACAATACAAATGTATTTTTTAAAGTATAGTAGACTTTGCCTCAAAAGCCCCAGTTCTTTCAATCTAAATAAGAAAATAATGCAAAATACGCCAAAGGCTTTAAGACCCTGTTCATCCTAAGGCAACGTAACCGTTCACAAATAAAGGAATAGCTAAGTTAATTGAGGCCCGTTAACTTACTAGCATATTGTGCTACCATTAGGATGGATGGCCAGGAAGCTCCTTCAGAGGCTTGGTAAGAGAAAACCTGGAGGGACTGGAGGGGCAGAGCTGGGACGGGGCCTCCTCGAGGGGCTACGGTGCTGGGGAGGGCTGTTTCCTGATCTGGGTGTGGGTTACAGGGGTCTCGGCATTTTGTGAGAATTCAAGGAGCTGTGACATTATGTTTTATGTACTTTTCTATATGTATGCCATACATCAAAAAACATTGACTACAGTTTTAAATAAATTAAAAAATTATGGATCCATATTGGCAACTATGTAAAGACACACACTGAAGGGAAAGATGGAAAGGAACCTCCCACTGTCTACCAGAGATGGCTTAGGTGACGTCCCCGAGGCCACCACAGTGACATCCCCCCCAGGCTGCCATGGAGATGTCCCCACAAGGACTTGGGCTGACACCACAGTGTCCCCGTTGCTGGGAGGGGCAGGCAGTGGTGTCCATGGTGGCAGTGCAGGTAGATACACCATGGGTTTGCCCCAGGAGAGGACCCCCCGAGTAGCTGCTGTCCCCCCAGCAGGAACCTGAGGCGGGAACACCTGCCAAGCTGGAGACAGCGGGTCACAATGGCTTTGCTTGCGGTGACCAAATCCTCTCAGGCTGGACGCCAGCCCCCTGGGGAGTTGCGCCCTGGTGCTCACTTGGGCACTTTAATTATCTTTAGTAACAAATTCCCTTCAGCCCAGCTCACTACAGAAAGCCGTGGAGAACAACAAAAAGGAAAACCAACCCCGAGTGGTCTCTGCCGAGCCCAGATGCACGACGGGACCTCAGGCCAAGCCCACGCCAAGTCGGCCCCAAGGGACTAGGAAGAGCAGCCGCGTTTGATTTTGTTCTTCAGCTTCGCCTTTCTAACAGCAAGGACTTGGCTGTCTCTAGACAGGAGACAGACGCTGTCCAACTTATTCTAAAATTCTCTTTCACTCTTACGCTCAGACGCCCTCATGCCACAGGCAGGTTGTAAGCAAATCCAACACGGCAGATAGTAATTAAGCCTGCAGAGAGGATTTCTGTACGTCAGCACACCCAGGAGCGTATGTAATAGGAGTCTCACTCGTTTTTGTTTGCCCGTCTCTCACATAGACTTACGTTCTTACCTACGTGTGCGTTTCGTGTTCTGGACGATGGTGCACCAGCACCTGCCCTTGCAGGAGCTCCTCTTTTCTTCTTTGCTGTGGTCAGTTGCTGGGACCCAGGGGCCGAGTGGATCACGCAGCAACCTTCATCACGGGGGATCATTCTGGGGGCATGTGTGGCCTTTTCTCTGGCTTGCTCACTCCTTATCTGTATTCATTCTGTCCTCTGCATTCCTTCCTTCCTTCCTTCCTTCCTTCCTTCCTTCCTTCCTTCCTTCTTTCCTTCCTCTGTGCCCCACTTCCATTCCACTCCTCTCTCATGCACAGTCACACACGGTAGACAGTGTATTATTTAAATACATTCCTGCAGAATTTCTATTGTTGTATGTGCCTCATTTTTAACTCACGACCACGTTTTTCATGACACATCCTTTCCTGTCTTACTTTTCCCTCCACACACGCAGGTGCAGAGACCGCCCATCCACTATGCTGTTCTCGCAGTTACACCCAATCGCAACAGGTCCCTCCCCCTGCCCAGGTGGACACCAGGGGCTCCCTCTTCAGCCTCCGCAGATGCTGCTGCAGGGCTGTCTCTGTGCCTGCAGACTCATGGCCTCAAGACTTCCCCAAATCAGGCTGTAGACCTGCCCGCCAGGTCTGAACTGCCTGTGACCACAGCCATTCCCAGGTCTTCTCCGAATGGCCTCGCTGCTGGCACGGTCCTCGAGGGACATGCCCCTCATCCCCACAGCATCTTCTAAACTCCCCCGGTTCCTTCTTTTTCTGTTTTCCCCTACAAGCCTCCCGTCTGGGTGCTCAGTGCCAGCAGCTGGATCCCCCCTGCAAAGCTGCTCCTCCCCTTCGAAATCTGCAAGTCACCTGTGGGGTAAGGTGAGGCTTCGGGACTCTCCCCTTCCCCAAAATATCTGACCCAGTGATTTTAACATCCGGATCGTCCTTGTTGGGTTTGGTTATTATTCCCTTGGGGACGACAAAGCACTTTGCTAATTCTGTCATCTCTATGTTTGTTTGCCCCACTTTTTTGTGAGAAGTAGAGCTTTCTCCTCCTGACCTTCCCCACCTGTGCTCTGGTGCTATGGACCATGCACCATGGATTACACTGCCCTTTGTAATGCGTCATCCTCCATTAACGATCTTGTTCGCATTGAGGCTGAAATCAGCCAGGGCTTGCCCCTGGGACCCTGTCACTCTGACAAGTGTGGAATTTTGGGGCTTACTTGCCTCTGGGAATAAAGGACATCCCCATTCACGCTGTGTCTTTCCTGCTGCAGGTCTGGGAAGAACATTTCTACAAGGGGCCTCAGCTAGTGTTGTGCCAAACGGTGCACAGCAGTGGTTCCCAGACTCCCAGCCTCAGGACTCCCTCACTCTGAAGAGCCCCCGGGGAGCCCCCCAGCATGCTCCAGCCTAGAAAACAAAGCAGAAACTTAAACATTATGGATTAATTCATTTAAGATAAACAATACACTCCTTATATGTTAACCTAAATAATGCATTTTAGTGCAAAATAATTTTTAAGAGCAAACAATTTTACTATTACTTAGCAAATGTTTAATAGATTGGGGAAGAGGGGAGTAAGTTAATAGCTTTCTCAAATAAATATGGATTTTTTTATACAACAGCAAAACTCAACAAACTGTAGTTTCTTAAAGGTTGGTTGCAATGTGGAATATGAAACTGTAACAATAATGGTGATAGATACTGCAAGAGTTGAAGAAGAAAGAAACACGAAAAGCAGCTCAACAGTCTAAGACAGGTTTATTTTGGAGAATAAACCTGAGAGGGGCTTCTGCCCGATTTCGGTCAGGAGCCTTTTCTCTTGGAGACTAAGGGTATTTAAGAGTTCCGGGAAGGGGAGCTTATTGCAGGCTAGGAATGTTTCTGTGTGGAGGAGAGTCTTATTGCAGGACTGGAGTGTCTCTGGTCGGAAGGGAGGTTATCTCGGGGTTGGCATGTCTCTGGTCAGAGGTTTCATTTGTGATTTAAGGTCACACTGACATTAGCCATTAGGCTGATGTTTTGGGGCTGGATTTAGGCAGTTTTGAATCAAGTAGAACTCACAGGGGCGATGCTTGTCTAAGATGATGATGCTCCTGCTCCGTCAGTCCAGACTGGCGCCATTGTCTCCCTGATGGTAAATCTAGTATGGGTCTCTGTGGGGAAATGCATCATTGGCCACTGGATTTTGTACAGGGGCTTGATTATGGAGTTCATCTGCGTGGGTTTCAGCTGAACGCCAGGGGCGCCCTTTTCATCAGGAGTGAGGGTGGAGATTAGAATGATATAAATGTCATGCCATGTTAAATTAAAGGACTCAGTAATGTGCAGGAATTCCTTGCGATAATGAGAGGGATTTTCAGAGGAAGATCCCAGATGCTGTTGGATCTGCGACAAATCAGACGTAGTGAAAGGGCCATGAACACGAGCACTGCCTTCAACCCCAGCCACTCCCAGAAGAGGAAGAATGGCAGAGGTGGTTTGACTGGCTGGCGTTTCCTTTGCCTTTAATGTCCAAATACAAGGCTGGGCCCACCAGCCCCCAAGGGGCATCCAGGAGGGGCCCCACCCGATCCCCACGGACCATGTTTGAGAGAGAGGCTGGCACGGCCCCTTTCTAGAGGCCATTCTTAGCTCCGGCTGCTGCTGCCCTTCTTCGTGCCCAAGTGGCCTCTGGCTGGGCCCCAGTCTTTGGCTTCCAGGGCTTCGGCTGCAGCTGGACTGTGGTTCCTGGACTTCCTCACCCACCCTCACCACAGGAACAGGAGGGCCCAGCCTGGCCCCTTGCTTGCCCCTCCCCTTCTCATTTGCCCCCAGGTGACTGGGGAGAGAGGCTGGTTCCCTGCAGGAAGAAGACTGCCAGCCTGGCCTCCACTGGGCCTCCCGGGAGGTGGGTTACTGTGAGCCCTGTGGGGTGGTCAGGCCAGAGCCCCGGAAGGGGGTGGAGACACAAGGCCCCGAGTCCAGTCCAGTGTAAAGCAGGGGCTTCGACCTCCCTGAACACCTGGCACTGTGGGCCAAACCCCTCTTCCCAAACCCCTCATCCCATCCCCGAGGCACAGTTCTCTCCTGTTCCTCTCCTCAAATTATTCCTCCTGTGTCATGGGCTGAACTATCCGCGGCCCACGTCCATGTTGATCCTGGCCCCCGATGTGGCTGCATTTGGAGACAAGACCTTAGGGAGGTGACCAGGCCTCAATGAGATCATCAGGGCGGTCCTGACCCAATCGGACAAGAGGAGGACAAGACCCTAGAGATGCCCCTGGTACAAACAAAGGCCACAAGAGGACTCAGGGAGAAGGTGTCGTCCACAGCCTCAGGGCAAGGCCTCGATCGGGGACTCCACCTGCAGGACATGAGGATGCCAGGCTGTGGGCTTTGCTTATCCTGCTATGGGGCCCGAGCTGGCTCCTCCCCAATTCCTCCCTGGCCGTCCTTCCTCTGCCTTTCCTTCACTTGCTCTGCGACCCAGGGGCCCTTACCAGGCTCTGGATTTCAGGAGCTGGGACTCCATCATCTCATCTTGGTAGGGTCCCCACATCTCCGGTGTGCACTGAGCATCCTGGGGAGGGGGTGACCATCGAGATCTCCGGTGTGCACTGAGCATCCTGGGGAGGGGGTGACGATCGAGATCTCCGGTGTGCACTGACCATCCTGGGGAGGGGGTGACCATCGAGATCTCCACGGTGCACTGAGCATCCTGGGGAGGGGGTGACCATCGAGATCTCCGGTGTGCACTGAGCATCCTGGGGAGGGGGTGACCATCGAGATCTCCGGTGTGCACTGACCATCCTGGGGAGGGGGTGACCATCGAGATCTCCGGTGTGCACTGACCATCCTGGGGAGGGGGTGACCATCGAGATCTCCGGTGTGCACTGACCATCCTGGGGAGGGGGTGACCATCGAGATCTCCGGTGTGCACTGAGCATCCTGGGGAGGGGGTGACCATCGAGATCTCCGGTGTGCACTGAGCATCCTGGGGAGGGGGTGACCATCGAGATCTCCGGTGTGCACTGACCATCCTGGGGAGGGGGTGACCATCGAGATCTCCGGTGTGCACTGACCATCCTGGGGAGGGGGTGACCATCGAGATCTCCGGTGTGCACTGAGCATCCTGGGGAGGGGGTGACCATCGAGATCTCCGGTGTGCACTGAGCATCCTGGGGAGGGGGTGACCATCGAGATCTCCGGTGTGCACTGAGCATCCTGGGGAGGGGATGACCATCGAGATCTCCGGTGTGCACTGACCATCCTGGGGAGGGGGTGACCATCGAGATCTCCGGTGTGCACTGACCATCCTGGGGAGGGGGTGACCATCGAGATCTCCAGTGTGCACTGACCATCCTGGGGAGGGGGTGACCATCGAGATCTCCGGTGTGCACTGACCATCCTGGGGAGGGGGTGACCATCGAGATCTCCAGTGTGCACTGAATATCCTGGGGAGGGGGTGACCATCGAGGCTTCCACTGGCAGGCTGCTCCCTGTCTGTCCGTCTCCCTTCCTTTGTGTCCTCATTCAATCCCTTACAAGGATCCTGGCCTCAAGCCCCCCAAGGGAAGGGGGCAGCCCCTCATCAACTCACTGTGCCAGATACAGCTGCAGTGGAACAGAGGCCTGTGCTGAGGCAACGAGGTGGGGCTGAGCTCCCGAAGGCAGGGCCTTCCCCGACTCTCCCCCTGGCCCCTGCCCGGGGTCATGGCTGAGCTCCCGAAGGCAGGGCCTTCCCCGACTCTCCCCCTGGCCCCTGCCCAGTGTCATGGCCTCCCCTCCAGCATGTGCTCATGTTCACACACACCTGGGGCCATCACCTGTGATGAGGCTTGGCAGTTGTTATTGTAATATTTGACTTTTAACAACAGGCAGATTACCTGGGCAGGCCTGATGGAGTCAAATGACATCTTTAAAAAGAGGTTCTCCATACCAGAAGATTCTTCTGCCACCCTGAGGTCGGCTGCCAGGTTGGAGGGGCCACGGGGCTGGGACTTGGTGCCTTGAGGTGTGGCAGCGGCCACAGCATCAGCCAGCAAGGACACGGAGCCTCTGTCCTGCGGCCACACGAACAGCATTCTGCTGGCGGCCCGTGAGTCCCCACACAGAGGTCCCAGCCCGGGCTGTACTGAATCCCCACCCAAAGACACTGCGAGGCGGCAAATGGTGTCGTTTCAAGCCACTATGCCTGTGGTCATTTGTTATGCAGAAGAAGAAAATTAATTTTTTTTACAATAAAAATTTTGGAATTCAGTTTCCTCCATCCCTGGCCCTGGCCCAAACTGGGAGGGAGCAAGAGATGAAAGAATGGCTGGGACACAGCCTGCCTGGGCAGCCTCAGGACAGCGCTAAGATCCGCAGCTTTCGAGCTGCTTCCACCTGTGCTCCCTGTCTCGTTGCCGGCCATGAGCTATATGGGACTGCTCTCCTGGGTGGTTCTCGGGCAGGCTCCGGGTTCCTGGGATACCTGCTCCTCCGCTGGGTCCTGGGCGGTTCTCAGGCTAGCTCCGGGTTCCTGGGATACCTGCTCCTCCGCCAGGCACTGTGACCTTGGCTCGCTCTCAGCCTTCAGGATTCACGCAGTGGACCAAAGCCCTAAGTAACCTGGTAGGGAACTCACTGCACCACAGTATCCTGTTGAATAAGTTTTGAGGAATTTCTGACCCCTTCAAAGCTGTACCCAATATTGGTGCGAGGCGGGGCAGATGCATGCACATTTCTTATTTTGGAGCGGGTGGAACACATTCCTGCGATTCTCTGAAGAGCCCCGGGATGAGAGGACATGTCACCTGGAGAGCGCTCGGGGCAAGAGCTGCACAAAAAAGCAAAGCCCAGAACTGACCCTGTGGGCCCTGGAGTCTCCTGAACCCACCACAGTTCTGCCCTGGAGCCTGGCGGCAGCTGGGCCTGGGAAACAAATTAGAGACCGGCTTGTGCAAGCCCTCTCTTCTCAGGCTCTGCAGACACAGGCGGAGGTCCCAGGGTGCAAGCAGTACTGACAGGCTCAGATATTCTGTGTTTTTTTCCTTCTAGGCACAACTGTCTTAATATTGGCAACCTGACAATTCCTCATGCTCCTGACTGTTTCCTTCTCTGCCTGTCTTAATTGACGTGGTTTACAGAAAATAAATTACATGAACTGAATATTTTGCACTATTGTAGAAGATAAATTGATCTAATTATTATCTAACTTCAAACACAGTGGAATAAACAGATTATCATATCTATGCTGACATATTAGAGACAAGATTTATTTGCTTTTGTTTTGTAGAAGATGCATTTTCCTTTTTGGAATCAGAATGATACACAAAACGAATTAACCCTGAGCATCCCACCTGCTCGACTGTACCTCTATTCCTCAATATTCTCAGGGTCAGGAAAGTGAATGCAGAAGGTTTCGCAAAGTAAAGCCCCACAGGATCACAGAAGCAAGAAGGGAGTCTACAGGAATTCTGTGGAACCCAGGAAACGGCCACACGTGACCCACCACCCCCCGCAGTGGCAGGGATTCTGTGGAACCTACAGGGATTCTGTGGAACCCAGGAAAAGGCCACACATGACCCACCACCCCTGCAATGGCAGGTATTCTGTGGAACCTACAGGGACCCAGGAAAAGGCCACACATGACCCACCAGCCCTGCAATGGCAGGGATTCTGTGGAACCTACAGGGATTCTGTGGAACCCAGGAAATGGCCACATGTGAACCACCATCCCCTGCAAGGGCAGGGATTCTGTGCAACCCAGGAAAAGGCTACACATGACCCACCACCCCTGCAATGGTGCATTCACTTGCAGGGGATGGAGAAGGTGGAGATGGTTCATCATTAAAAGACACAAATGGGACGTTAAGAATAGTAAAATTATGAGTCTGCCAATATTGAATTTATTTTCATATTTGCAAAGCATGTGCTATTAATTAAGAAGCATTTAGGCCGGGTGCAGTGGCTCATACCACTAATCCCAGCACTTTGGAAGGGTGAGACGGGTGGATCACCTGAGGTCGGGAGTTCAAGACCAGCCTGACCAACATGGAGAAACCCTTTCTCTACTAAAAATACAAAATTAGTCATGTGTGGTGGCATATGCCTGTAATCCCAGCTACTTGGGAGGCTGAGGCTGGAGAATCGCTTGAACCTGGGAGGTGGAGGTTGAGGTGAGCCGAGATCACACTATTGCACTCCAGCGTGGGCAACAAAAGCGAGACTCCATCTCAAAAAGAAAATAAAAATAAAAAATAAAAAAAGAAGCATTTAAACGGGAGGTTTGCAGGCTGGTGCCTCTGAGATCCCAGGTTCCACAAGGCCATGGAGGTTCTCGATGGAGGCAGGAGTCCGGCTTGGACACCACTGCAGCACAGGTTCTTACTGTGGGAAGAGCGGCTCCTGGCCACTCCCACGCCTCACAATGACTTCGGAGTTAGGGGAAGAGAAGGGAGGGCAGGGGCGGGCAGGGCGCCCTGCAGACAACCACAGCTCCCCTGATGCCAAAAGACGGTGAAGCAGCGGCGCCTGCAGCTCCTGCCTCATGTGTGGCCTCCTGGGAACACCCTGTCTGGAGCAGCCTGCGTCCTGTCCTCGGGTGACGCTGGGAAGAGTGGCGTCCGCTGCCACATGCCTGTGCTCCAGGGCCTACAACCTGCATCAAGACGGGGACACTGCAAGGCCACCAGATCCAAGGGGACTATTTCCAGAGCCAGAAACATCCCTGTTTCACCTGCTTCCAGAAGGTTCCAACATGTAGAAGAGACGTCTCTTAGGGACCTGGAGGGAAGTGGCAGGACAGGGGCCGGCGGGGACGCCAAGGCTTCCTTCCCCTCCCTCCATGCTGCCCATCTGAGCATCAGCTTTGGGCAGGGGTGGTCTGGGCTGATGTTCTCCAAAGACAGACAGAAGAGGACAGCAACACTTGAGCAGCCACCTCCACCCGTCAGAATGGCCCTGATCAGCACTGGGGGAGTGGGGAGCCCAGCAGCCCGCCTGACACCCCCTCAGAACATCACCGTCACCAGGCGACCGTGCAGTTCCACTCCCTAGAGGAAGAGAGATTGGCACCCACACAGCGTCTGGGACACGGATGCTCACAGGCGGGACAGGCGGGACAGGCAGGACAGGCGGGACAGGGCACACATGGGTCCTGGAAGACACAGAGGGATGCTCTCACCACAAACAGGACGAGTGTGGTGGCCCCAGCAAACGCATGTGGTACCTTGAATCATGCACCTAAAATGACTAAAATGAGCTGTATGTATGTTTTACCACAATAAAACCCTTTCATAGATAGAGGCACCTGCCCTCACAAAATGCTGTACCAATTGACTGATGGTTTTTTTTTTTTTTATTTTGAGCTGGAGTCTCGCTCTGTCGCCCAGGCTGCAGTGCAGTGGTGCGATCTCAGCTCACTGCAAGCTCTGCCTCCCAGGTTCATGCCATTCTCTTGCCTCAGCCTCCAGAGTAGCTGGGACTACAGGCGCCCGCCACCACGCCCGGCTAATTTTTTGTATTTTTAATAGAGATGGGGTTTCACCGTGTTAGCCAGGATGCTCTCGATCTCCTGACGTTGTGATCCGCCTGCCTCGGTCTCCCAAAGTGCCAGGATTACAGGCGTGAGCCACCGCACCCGGCCTGACTGATGCTTTTAACACTTAGTAATACCAAGAACTGACGACTGCTTCTATGACAGAAAAGAAAATCGAAACAGGAAAAACAGGTACCTGATATGATTCACAAAGTAGAGAAGAGAAAAAAAACTCAACTATATTCAAACTACTTAAACTAGAACATTTTAATACCCAGAAAGCATTCTTAAAGCAGAGACTTTCAGATACAAGGTGATTCAAAACTTCATAAAAATATATGAGCTTCAAACTATACATTTAACTTAACAGAATGTCCATTTTCAATTTTTACAATAAGTAGAGAAACAGAATCAAGTTTTATGTAGTAATTCAAGATATATATAATTGCAAATAAGTGAAAAATTTCCATTTTACCCCAATTTCTCATCTGAAGCCTCAGATGGCATCTTGCCCACCAGGAACAAACACGTGAATAAATAATATGGCATAAATGTCTTTCAAGTTCCCAGAGAACTAACTCTAAGCCCATCTCACATTTGTCTTTTAAGTTTTTTTGTTA